>NW_025791796.1:361322-722645 GCF_000001405.40 Homo sapiens | reverse complement strand
GAATTCAGTCACACTCAAGGAGAGAGAGATTAAGCTCACCTTTTGGAGGGAAGAGCATTAGTGACTGTGTGGACACATTTTAAGGCTACCATAATAGCTAAAACACATGAAGCTCTTATCAAGAGCTTCTATAGTCTCAGATATTGATGACAGATGGCCAACTAACCACAGATCAAGAAAGGTCAGGTGCAGTGGCTCACCCTTATAATCCCAGCACTTTGGGAGGCCAAGGCAACAGGATTACTTGAGGCCAGGAGTTTAAGGCCAGTCTAGGCAATATAGAAAGCCCCCCATCTCTAAAAATATTTTTGTTTTCTTGAGACTGAGTTTTGCTATTGTCACCTAGGCTGGAATGCAGTGGTGCGATCTCGGCTCACTGCAGCCTCCGCCTCCGGGGTTCAAGCAATTCTCCTGCCTTAGCCTCCCAAGTAGCTGGGACTACAGGCATGTGCCACCACGCCTGGTTAATTTTCTTGTATTTTTTGTAGAGACGGGGTTTCACCATGTTGGCCAGGCTGGTCTTGAACTCCTGACCTCAGGTGATCCTCCTGCCTTGGCCTTCCAAAGTGCTGGGATTAAAGGCATGAGCCACCATGCCCAGCCTAAAACATTTTTTACATTTAAATTTAGAAAAATAAAGTTGGAAACCTAGTGTAATGGAAACATCACTGATTCAGGGGCCAGAATATTGGACCAGGGAAGATCAAGTCATGGCCGGGCACAGTGACACTGTAATCCCAGCATTTTGGGAGGCTGAGGCAGGCAGATCACCTGAGGTCAGGAGTTCGAGGACAGTTTGGCCAACATGGTGAAACCCTGTCTCAATTGAAAATGCAAAAATTAGCCTGACGTGGTGGGAGGTGCCTGTAATCCCAGCTACTCAGGAGGCTGAGGCATGAGAATCACTTGAACCTGGGAGGCAGAGGTTGCAATGAGCCGAGATCGAGCCACTGCACTCCAGCCTGGGCAACAAAGCGAGACTATCTCAAAAAAAAAAAAAAAAAAAAAAGGCATATTAGTCAATGTATGAGAATAGGCTATGCAAAAAATAAAAATAAAAATAAGTGAGTTCAACTAGATATATACACATTGAACACCTACAATGCACAAGGCATTGTGTTAGTTCTACTGGGTATAACCAGAGAGGCTACTTACCTAAGATAAGCTAGTAAATGTTAGAACTACAATTTTAACGCAGTTCTGGAACTTTCAATCGAAGTTACTTACCTAAGATAAGCTAGTAAATGTTAGAAGTACAATTTCAATGAAAGTTCTGGAATTTTCAATTGAAGTTCCAGATTCCATGTGCTTAACCATTATGCTTCACTGACATTCTAGAGTCTACCCTGCCCACCTGCCTGAAGTGATCTCCAGCTTGGGCCCCTGACCTTCAGCTCTTGGAGGGCTTCAAGAAAAATGAATTCCCTATTCCTTCCTTAGAATATGTTCTTGAGGGGCTGGGCACGGTGGCTCACGCCTGTAATCCCAGCACTTTGGGAGGCCGAGGCGGGCGGATCGCAAGGTCAGGAGATCGAGACCATCCTGGCTAACACAGTGAAACCCCGTCTCTACTAAAAGTACAAAAAATTAGCCGCGCATGGTGGCGGGCGCCTGTAGTCCCAGCTACTCAGGAGGCTGAGGCAGGAGAATGGTGTGCACCCGGGAGGCGGAGCTTGCAGTGAGCCGAGATCGCGCCACTGCACTCCAGCCTGGGCAACAGAGCAAGACTCCATCTCAAAAAAAAAAAAAAAAAAAAAAAGAACATGTTCTTGAGTTAGTGATTTATTGAGGGAGTGCTCTTAGGAGAAACCTGTATGTAAGAAGCTAAAAAAAGAAGTGATTTTAGCTAAAAGCTAGTCTCAAACCTGACCCCATGGGGAGCTCTAAAACATGACTGATGCCATAAGATTGAGGCAAGAGGTCTAAGTTCTTACACATCCATATCAGCCAGTCATTGGCTATGGGCTACCCCTGGGGAAGGACATAACCTCTTAGACATTGTCAACAAGGCGGCCCCCATAGGCTGGAGGCTATGCTCTGGAGAAGAGTGCACCTGTGAATTCTTGACAGAGAATACTCAGCAGCTGTGGGATGGCTGCACCTCCCTGGTAAGGGAGGTCTATATGTATCAACTGTTCTCAACCTTACAAATATATTATTTTAACCCCAGTCTTCTAATACAGTTGCTTGCTGTATGTTTGGTCCTTAGCAAGACCAGCTTTCCAGAGCAGTGCCCAGGGCTGGCTCTAATCACATCACCTTCCTTCTTCCTATCACAATTATCCCCTCTGGATCTCATTTGTGGATATGTTGCAAAGCCTGTTTCTTTTGTTTTGTTTTGTTTTGTTTTAATGACTGTATACCCAGTAAGTAGGTAGCACAGTGCCAAACGCATGCAAAAGCATTCATAGAATAAGGCCTATTTTGCTTTTTTCTTTTCTTGTTGTCACCTTATAAATGTGCCGAAGATCCCATTTTTTGAAGTTAATAATTTTATATACTTGTGTATAGGGATATGCAATAAGTTTATAAGGATATAATTCCAAACACTAACCTCATGCTAGTGCTGGAGAGCTGACATTTTCAAACACTGGGGCATCCCAGTACCTCCTGAAATCCTATTTCCATAGGTAATGGACTATTATGTCTCAACATGAGACTCACATTTCCCTCATTGCCTCTGTTGCTTGGCCTTAATATTACCATTTTCCTCTTCCCCTTACCTTTCCCCTAAATCCAAACTTAACTGGGTTTCTGAATCATAATTCTTATAAAGAATCAGCCCAGCTGCTCCTGGAAGTGACGTCTCTGGGATGTGAATCACTTTCTGAAAACAAACTGGAGCCCATTGCAAAAATGTGAAGAGGAGAGAAAGGCAGGTCTCTGCGTAGGATACAGGAAATGGAGGCAGGAACATCAACAAATTCCACGCTAAATCAAAGCATTGCTGAAAATGACAGAAACTCTGTGCCCTGGAGTTCCTTTTGACCCCACCAGCAATGAATCTCTGCTGGATAACGTAACTTCATTTCATGGGAAAGAGAGGCTTGAAAAGAACCAACTGAGGCTACCCTGCTTGGTAGACTGAGCACTTGAGGAAGGCGAGGAGATGACTTCTTGTCGAGAGCCTAATAAGGACATAACACATGAGACATTACCTTGGATACAGCCACAACCAGAGCTGCCTCTACTGTGTGTGGCCCTGGCTAAATTTTTTGGGGGGTAAGGGTGAGGAAGAGGGCCCTATCTATATAAACAGTTTCATGTTTAAATATATTACAAAATTTATGAGCCCAAGTGAAGTATCATGATTTGTCAATGAAGTTTTAGAATAATGAGAAAAGAAAGAGATACTATATATTTCTTTATTGTCCCATCAATGTATATGGAGATTCTTCGGACTGTCCAGATATCATCTCTTCCTGTTAGATCTAGGAATCATTTCTTCACACTCCTTACTGTCAAATGCACCATTCTTGAATATTTCATGTCTCCAACCACAAGAAAAAAGGGTATCACACTGCTACAGCTCTTCGAAACCTATTTAAATTGAAACAATTTGTATCTTCTTGCCTCTGTAGTTTCCTAATGCCATTTAATGTCAGTTATAGTGTTACTCATGACAGGGAATTATCCAGTTTATGGCCTAAATACCAACTTCCAATGACTCTCTCAAAGGTTACTTTATTACTTTATGTTGTTGGTGATGATCACAAATGCAAGTCTTATCCAGAATATGCCAGAAAATGAGAATGATAATTAATTTTCAGGCCATGTAGAATTTGCCATTTGGAGTTTTGTAGTATAAACATAAAACATATCTTCCAATCATATTTTCTCTTGAACTCTTTAAGCCGTAATTACTGCATTCCTAGAACGTGACCTCTTTTACAACTAACCACATTCCTACCTTCCACACATTGCTACTAGCAAGAGACCCGTGGGCAGAGTGAAAAAAGCATCCTGTTCATGCAAGGAGTGATTATCCTTCATCTTGCACAGATTAAGACCAACCCAAGAAAGCATGTTATCACCCACCAGTTGGAGGCAAGAGAGAACATTGACAGGAAATGCCCCATTGGGGCTAGGAGCGGTGGCTCATGCCTGTAATCTCTGCTCACTGTAACCTCCCTCTCCCAGGTCCAAGCAAATCTCCTGCCTCAGCCTCCCAAGTAGCTGGGATTACATGTGCCTGCCACCATGCCCAGCTTTTTTTTTTTTTTTTTTTTTTTTTGTATTTTTAGTAGAGATAGGGTTTCACCATGTTAGCCAGCCTGGTCTCGAACTTCTGACCTCAGGTGATCCACCTGCCTCGGCCTCCCAAAGTGTTGGGATTACAGGCATAAGCCACCACGCCTGACCAAGTCCCAGAACTCTTTTGCAGCACCTAGTTGACCCCACACATGGCAGTGGGGAGACAGTGCTCCAAAGGGGAGAAATGGGACCCGGGCCCACACCAGTCCTAGTCTAAGCTCAGAGCACCCTACCCACATGGCACTGCTGGCCTCAGCCAGTCCCAGATACTGTAGTGGGGTAACTTCCTGTATGGAAGGCACTCCAAAGGGACCCTTGAGGGCAGTGGCCCTGCTCGCTCAAGTCTAAGGACTCTACTGGCCCTAGAATATAAATTTTGTGGCCATCCAAGGAATGAAATTTTAAAAATCCTATAAGATCCCACATGTCCACATACTGCCAACACACCTGAAACTCAAACCTGTGCTGATGGTATTGCACTTCGTGTCATAGTGCTGCTTCCAGAAGGACTCCGTCAAAATATTATGTGTTCTCCGTGGGCAGTGAGCCCTGCAGCATCACCACCAAATGCAGCTGCCATTCATTGAACCCTACCATGGGCTGTTCAATCTCATCTAATCCTCACTGCCACCCTATAAAGTAGGTATGATCATTTTCTCATTTTACTGATAAGAAACCTCAGATTCTGAGAGCTGAGGGCAATTCCCATAGTCACAGCTGCTTTTTTTTTGAATGGCAGAGCTGAGATATTCTCACGTTTATCCCAAGAATTGGTTCTTTTCTCCTACATCACACCACATCATATTAGTTAATAACCTGAGCAGTTCAACATCTTTATTAACAGTTTTGAAACATTAATTCACAGGAAAACTGGTAGGCTCCAAGATGCTGGACCCCACCTGATGTCTAGGCTCCAACTCAGACTAATTAAACCAATATTGCTAGAAGAGGGCCCTGTAACTTTTTTTTAATTAAAAAATTTTTAAACTCCCCAAGGTAATGTTTTGTTGTTGTTGTTTGTTTGTTTGCTTGTTTTGAGACAGAGTCTTGCTCTGTCGCCCAGGCTGGAGTGTAATGGCATGATCTTGGCTCACTGCAACCTCCACCTCCCAGGTTCAAGTGATTCTCCTTTCTCAGCTTCCCAAGTAGTTGGGACTATAGGCTTGCACCACCATGCCGGGCTAATTTTTGTATTTTTGGTAGAGATGGGGTTTTGCCATGTTGGCCAGGCTAGTCTTGAACTCTTGACCTCAGGTGATCCACCTGCCTCAGCCTCCCAAAGTACTGGGATTACAGGCGTGAGCCACCATTCCTGGACAGTAATGTTAATAAGCAGCAAAGCTCAGAACAACTTAAAAAAAATTTTTTTTTGAGACAGGGTCTCACTCTGTCACCTAGGCTGGAGTGCAGTGGTGCAATCATAGCTCACTACATCCTTAATCTCTGGGGCTCATGCAATCCTCACACCTTAGCCTAACCCAAATAGCTAGGATTACAGGCATGTGCCACCACGCCTGGCTAATTTTTCTATTTTTTGTAGAGATGAGGTCTCCCTACGTTGCCCAGGCTGGTCTTGAACTCCTGGGCTCTAGTGTTCTTCCCACCTCAGCCTCCCAAAGTGTTAGGATTACAGGCATAAGCCACCACACCTGGCCAAAAACTTGTACAGAGTGTTTTGAAGACAATATTTGAGTGTCTTCCAAACAGTAGAGGAGACATCCCTTGGCCCATAGGTAGATAGTCATTGATTAATAAATGTGTCAATGAAGAATATAGAAGAAACTTATAATACAGATCCTTCCACAAAGGTGCTAGTGGCCTAACTAGGATCATATCCAGTATACTCAAATTAATTAAGGCTAATTAAATAGTATATATAGATCCCACAATTTCTTACTTGAAACTTTTGGGGCCAATGCATTTTGGCCAACATTTTCAGATTTTAAAAAGCACTATTGTATGTTAATGTGTGTATGTTTATATCATATATGACTAACACACTCTTAGAAGGACCTACTCATAACAAAACACAGTGATATTTCCACAGTGAAATATGTAATGGTCACATAGCATAAATAAACAAGATAAATAGCCTCACATTGTCAATCTAGTCAGGTGTCATATCTAAATGAGTTTTGGGGCCACTTTGAAAAAAACTTTCCATTTTCAGAGCTTCAGAGATTTGGGTACTGTAGATAAGGGACTGGGATCTGTCATATGGGCTCAACACAGATCCTGGAAGTGTAGAGAGGAAGCTACATTGGAATTAGAAGACTCGGTGAAAGTCTTGTGAATGAGGCAGAATTTGAGCTACAGTGAGTTAATTTTCTGCCCCTGGGAGGTGAGGTCCCCACAATGCCTTGTCACCCTGTTATCAGCCATGGAAGCTATATTTTCCTGCTTGAGCCACTAGGCGCCTGTGGAGTATTTTGTAAATTGCTTTCCTGCGATAGTCTACGTGGTCAGATTAAACAAAAAAAACAAAAACAAAACAAAACAAAACAAAAGAAAAACATGACCCACTGAGATTTGCCCAAAGTGAAGACCCGGAGGAGATGAGTATGCCCATCAAACAGTGCCGGAACGCTTAGGGAGAGAAGCTGGACGGAAGCTGAAGAGGATGGAGCCACATCTGAATACTAGAGAATATAGGCTTTAATCCCTGGCTAATTCCATTCTCTTAATAATTCACTCCATACAATGGAGATCTTTCACATTTCATTCCTAAATCCTTGGTTTACCTACCAGACAGATTGCTAACGTGGCCGATTTTCTCTGACACCTATTCTTCTTTCCCCTCTTCCCATCCTATTTCTCATTTTTTCCCCCTTACCTTAGATAATCTTTTGTCTCTTTCCCCGGAGAGGGATTCGCCCTCAGGAAGCATAGGAATCTGCCTTGGCTGGGTCATCACCTTTCACCACTTCATTACCACCTCTAAAACATCAGGCCAGCCCACAGATGGAGACATACCTCCTGTCCACTATTATTAGAATTCCCTGGGAGACAACACTGTTCCTAAGAGGTTATTGCTGGAAGTGAGTCAGAGGTATAAGGGATATATTGAATCAGGGACGTCTAGGAGGATACTAAAGTGGTTGCCTGTCTGTGAAAACAGGAAGGATAAAGAGAATAAAGACAGAAAGAACAGGAAAATGCAAGCCAGGTCAGAGTAAAGCAAACCGTTCTTCCCTTCAGTCTCCCATTTATGTATGTCCCTGACTTGGGTCTATAATAGTCTAGGAATGTGAAGCAGAGAAAAACTCTAGGGGAAGGAAATCTCAAAATTCAGTCACACGGTGAATCCTTACAGCTATGTTCTCAGATTCCTCTTCTCCCTATGCATGACTAACTACACTATTTCTCATTTGAATTTAGAGGAAATAGGCTGAGGGCAGCCACTTGCATCTTCTGTGTATCCAGCCACACAGCTTCTCTTCTCCTTGATTAAGTTTGATACCTTCTCTGCTGAAATTATTCTTTCACTAACTTTCTTGTTCTTTAGAGCAATAAAGCGGAAACGATGCTAAATGAGAAAAAGACTGTCTCCCATCCCATTCATCCCACATCTACTGGGCACCTCATATGAGCACTATTCTGCTTCTGGACATAATTCAAAAAAGATTTCTCACTCTCTCTTTCTCTTTCTCTCTTTTCCTCTCTCTTTTTCTCATTCTCTTGACCCACCCCCCTCTAACTCCCTGTGCCAGACTCTGACTATAGGACGAACATCTGCTTGCATGACTGACTATAGGACCAACATAGCATAAGTGATCAGTATCGGCTGACTGAATCTCTAAAAGGATCCAGATAAAGAGAAGAGCGGGCCCAAAAAGAAAAAGAAGAGGAAAAGGAGAACAGAGAAAGTAAGGAGAAAAAGAAGCAAAGGACAAAAGCAAAGGTAAGAGATGAAAACAAGAAGCCAAGCAAGGAGGCTGCTAGTAAAAGGTGGGAAGAAAGAGAAAAGGGCAGTGAAGGGTCAAGAAAAAAGAGTTCTATTCTTGCTCCAGCCCATCTTCTATCTTGCTCTACAGCACCACACCACCTCCCCAGCAGACCCCCATACCTAGGCCCTAAATTTTTCCAAGCTCGGAAAAGGAAGCCTGTTCCACATGGTCCTCCAGAAGCCATTACAGATAGAATCACTTTAACTTCATCCGCAATAGAGAAGTGCAGTTGTGCAAAACCCAAGAGTCTTATGTGATTGTTGTAGAGGCTCAGGGTGGGCAGCAGGGAAGAACATGGGTAAAGGATACACTAAACTCTTCCAGTCCACATCCAGAGACAAACTCAGAGCAGAGCAGGAAACAAATGGATGGCCAGGACTACAGTACGGACTACAGCAGCTCTTCACTTACTCCTTTCCAGGGTAAGGGAAAGGAGAGGCAGAGAGCTTAGAGAAACTAGGCATCATCACCTTATCCTACCATCTCTAATCCTAGGAACAAAATGCAAGTTGGGTGACCCATAGGGCAAGGAAGAATTCCATCTGCATGATACCTAAGATCAGGAGAACTATATGAGAAAGAAGAAGTAAAAAAGGAAGAGGAACAGGAGAAGGTGAAGAGAAAAAAGATGATGAGTTGCTTCATTGTCCAGTTGGTAACTGGCGCTTCATGTCATTACAGGTTATAATAATGTGCTTTTTTATAACAGAAGTTAGGTAATTGCAGTTAGGAGTGACCTGGTCTGGTTGGGACAGCTCGCACAATGTCAAATCAAAAGGTCGGGAGCTTTTGTGACATTTTCCCCCCTTGAGCTCACAGGCAATGACAGGACTGTTACAGACAGCTTTGACTGTGTTTAGATCCTCATGGATGAATGCATACTGGGCTATGCAACTCTGACTGGGCTCCTTCATCTTGTGTGCCATCATATCATTGCATTCTCTATCTGTCTGGTCAAGCCTAAGATAGTCTTTGTTGCTCTGAAAGAGAGCTGAGGCTCTGAGCATCTTGTTACCCCCAACCTCATCTTCACCGAGGATGGGATCTTCTGGCCAGCCAGGTTGCACCACTTCTTTGTTGCTAAGCACCAGCGTTTCTGTGGTTTGGGTGCCGTCTCCCTCCTCAGTGGCCTCAGCTTTGTCCTGTGAGTCACTGGACCAAAATTCATTGAGCGGTTGATCACTCTCCTCCAAGACTGCTGTAGCCATATGAAGTCCCAACCCCAGGCCCATCCCCAGGCCCAGCAGCAGCATCAGCAACATGAAAAAGATCTGCACCAGATTCAGCTTCATTTTGCCTGGAGAGGAAGCGGGAAATGGAAGAACGTGACTTTGAGATCAAAATTGGCTCTAGTAGAGACTGTAATCTCACTAAGCCCTACAGCATTGTATCTGGGGTCTCCTGTGTCTTCTGCACATTACTCTACCCTCTTCAAGGCAGCGATTTCTCTTTCCATTCCCATTTCTCTTGTTCCTCCCTACCACATTCCCTGTTGCTGTGTAATAAAATGTGGAAGTTTCCTCATGTTTCTTCTCTTGAAGAGTAGGGAGATGACCAAGGGAAGCAGTTCTGAGGTAATTTACATATGGGAAATCAGTGAGGAAAGTTGACATCAATTGATTCTTTTTTTTTTTTTTTTCCTTTTGAGACAGGATCTTGCTCTGTCACCCAGATTGGAGTACAGTGGCACCATCATAGCTCACTGAAGCCTCAATCTCCCAGGGTCAAGTGATCCTTCTGCTTCAGCCTCCCAAGTAGCTGGGATCACAGGCACACACTACCATGCCCAGCTCTTTTTTTTTTTTTTTTTGAGACGAGTCTCGCTATGTTGCCCAGGCTGGTCTCAAACTCCTGCGGTCAATTAATCATCCCACTTTGGCCAAAGTGCTGGGATTACAAGTGTGAGCCACCATGCCCCTGACATCAATTGATTCTTAAACAGAAATTTGTGCCAAATAACCAGAGAATGATTGAGAAGACAAGCGTGTACAGTGTCACACTCTCCTTTAGGGAAATTCTTGTAGAAAGCCTTATTGTCAATATAGGACTAGATTTACCACAGAAGACCATCTCTTTATTTTTAACCCAAATTTGCTTTTGCTTATTCAAATATCTATTACTCTTCTTGTTACCCACCTTCCCCACAAAAGATAAAAAGGAATAGAAAAAGTACCACAGTCCATTCTTACTCCTAAGCTGAGGCTGGAGGGAAGATGTCCAACTTTACATCTCAGGCCCCTGCTAAAGCTACATCTTGTTAAGCCAGATTCCTTCTACTATTAAAGATCTCTTAACATCTGAGTAGTCTTGCTGATTAGGTTTATACTCTCAGGGAAGAAATGGAATAAGAATGAAACCAAAGAAAATCAAACAATTGACCTGCTGGGGGTTCCCCTACTCATAAAGATTCTAAGGAGGCCAGGCTTGGTGGCTTCTGCCTATAATCCCAGCACTTTGGGAGGCCAAGGCAGGTGGATCACCTGAGGTAGGAGTTCAAGATCAGCCTGGCCAACATGGTGAAACCCCATCTCTACTAAAAATACAAAAATTAGCCGGCATGGTGCCACGCACCAGTAGTCCCAGCCACTGGGGAAGCTGAGACACGAGAATTGCTTGAACCCGTGAGAAGGCCAAGATGGTGCCACTGCACTACAGCCTGTGTGACGGAGTGAGATTCTGTCTCAAAAAAAGAAGATCCTAAGGAGAGCTGAGCATGCATCTTTGTCTTGCTAGGCCAGTCTCATCCCCTTAACAAAGAGACACATTCCCTGCCAGAAAAAAAAAAAATTGCTATGAAGAACATTATTGAGGCAATTGATAAAAGTATGATCTCTGTAGTAGATAAGAGTATTATGGCAGTCCCCCTTATCCACAGGGAATATGTTCCAAGACCCCAGTGAATGTCTAAGGCCCTATATGTACTGTTCTCTTCCTATACATACATATCTACATAAGTTTAATTTATAAATTAGTAATATATATTAACAACAACTAATAAAATAGAATAATTATAACAATATACTGTTCAAAATTTGCAGATAAAAGATTCTTTCTTACTGTAGATTTTACCAATTGCAGCATGTTTTTCCCCCCTTTCCTTATTAAGTTGAGACACTTTCACCTTTTCACTCAAACGGAGCACTTTACGGGTTCTTTTTGACGTGTCTGAATTGCCAGCATCATCATTCTTGCACTTTGCGGCTATTACTAGGTAAAATAAGGGTTATGTGAACACAGGCGCTGAGATACTGTGACGGTGCATCTGATATTGGCCACTAAGTAGCTAATGGGTGGGTGGTGTCTACAACATGGACACGCTGGACAAAGGGATGGTTCACATCCCAGGCAGGATGGAGTGAGACGGTGAGAGATTTCATCACATTACTCAGAACAGCATGCAACATTAAATTATGAATTGTTTATTTCTGGAATTTGCCATTTAATAGTTTCAGACCGTCGTTGACCATGGGTAACTGAAACTTTGGGTAGGGAGAATCACTGTATATATGTATTTGATATACTGAATGTAAAACTGTACCCTGATTGTTTAAGAAAATATCCTTCTTCTTAGGAGATGCACACTGAAATATTAAGCAGGAAAAGAGCACAACATATGCAATATACTCTCAAATGCTTCGGAATATAGATATATGGATATGTATACATGTGTGTGTTTACAGAGAGAGAGAGAAAATGATAAAAAATAAATAGGGGGCCTGGGCGCAGTGGCTCATGCCTGCAATTCCAGTGCTTTGGGAGACCGAGGCAGGTGGATCACTTGAGTCCCGGAGTTTGAGACCAGCCTGGGCAACATGGTGAAACCCCATCTCTACAAAAAATATGAAAAAATTAGCCTGGCTTGGTGGCGTGTGTCTTCAGTTCCAGCTACCAGGCAGGCTGAGGTGGGAGGATGGTTGGAGCCCAGGAAGTTGAGGCTGCAGTGAGCCATGATCCAACTGCTACACCCCAGCCTGGGCAACCGGAGTGAGAATCTATCTCTAAATAAATAAATAAATAAATAAATAAATAAATAAATAAGGGAAGTTTAAAAAAATAATGTACCTGGATAAAGAATATTCATGAGTTCCATGAATTATTATCACATTTGTTTGTAAAGTTGAAAATTTTATTTATTTATTTATTTATTTTTTTAATTGATCATTCTTGGGTGTTTCTCGCAGAGGGGGATTTGGCAGGGTCATAGGACAATAGTGGAGGGAAGGTCAGCAGATAAACAAGTGAACAAAGGTCTCTGGTTTTCCTAGGCAGAGGACCCTGCAGCCTTCCGCAGTGTTTGTGTCCCTGGGTACTTAAGATTAGGGAGTGGTGATGACTCTTAACGAGCATGCTGCCTTCAAGCATCTGTTTAACAAAGCACATCTTGCACCGCCCTTAATCCATTTAACCCTGAGTGGACACAGCACATGTTTCAGAGAGCACAGGGTTGGGGATAAGGTCACAGATCAACAGGATCCCAAGGCAGAAGAATTTTTCTTAGTACAGAACAAAATGAAAAGTCTCCCATGTCTACTTCTATCCACACAGACCCGGCAACCATCCGATTTCTCAATTTTTTCCCCACCCTTCCCGCCTTTCTATTCCACAAAACCGCCATTGTCATCATGGCCCATCCCCAATGAGCCGCTGGGCACACCTCCCAGACGGGGTCCTGGCCGGGCAGAGGGGCTCCTCACTTCCCAGTAGGGGCGGCCGGGCAGAGGCGCCCCTCACCTCCCGGACAGGGCGGCTGGCCGGGCGGGGGGCTGACCCCCACCACCTCCCTCCCGGACGGGGCGGCTGGCCGGGCGGGGGGCTGACCCCCCCTCCCCCCTCCCGGACGGGGCGGCTGGCCAGGCAGAGGGGCTCCTCACTTCCCAGTAGGGGCGGCCGGGCAGAGGCGCCCCTCACCTCCCGGACGGGGCGGCTGGCCAGGCGGGGGGCTGATCCCCCCACCTCCCTCCCGGACGGGGCGGCTGGCCGGGCGGGGGGCTGACCCCCCCCACCTCCCTCCCGGACGGGGCGGCTGGCCGGGCGGGGGGCTGACCCCCCCACCTCCCTCCCGGACGGGGCGGCTGGCCGGGCGGGGGGCTGACCCCCCACCTCCCTCCTGGACTGGGCGGCTGGCCAGGCGGGGGGCTGATCCCCCCACCTCCCTCCCGGACTGGGCGGCTGGCCGGGCAGAGGGGCTCCTCACTTCCCAGTAGGGGCGGCCGGGCAGAGGCGCCCCTCACCTCCTGGATAGGGCGGCTGGCCGGGCGGGGGGCTGACCCCCACCACCTCCCTCCCGGACGGGGCGGCTGGCCGGGCAGGGGGCTGACCCCCCCTCCCCCCTCCCGGACGGGACGGCTGGCCGGGCAGAGGGGCTCCTCACTTCCCAGTAGGGGCGGCCGGGCAGAGGCGCCCCTCACCTCCCGGACTGGGCGGCTGGCCGGGCGGGGGGCTGACCCCCCCCACCTCCCTCCCGGACGGGGCGGCTGGCCGGGCAGATGGGCTCCTCACTTCCCAGTAGGGGCGGCCGGGCAGAGGAGCCCCTCACCTCCCGGACGGGGCGGCTGGCCGGGCGGGGGGCTGACCCCCCCCCACCTCCCTCCCGGACGGGGTGGCTGCCGGGCGGAGACGCTCCTCACTTCCCAGACGGGGTGGCTGCCGGACGGAGGGGCTCCTCACTTCTCAGACGGGGCGGTTGCCAGGCAGAGGGTTTCCTCACTTCTCAGACGGGGCGGCCGGGCAGAGACGCTCCTCACCTCCCAGACAGGGTTGCGGCCCAGCAGAGGCGCTCCTCACATCCCAGACAGGGCGGCGGGGCAGAGGTGCTCCCCACATCTCAGACGATGGGCGGCCGGGCAGAGACGCTCCTCACTTCCTAGATGGGATGGCGGCGGGGAAGAGGCGCTCCTCGCTTCCTAGATGGGATGGCGGCCGGGCAGAGACGCTCCTCACTTTCCAGACTGGGCAGCCAGGCAGAGAGGCTCCTCGTATCCCAGACGATGGGCGGCCAGGCAGAGACGCTCCTCACTTCCCAGACGGGGTGGCGGCCAGGCAGAGGCTGCAATCTCGGCACTTTGGGAGGCCAAGGCAGGCGGCTGGGAGATGGAGGTTGTAGCGAGCTGAGATCACGCCACTGCACTCCAGCCTGGGCACCATTGAGCACTGAGTGAACCAGACTCCGTCTGCAATCCCGGCACCTTGGGAGGCCAAGGCTGGCGGATCACTCGCGGTTAGGAGCTGGAGACCAGCCCGGCCAACACAGTGAAACCCCGTCTCCACCAAAAAAGTACGAAAACCAGTCAGGCGTGGTGGCGCGCGCCTGCAATCGCAGGCCCTCGGCAGGCTGAGGCAGGAGAATCAGGCAGGGAGGTTGCAGTGAGCCGAGATGGCAGCAGTACCGTCCAGCTTTGGCTCGGCATCAGAGGGAGACCGTGGAAGGAGACCGTGGAGGGAGAGGGAGAGGGAGAGGGAGAGGGAGAGGGAGAGGGAGAGGGAGAGGGAGAGGGAGAGGGAGCAAACTCACTTTTTCATCCTTATGATTTGTCTATATATTCTTTTGGGGTTTCTAAACACAGACACTGTTTCATGGGTGAATCAATCAGAGTTTTACTTTTTCTTGTCTGGCACTGGAGCTCTTTCTTTGTCCTACCCTACAGCATTGGCTGAGACCTCCAGCACCATAACTTGTAGAACCGCAGATCAAGGCACTTTCAGGATTCACATTCAGTGAGGTTTGCCAGAGTTACTTCTGCTCCTCTAGCAATTGATCAGATAACGCTTTTTCATTATTCTTGTTGTATTCGCTGGATACACGCTGCTTGAGCTTTGGAGCCTCGCAGTGGTGTGTACGTGTGGCGGGGGCTGGCCTGTGAGCTCCTCTCCGCTGCTGTCCTTGCTGGGTTAGGGACTGAGGCTACGTTGGCCTCAGGAGCTGGTGAGTGCTCCCTTGTCTTTCTGGAAGAGTTTTGTGGACGTGCATTACTTTCCCTGTAAATGGTTGGTAGAATGCTGTGGTGATGCTGTCTGCGCCTGGAGTTCTTTGTGAGAGAAGGTTGTAATGACAGATTCCTTTTTTTTTTTTTTTTTTTGAGACGGAGTCTCTCTCTGTCGCCCAGGCTGGAGTGCGGTGGCGCGATCTCGGCTCACTGCAAGCTCCGCCTCCCAGGTTCACGCCATTCTCCTGCCTCAGCCTCCCAAGTAGCTGGGACTACAGGCGCCCGCCACCGCGCCCGGCTAATTTTTTGTATTTTTTAGTAGAGACGGGGTTTCACCGTGTTAGCCAGAATGGTCTCGATCTCCCGACCTCGTGACCCGCCCGCCTCGGCCTCCCAAAGTGCTCGAAAATTTATTAAAAAATTATTTATTTTAAAAAAGAGAGAGGACTTCCATGTTGTTCCTTGAGGCACCCAACACCTCTGTGACTTACGTACATGCATAAGCAGCTGCAGAGATTCTTGTGTCCTCTCGTTCCCCAAGTTCTTCCCTCCCAGGGTTTCCTTCTTCGTGAGCAGTGCCCTGGCTGCTAGTCTGAAGAAAAATGGTTATCTTCTGGTGGTCCACGTGCTCTTAAACACACACTTACTTCCTAAACCCACTCCCCGTTTCACTTCCTCCGCCTAGCACTGAACAAACACACTCAGCCAATTCTTTCTGTTCCCACAAACACTTTGAAGTGAGGCTATCTGGGCACTGAGACAGATCCAGACATCCAAGACGGGAAATCTCTCCAGCCTGGGAAACTGCAGACAGTTTTGTTTCATGGATCAATTGTTCTGCTCCTGAGTTACACCCGCTATCCTGTGGTTTATGCAGCCTGACCTTGTGCATGAATCTCAAGTTTAGTCTTTTCTTATATCTGCCACATGTACTTCCTTTAATCCTCTCCTATAATTTCTGCAGTGTCAAGATCTTTGGCCTTTATTTGGCCATCTCTCCAACATGATTATTACTTTACAAGTGTATTATGACAAGATTTAGAGTATTTGAGACAATCATGAGTTTTCACATATCTTTACCTATAACTTTATCCAGTTTTCCACTCTCTACTCCCTCTTTCCATTCCCCTAGCCAATAACCACATTCCCATAAGAATATCTGGATTTTGCAAATCTGATCATTTAGCCCTAGATAGGAGACTATCCAAAGCAGCATTATCATTATCAGTCCCTATACTCTGGGTGAATAAAACCAGGAGGGTTACAATGTTGATCCTAAGGTTCACTTCTTTAGCTGAAATTGACATTCTGAGATAATATTTTTAAAACCACTCTGGAGACTGTTAAGGCACTATAAAAATCATCTGTAGACATAAACACGATCTTTTAAGAAGATGTTTTCCTAAACTGTGGTATAAAAAAATAAAATAAAAATAAAAGAAGATGTTTTCCTTAGTCCTTCAGGCAGAATTTTTCAAATGGTGGTCTAGGAGCCACTTCTGTGATTTACAAAGTCTACTGGGCTGACTTTTGCAGTGCTGGTGTTTATAATTTGCAGTAAGAGCAATGACACCGACTACCAGTATTGAGCACTTCCTTTTGCAAGGCACTGACTGCATTTCACCCTCACATTTGCTTGCGCTATCCCTCTTTGGTGTCTATTCTGCCCATTTATTCTGGTGAGGTCTATTTGCAATGTGAAGAGAAAATCAAGAATTATCTGCTGAGCCCAGCAGCAGTCTAAGGTCAGCAGGGGTAATGTATTCAACAACCATGCATCACCTGCTTCTTTATAACTAAAGAGTTTTGTTACTACTAGAGATCATTTGAAATTAACCTTTAATTAAATACAAAGAAAGAACCTAAGTCTGTGTAAGTATAACCTTTAGACTGGACAGGTTTTTAATTTTCATTTTTATTTCTTTTTCTAGGCTACAGTTTTCTCGTCTTCTAAATTTGAATCGTTCTTGGACATAAAGTGGTTTATAATACTAAAAAAATTTTTTAAATAAAAAATGAATAAATTTGGATAATAGTAGCACTTACTTTACAGGGCTGTTGTAAATATTATATAAGACACTGCATGTAAAAGGCTAAATGTATTAGTTGTTGTTGTTATTGCTCTTACATAGCAATTACCAACACATGCTCATTACCCACCCAATCAATATCATTTTCCTGTTTAGAAATAGCACATACTAAGGACCGTAGCTACCAACACTGCTCACTGTATCTTCTAGAAGAGTCAACCAGTATCCTGGAATCTCTCAGAAGGAATTATGAGAAGGCTGATATAAGATGACCCTCATTTCACCAACAAAGAAGTGGCTCAAGTAAGTTAATGTCCCAAATGCTACAGATAACTAATAGCAGTTCTGATACTAAAACCCTTGGCTTGTAGTTAAGAAAAATTTATGATAAATAAATAGATGGTGGATAAATGATAGGTAGATAGATAGACAGACAGATAGATAGGTGTAAAGAGATAGGGGTAGAAAAGATTGATGTTAAAACTGAACCCTACAATTCTCCCAGCTTATTTCCTAGAAAGAGTTTTCAGGCTGTGGCACAGAGAGGGAGACCCAGGCAGAGTCCGCCAGTCTTCCTGAGCTGAGGAGATAAAACTGGGGGTCCAAGGAAGCCAAGGCAACTGGAGTTCACAGAGCACAGTACCAGAGAGGACAGAATTGCAGACAGAACTTCAGAGATCTGGAGTGACAAGATGTCACTGCACATCCATCAGAATGGCTAAAAGAATAAATAGCGCAAATACCAACTGCCGGCAAGGAGGCAGAGAAACTGGGTACACGCATACATTAATGGTGAAAATATAAATGTTATGGCCACTCTGTAAAACAGTTTGTCAGATTCCTTTTTTTACTGATACATAATAGTTGTACATATTTGTGGGGTTTTGATACATTCATACAATGTTCGATAATCAAGTCAGAGTAATTGGGATATCCATTACCTCAAGCATTTATCATGTCTTTGTGTTGAGAACATTCCAAATCTTCTAATCATTTTGAAATATACAATAAATTATTGATAACTATGGTCATCCTGCTGTGCTATTGAACACTGTAAC
This sequence comes from Homo sapiens, assembly GCF_000001405.40. Lineage (NCBI taxonomy): Eukaryota > Metazoa > Chordata > Mammalia > Primates > Hominidae > Homo > Homo sapiens. Next base: position 704,433 of record NW_025791796.1, on the reverse strand, counting down.
TTATTCCTTCTGTCTAACTGTGTATGCTTACCATACAACCCAGCAATTGCACTCCTTGGCATTTAACCCAGAGAAATGAAAACATATGTTCACATAAAAACCTGTACAGAAATAAAATAGCAGTTTTCTTCATAATATTCAAAACCTGGAAACCATCCAAATGTTCTTCAATGGGTGATGCATTAAGCAAACCATGGTACATGTACCATGGAATATGACTCAGCAGTAAAAAGGAATGAACTATTGATACACACAATAAATTAGATACATCTCAAGGGCATTATGCTAAATGAAAAAAATGTATCATCAAGCAGCCATGTACTGTATGATTCCATTTACATAACATGGAGAACAGATTCATAGTTGCAGGGTCAAGGATCATGGGGATAGGGATATACGCGTGACTACAAAGAGGTATCACCAGGGAGATCCTTGTGGTGATGGAATAGTTCTGTATCTTGATTGCAGTGGTGGTTACAGGAATAAACACACAATAAAATGACTTGTAACTACACACACACACACACACACACACACACACACCACACTAATGTTTATTTCCTGGTTTTGATATTGTACTCTTTAAGTGAGATATAACCACTGGGGAAAACTGTTGACAGGTACATGGGGACTCTCTGTACCATCTTTGCAACTTTCTGTGAATCTATAATTATTTCAAAATAAAAAGTTTTTCAAAATGTTAATGCTCATTATAGAAGTTTTATGTAATAGTATATAGAAACACACAAATACACACACAAGACCCTCATCCTACTGTTATTTACACGTTGGTGTGTATCTTTGCAATCTTCCTCCACCCAACTCAACCCCATGTTGACGTTAAGTTTAACATGTCTATAGAAACTACAAGTTGGCCGGGCATGGTGGCTCAGGCCTGTAATCCCAACACTTTGGGAGGCCAAGGCAGGCAGATCACCTGAGATCAGGAGTTCAAGACCTGCCTGGCCAACATGGTGAAACCCCGTCTCTACTAAAAATACAAAAATTAGCTGGCTTGGTGGAGGGCACCTGTAATCCCAGCTACTTGGAGGCTGAGACAGGAGAATCGCTTGAACCCGGGAGATGGAGGTTGCAGTGAGCCGAGACCGTACCATTGCACTCCAGCCTGGGCAAGAAAAGCAAAACTCCACTCCATCTCAAAAAGAAAAGAAAAGAAAAGAAAAAAACCTGCAAGCTGAAATGTCAAGTGGTAGTTGGACATAGTGGATACAGCAATCTGGAGTTCTGAAGAGTCTAGTCTGGAAATATAAATTTGAGACATAAAGAGACATAAAGGCATATGGTTATGTATCTAAAGACATGAGACTGGATGACAGTGTCCAGAGATTCTTTTTTAACTTTGTTTTGTTTGTTTTTAAGATGGGGGAAATAATAGCTTGTTTGTTGATAGTAAAGACACAGTAGAGAGGAAAAGCGTAATGCAGGAGTGAAAGAAAATATTTGTTAGAGCAATAGTTTGAGTGCTAAGACTGAGAATAGATCACCTAGGTTTATGTGTGTAAATGTGTTATGTTATCTATGAATTACACTTCAGGATAGTAAAAGGGAAACAACATGTTTGCTATGAAAGGTTGGATCTGGTGACGTGGTTGAGAACCAGCGGTTTGAAACAATCAGTAATGGTTAGTGTCTCGCTACACTGTGCACACATGAGTTTTTCCTTAATTCTGCAATTGCAGCTGCTCCAGTTGACTGGATATAAGAATCCAGCTCAGCTGTGGGATGGAGGCTTTCCAGGTATGAGGTCTCTCTTGGGATGCGAGACATGGGAACAGCAGAAGGGAAGGAATACTGAACAATGCTTTTCTTGTGGGTCCCAAAGAAGCCATTATCTTTTTTCCTACGGTTTTTGTCGTTCACATGCCCACCAGATAAACAAAGTCTGTGGTGGGAGAGGGGGCACTTTTTCAGAAACTGCCATGTTATTTGAGATGACCCAATATCTAAGCACGGTCTTCCATCAGGATCCCAGAGTGCTCAATTGTGTGCAGATCATAGCGTCAGTCTACCCACCAAACACAGAGGGACCTAGCCTATTAAACATCTTCCTAGAAAAGGCTTTCTTATGATATTATGTAGTATAATTCTTCTTACAGAAACATTTCTGAAGATTATGGTTTGCTTAAGGGTAGCCAGCAAAGGGGGTAAATAGAAATGAAAACCTAACCTATACTCTGTAAACAAACTGTACAAACTAGCGCTGAGTTGACTTCACCAGGAGGAAGAGCCTTTCTTCTCATTCATATAAAAGTGCTGTTTGGGCTTTCTGGGGACCTAAACAGATGGTGCTACATTTTAGTTCATTTTCACATAAGTAACCTCATGTGATCCTCACAACTTCCCCACCAAGTAAGAAGGTCTCAAATTACTTCTTTGGTTTTACAATAAAACTGAGGCCTCAAGCTGTTAAGTGACTCGCCTGAGGCCACATAGGTGGCGAGTGGCAGAACAGGAATGAGGCCCCGATCTGCTGACTTCCACCCATTGTTTTTTCTTTTTTAGCATCTGCCTAGACCCTGATAATGTGTTCCAGGTGAAATCATTTCCTCATGGACCTAGAGAACAATTGGTTACCAGTGATTCCGAAAACAATCTTGAATATATAAGATAGGTATTTTTAGTTATTATTAAGAATCACAATTCACATTTGTAAAATGAACTACACAAACCTGCTCACAATCTATAGAACCCAACCCTTCTTAGTCTGCCTGCTACTTTATTCTTATGATCCTTGTTCCCCCTCTCTAATCATTGTAGTTCTCTGATCTAGATTTCTACCTGTTCAGGCCCTGCATAGCCATGGGTTCAGTCCATGGATTGATCTCTGGGGGAGTTACCACATTATGTCTTGTTCTTTCTAACTGAGTGATTTGGGCAGCTTCTGCAATCTTGGAAGAGTTTTGCTAATAACATATGAACCGTTAAACAAACCACAACCACTCTGGTGCAACAGAAACTTCCAGAACCAACAGTCTACAAAAGGAGCTCCCCAAAATCACATCTAATTTATGAATCACTCCTGCCAAGAAGTTCTTTGTTTTTTTACAGCCTATACCTCTGCTAGAAAAGATGCCAGCTCTCTGATATTCTGGGTGTCATCCTCGATAAAAATCATGCTCAGGCCGGGTGCAGTGGCTCATTCAGCCTGTAATCCCAGCACTTTGGGAAGCTGAGGCAGGTGGATCACTTGAGCACAGGAGTTTGAGACCAGCCTAGGCAACATGGAAAGGCCCTGTTTCTACTAAAAATACAAAAACTAGCTGGGTGTGGTGGTGCGTGCCTGTAGTCCCAGCTACTTTGGAGGCTGAGGTGGGAAGATCACCTGAGCCCAGAGTGTTGAGGCTGCAGTGAGCCGATATCACACTGCTGTACTCCGGCCTGGGCAACAGAATGTCTCAAAAGAAAAAAAAAATTCAAACATTTTTATCAGTGTAAGTAATATTCACTCTCTTCTTTGAAATAGGCTTAATCATTATCTTTAGAGATATTTCATCTAAAAATTATTGGAGATGACTTTATTATCTGGTTGTATATGTTGAAGAAATAACCAAATTTCTTTGTAAGTTGCTTTTTTTTTTTTTTTTTTTTTTTTTTTGAGACGGAGTCTCGCTGTCGCCCAGGCTGGATTGCAGTGGTGCGATCTCGGCTCACTGCAGGCTCCGCCCCCTGGGTTCACCCCATTCTCCTGCCTCAGCCTCCCGAGTAACTGGGACTACAGGCACCCGCTACCATGCCCGGCTAATTTTTTTGTATTTTTAGTAGAGACAGGGTTTCACCATGTTAGCCAGGATGGTCTTGATCTCCTGACCTCGTGATCCGCCCGCCTCGGCTTCCCAAAGTGCTGGGATTACAGGCGTGAGCCACCGCGCCCGGCCTGTAAGTTGCATTATTCTTATCATGAGCCTGCATAACCTTTCACATTTGAAAATTATTGGTAATAAACTAACCACAGTCATTTTAAAGCTCTGTCACCTACAGATAGTTTTTGCTCTACTCTAATGTTTGCCTAAAGACTCTGCTATAAATTACAGGCCACAATTTGTGTCTTCAATAAAGAAGGACAGTCTCAAAGCCTCATGAAAAACGATTGTACCAGATATTTCAAACTATTAATACTTCAAAGCATATACTTGGATATAGGCTTTTGATGTAACATCATTTAGACAATTTTTAGATCAGGCTGGGTGCAGTGGCTCACGCCTGTAATCCCAGCACTCTGGGAGGCCAAGGCGGGTGGATCACCTGAGATCAGGAGTTTGAGATCAGCCTGGCCAACATGACAAAGCCCTGTCTATACTAAAAATACAAAAAAAATTAGCCGGGAGTGGTGGCGGGGGGCCTGTAATCCCAGCTACTTGGGAGGCTGAGGCAGGAGAATCACTTGAACTTGGGAGGTGGAGGTTGCAGAGAATAGAGATCGCACCACTGCAGTCAAGCCTAGGTGACAAAGCCAGTCTCCATCTCAAAAAAAAAAAAAATTTTTTTTATATCAAACCTGTAGACTGACTCCAGATTTCCAAAACTCATTTTAGTTTTTTTATTTAAAAAAAAAACCTCTTCATGACAGTTAACTCAAGTTTCAACAGAATAAGAATTAATTATGTAAAGCTGAATGAACTTATAAAGAAACGTTGTAGTTATTTGTTTGGAATATTGTTTTAAAGTTCTGCTTTAATGTTGATGTTGTTTTAATGTTCTATTCTGAACATATAAACAAGGTTTTTTCCTTTCTTCTTAAAATCTCTCTAATTCATAAGTTAGGAGCTTTTGAAAATTAAAATATTTATCAAAAATAAACATTTTTAAATGATATCTGATTCTTACTGACCCACATACTCCAACTAAGAATTCAGAAACTCTTACCTCCTTTCTTACTTTTTATAACAGTATAGTTATCTGAATAGGTTCAGCAAGAATCTTTTCTCTTTTTTGCCAGGATATAACAGAAAAACAGTTACACAACCAAGGTGTGGGCCAGAATGTCACTTTTGAGAATGGTGCTCCTTTAATCAGCTTTGATGAGCCAATGCCTACAAAATCCTCTCAGAAAAACCCACCTGGGATCTGGCTTACAGAGTCCCAGTCTTGCAGGAGGTGAGGAAGGTCACTTCCTAGTTCTTGGTTCCTTACCTTCTTGGCAGGTAAGAAACTTCAAGAAAATATGAGAAACTTGAGAAGAAAGAAATTCATCCAAATGTATAGGTACTGTGGGTAAAAATCTAGTGGAAAGAGATTCTTGAGCTTGGTTTTTCTAACCTCACAACAGCAAATAATAGAGGCTTTTAAAAGTCAGTCTGAGATTTCTTAAGGAAACTTCTAGAAAGAAGTTCATTCTGTGGCCTTGTGAATAGTATATGGCTCTAGATTTACGAAGCAAACTTAAGAAGGCCTATATGGTAAATAAAACTCTTCCACCTGTGGAAATAATCAGGCCAAACCGTCAGGATTGCCCTTTTACTTATCTTCCAGCACACTGAGCTGAGAGCTTCCTATGCCATCTCTCTTCTTGTCCTCAGTGCCAAGCAAAGTGTGTGGAACAATGAAGGTAGTCAACAACATTTATGAGAAGAATAAATATCAGGTTGTGAAATAGCTTTCGCACCTGATTCCAACTGTGAGGCGGCAATGGAGAGCCAGGGAGGCAGGCAGAGGCACTGAACTCATCAAGCTTGGTTTCCTCTGCCCAGCCTCAAGTTGTACCATGGGGAGACAGAGACTCCATTAAAAATAAACTCACAATTAACTTTAAAATACTGCAGCAATAAACAAATAAGTAAAAATAACAAAATAAGGAGAAGAGATGAAACAAGATGAGCAAAATGTTGATTACTGTTGAAGCTGCATGTAATGGGCACTTGGGGATTAAATCATATGCTTCTTTCTAATTTCAGTGCATGTTTAAAAATTTCCATAATGGAAAGGAGAAGAAAGGAAAGGAAAAGGAAGGGAAAGGTAAAGGAAAGGAAAAGGAAGGGAAAGGAAGGGAGGGGAGAGCAGGGAGAGGAAGGAAGAGGAGGGGAGGAAAGGGCAAGGGAAAGGGAGGGGAAGGGAGGGAAAAGGGAGAAGCGGGGAGGGGAGCGGAGGGGAAGGAAGGGAAGGGAGAAAGGAAAGAAAAGAAAAGAAGAAAAGAAAAAGAAAGGAAAGGGGAAAGGACAGGAAAGAGGAAAGGAGAAAGGAAAGGAAAAAGGAATGAAAAAAAAGAAAGAACAGGAAAGGAAAGGAAACTTGAAGGGGAAGGAAATTACAAAAAGGAAGTCTGCTGGCTTTGTAAGGAAGGGGGTAATGAGTAAGTTCAGGCAGTTTTGTTTCATTTTGGGTATTTGCACCAGTATTCGAGGTGTCCCAATCAGAGTGACTCATCTTGAATAAAGGCCAGATGAAGCCAAACCTGCTGGGTTACTTTCCCAGGAAATTGGGCACTGTTAATCACAAAATGTTTATGGTTGAGGAAATGAGTTGATGGAAAAAGGCATTCTTAGTTTAAAAATGGGTTTCTTGGATGGCATGGTGGCTCACACCTGTAATCCCAGCACTTCAGGAGGCCAAGGCAGTTAGATTGCTTGATCTCAGGAGTTCAAACCAGCCATGGGCAATGTCAGGCGTCTGAGCCCAAGCTTGCACGTGTAAGTATCCGGATGGCCTGAAGCAACTGAAGAATCACAAAAGAAGTGAAAACAGTCGATTCCTTCCTTAACTGATGACATTACCTTGTGAAATTCCTTCTCCTGGCTCAGAAGCTCCCCTACTGAGCACCTTGTGACCCCCACCCCTGCCCGCCAGAGAACAATCCCCTTTGACTGTAATTTTCCACTACCTACCCAAATCCTATAAAACAGCCCCACCCCATCTCCCTTTGCTGACTCCTTTTTTGGACTCAGTCCGCCTGCACCCAGGTAATTAAAAAGCTTTATTGCTCACACAAAGCCCGTTGGTGGTCTCTTCACACGGACACACGTGACAGGCAACATGGTAGAATCCTATCTCTATAAAAAAATAAAAATAAAAATTAGCTGGGCATGGAGACTGAGGTGAGAGAATCCAGAGGATCAAAGAGGATCGAGTCAAGGAGGTGGAGGCTACAGTGAGCCAAGATCGCACCACTGCACTCCAGCCTGGGCGACAAGAGTGAAATTCTGTCTTAAAAAAAAAGGTGGGTGGGAGGGTTTCTTGTGGTGGTGAAGGTGTAAGCAAATAAACACATAAAAATAAACATGGGTTTCACTTTAAAGATAATACTACACTCATAAATTATTGCTGAAATCAATAGTTACACCGGAGAATAACAATACTAATAGCCTGTCACAACTTGATCACAAGCCTTTATAATAAAGTAAACTATTCTTTTTTTTTTTTTTTTTTTTTTTTTTGAGATGGAGTCTGGCTCTGTTGCCCAGACTGAAGTGCAGTGGCGCAATCTCGGTTCACTGCAAGCTCCGCCACCCGGATTCATGCCATTCTCCTGCCTTAGCCTCCCGAGTAGCTGGGACTACAGGTGCCCACCACCATGCCCGGCTAATTTTTTGTATTTTTAGTGGAGATGGGGTTTCACCGTGTTAGCCAGGATGGTCTTGATCTCCTGACCTCGTGATCCACCCACCTCGGACTCCCAAAGTAAACTATTCTTAACCTTAATATCCTGTATAAGCAAGCATTACATTTAAAGTAGGGGCATTCCTCCTCTTGCTCTCTGAGGATGCCCTACTCTGTAATAGAGTAGTTTCTAATGAACTGTTTTAACTATACTGTACTCTGCGCCCTGTCCTTAATTCTTTCCTGCTCAAGATCGAAGAACTTGCTCTTGAGGTTTGGAACAGGAATCCTTTTCCAGTAAAACCAGTAGTTCAAACCACTCCCTGCTCCACCTCTGACTTCCTCTTTTGTTTTGAGAGAGGATCTGCAAGACACTAGCAGTTTTGAGGAAGAGTGAGCCCTAGGGAGGGAAATGCTCAGTGGCTCTGTACTAGCTCAACTGTTGGAAGTCAGCCTCACCCCACACACTGGCCTTTTCCTGATCCCTTTCTGGTCTGAGAATGGGCAGTGGCCAGATACTGCCATGAGTAGATGGGAGTGAAAATACTTAGAGATGAAGAGGAGGCAGGAGAAGGGGAGCTGAAATTTTCAAACAATTGTCACTGTGTGATATTTCAACTTCAGATAGTGGCCAAATAAGTTTCAGTGGGAACTGCGTTCAATCCAAATGACAAAACCACTAAAGTCTGAAGAAGATGTACCAGCTAAACTGGTAGCTTCTAATCTTTTGATCATCATGGGTTCTTTTTTCTTTCCTTTTTTTAAATAAAATTTTAAAAATTCCTTCCCAGGTAGCTGGGAGTACAGGTGGGCACCACCATATCCAGCTAATGTTTTAATTTTTTGTAGAGATGTAGAGATGGGGTTGCCCAACCTATTAGACCCTTTTTATTATTCCCAGCCCCCATAGGTCCCTATAAATATTTGTTAAGATATAGTTGTAACTTAGCAAATGTATCTGGGGGACCATGTCCAAAAAAACCAGATGGACACCCAGAAAGGGTTTCAGGAGGTGGAGGCTGCACAATTATCCAAGATACATTGGATCCTATCCACAACTTACAGGTGCAAACTTGATCTTATCTGAGTTTTTCAGTTTCTTTTTTTTTGAGATGGAGTCTCACTCTTGTCGCCCAGGCTGGAGTGCAGTGGCGTGATCTCGGCTCACTGCAACCACCACCTCCCGAGTTCAAGCTTCTCCTGCCTCAGCCTCCCAAGTAGCTGGGATTACAGGCACCCGCCACCACACCTGGCTAATTTTTGTATTTTTAGTAGACATGGGGTTTCACCATTTTGGCCAGGGTCATCTTGAACTCCTGACCTCAGGTGATCTGCCTGCCTCAGCCTCCCAAAGTGCTGGGATTACAGGCATGAACCACTGTGTCCAGCGCATTTTTCAGTTTCATGCGAGTTACTCACACCAACCAATCCCCAGTTAAAACTATGAACAAGATCTACATTGAAAAATATGTGCAGTGAAAATAAACCTGCCCCATACATTCTCTCCCTGACTCAAGTGGGAGACCAAACCTCAAAGAGATGATTGCTTGGTGAGCATCAGTGGTCAGCAGCGTCACAGTTCCTTCGGGCCAGGATAAGCTTGGGAAAATGTTTCTGACTTGAAATTAAGAAGTGAGCTAGTGTGTTACTCCTGGACAATGATGGTTTAGTAGAAAGCAATTCTCAAAATTTAGAATTTCCCTTTCCAATTTCCAAACTCTCCTATCTCCTTCTTAAAATACATTAGCATGTTTGTTGATTTGTATTCTTTTATACTCCACCTCATTCCAAGATAGGATTAAAGTCAGCTTGCAAAACTGTCTGCAATAAATAATCACACAAATCAAATTTAGGTGAGAGAAAAGAGGCAGGATACAACTTGATTGATTATGCCATCACTGTATCGAGGCTAAAATCATTATGCTTCCTGAAGCCAGCATTTTGGTCCCCAGAGCTGAAGTGTGTGAGTCCTTAGCCCTAGGTGATAGATTAGAAGTTTGGATGGTTTAATTCTACAAATGGTGACTACTATTTACCAAATGCTGATTTGACCTGATGTAATTCTCAGGTGGTACTAATAATTTCAAGTGTTGAAGAAATTTTGCCATATAATATTTATACCTATGAATCACCACTTTATTTTCCCATTTGTACTAATAAAAATAAATAAATAAATGAAACTTACCAGAAAAGGTTTTTAGTAAGAATGAGATGACCACAATGGTTTGAATAGTTCAAACAAACTTAGTTTTAGTTAGCATGTTGTAGCTTTATTCGGAGTAAATGTGTGGTTTCCAGTAAGATGCCTGACATGTTAAAATTAGCTCACAGACTTTTTGACGCGTAGAAATAATCTTGAAAGGACAGCCAACAACCATAACGAGAAACAAAACAGAAACCACCTAAGTCAAGAAGGTAGACACAAATGCCCCTCAATTTGCAAATAGATATCTCCCCTGCACCAAGAATCACCCCATGGGAGGAGCAACTAAGTTAAAATTTCAGGATGAAAGGGTTTGCTTTCTCTTCATGAAACTGTGTCTAGTACTCTGGTCAGGTAATGATGATGATCAAGGTAATATTAGTGATCCAAGGAGCAGAGGCTTTTTCCATGCCAAGCCCATATACCCTGATAGGGCCACCAGGTGGACAAGCCAGTCCATCTGCACGATGCTCCTAAAGGGCGGGTCACAGAGCCAAAGAAAGGAATGACTCGCCAGAAGAAACTCTGCCTTTTCTGAACTTTTTTTTTTTTTTTTGAGACAGAGTCTCACTCTGTTGCCAGGATGGAGGGCAGTGGCGCGATCTCGGCTCACTGCAACCTCTGCCTCTTGGGTTCAAGCCATTCTTCCATTCTTCTGCCTCAACCTCCTTAGTAGCTGGGACTACAGGCATGTGCCACCATGCCCTGCTAATTTTTTTGTATTTTAGTGGAGACAGGGTTTCGCCATGTCAGCCAGGATGGTCTCGATCTCCTGACCTCATGATCCCCCCGCCTTGGCCGCCCAAAGCGCTGGGATTACAGACGTGAGCCACCATGCCTGGCCAGCACTATTTTGAGTTCACAGACTAAGTTCACTTGGGATGGCAGATACTGGCTGATATGGTTTGGTCGTGGTAGTGAATAAGTCTCACGAGATCTGATGGTTTTATCAGGGGTTTCCACTTTTGCATCTTCCTCATTCCCTCTTGCCTCCTCCAAGTAAGAAGTGCCTTTCACCCTCTGCCATGATTGTGAGACCTCCCCAGCCATGTGGAACTGTAAGTCAAATTAAACCACCTTTTCTTCCCAGTCTCTGATATGTCTTTATCAGCAACATGAAAACGGACTAATACACTGGCACAGAAGTTAGCACAGAAGAGTTGTCCGTTAAGGTTTGGTGAAAGAGACAGGAAAGGAGAGGAAAGGGAAGGAAGGAAATAGGGAAGAAGGGAGGGAGGGAGCCCTGAGCAATGCGTGGAGGTCAGCAGTTAAGATTAGCTCAGCAGGAAGGAAGCGTCCTGGGCTTCCGTGAGAGGTGACCTCTGACAGGCTTCCAGGTTCCTGTGCTCTTTGAGAGAGTCTTTCTTATCCCCTCACCCAGTATACAGGTACTTTGGCCTGGCCTGGCTGGCCAGATATGCAGTCGAGGTTTTACCTTCAAAGATGACAGCTAGAGAAATAAGAAAAGGGAAAGCATTCAGAATCCATTATAAGACGTACTGATAAGTAACACACATGCAGATCTTATGAATTAATGTGGATCTTCATAGGTAAGATCTTCATAATGGCAATGCTATTATGTAAGAGAATGTCCTTATTCTTAGAGATGCGTGCCAATATATTCAAAAATGGACTGATAGGCAAATTGTCTGCAGCAATTTACTTTCAAATGGCTCAGGAGAAAACAAATGTATGTAGCAGATTATTGACTATTGATGGTTTAGGTGAGAGGTACACTAGTGTTCATTACATGATCCTTTCTACTTTTCCGTAAACTTAACGATATTCCAAGTAAAAAGTTCAGGACAAATGGGCATTAGAAATTTTCTCTAAAATGTATAAAATCCATAGTAAGCACACCTAGCTGGTAACAGCGCTTGCTTATCTTGGCTGAGAGGATAAGGGGTTCTTCCTTGCTTTTTGGTGTGTGTGTGTGTGTGTGTGTGTATGTGTGTGTTTAAGGCCACAGCTAGGACCCTTCTTTCTGCCCCTCTGGCCTCTTTCACTGCACCAAACCACCTGCTCCTGGGCCCCAGCAAAGCAATCCCCCTATGAACAACATTTCTCAACAAGTGTTTCTGTGCCTGTTAGTAGCCCCACACGCTTCTTCCCCACAAACCCTTTCCTCATACACCATTGCCCACACAAAACACACCCCTTTCAAACTGCTGTTCTGGAACAAATGGCTTTCTTCTCTACTGAGTGCACCTCTGCCCAAGGCTTCCACCCACAAACGATTCTTTCTCTAAAGTTCCTGTGTAACCCTACCCCACCCATCCTCTCTGAATCATTGCCTCAATCCCCTGAGGTCTATCTTGCTGCAAATTGAATTCCTGCTGGTGTTGAGCCTGAAAATTTCTCAGTTTGCTAAGCTAAAGAGTTGCCCTTCCGTGATGGATGAAGCAGTGAATTGCTTCCACTTTTGTCTAGGATCGGGCACAGACCTTACTCTTTCTGCCCTAGCACCCCAGCTCCTCAGGTCCCACTTCAGTGGCATCAAGCAGAAGTGGACATGCATGGATAGATATATAATTATTGAAACATGAAAGCACAGTGTAACATCCCACCCTCCTTCTGTAGAACTAGAGTGTTGTGGAACTATAGTTGTTGCTATTCAGGTTTTTGCAGATAAAATATCTTGAAAAGAATTTTAGAGGTCATAAGGTCAACTATTTCTCTCTACAGCTTTGTCAAATATTCCTCTAGCCCCTATTTCAACATTTCAGGAATGTAACGTAACAATGTCTTTTTTGTAGAGCTCTTTTTCTAATATTGAGTGGGCTCTCCTGTCCTAGTCAACTCTCCAAAGTTGCACAGAGTAAATTTGATTCTTCTATATAAATAAGTTTAAAAATAATATAAGGCCAGGTACGTTGGCTCATGCCTGTAATCCCAATACTTTAGGAGGCCGAGGTGCTAGGATCACTTGAGGCCAGGAATTCGAGACCAGCCTGGGCAACATAGCAAGACTTTGTTTCTACAAAAAAAATTTTTTTTAATCAGCTGGGTGTGGTGATATGTGCCTGTAGTCCCAGCTACTCAGGAGTTTGAGGCAAGAGGATTGCTTGAGCCTTGGAGTTCAAGGATGCAGAGAGCTATGATCATACTAGTGCATTCCACAGAGCCTGGGTAACAGATCAAGATTCTATCTCTTAAAAAAATCATAATAATAATATTAATAGAAGACAGTTCTTCACTACCTCCTTTCATCTTCTGTTTACCACCAAACTTAACTACTCTCTGGCTTTTCATTCAACCTAAACGTGATGCCTTTTTACACATTCTCCATCCCCATCTCTTTATGTAGATCTAATGCTATGGTGACAAAAGTTCTGAGCCTGAAGGAATAGCTTAGCTATTCCTTTGCTGTGTGGTATTGGAAAAGTCAGATAACCTTTCTCTAAGCCTTTTTAAATCAGAAAAATGAAAATGAGAAAAATATCAATGATACTTGCTCAAGGGTCTCAGTAATTATCACAACTAAAAAGGACCAAAAAATGTAAAATATTTTGTAAACTATAAAGCACTATGTACATATTACCTGCTGTGAATATTCACATTAAAGGTCCAATCTCAGCATGAGTGTCTCCCTTCCTCCCAGCATAAATTAAGTCCTTCTATACTAGGTTTTTTTGGTAAAATTTAGCCACACACATTGGAATTCAGCATCAATGGCTTTTATGGAATGATAGTAAATTGCAGTGATTACTTTGAAAAAATAGTCTGTTCATAATGACAATGGTCCAGACTAATTTGTTTTATTGTTATTGTTTTGTCTTGTTTTTTAGAGAGGGATAGGGTCTCGCTTTATCACCCAAGCTGGAGAGCAGTGGCATGATCATTGCTCACTGTAACCTGGAGTTCCTGGGCTCAAGTGATCCTCCTGCCTCAGACTCCCAAGTAGCTGAGACTACAGGTGTGTGCCATCACAATCAGCTTGTAAATTTTTTTTTTTTTTTTTTTTTTTTTTTAGAAACAGGGTCTTGCTATGTTGCTCAGGTCGGTCTCAAACTCCTGGCCTCAAGTGATCCTCCCACCTCAGCCTCCCAAAGTGCTGGGATTACAGGCGTGAGCCACTGTGCCCGGCCCCCACCTGGCCTAGTTTGTTGTTTGTTTGTTTTTAATGCTTCGATATAACAGCTACATCTTCCTTCTGTACTAGCCATTCTTTTACACTCAATCAGCTTTACAGTTGCTCCCTCCCCTGCAGGGCTCATAGTCTGCCATGTTACCAGTTGTATTCCCAAGTCTGGAGCCTTTGGGGTCTCTAAGCAAGAATCTAGCACTGAGGCTCTGGGGAGGAAGGGCTGAACTTTCTTTAATATCTTTAAAGAGTTTGCTAAAAAGTCTTTACCCTGCAGGGATCACCTTGCAGAGTTTTTCTTTGTTGTTGTTATTATTGTTGTTGTTGTTTTTAATTTCCTAGCTCTGCTCTGCTGCCCTCTTATGGGCAGCTATCAAGTCAAAACCAAGCTTCTATCTTAGACCAATTTGCTTCCACTGGCAAGGCTCCCTATCACACAACACAGGTGTAACTGTACTATAAGCAAGCCATAGGGTATTATATCAATAATCAATAAAGGTGCCATTTAACTCTCAGACTATGGTACAGGCCATCTTCTCTTCTTCAGATCACACCCAAGTCCCAGTTGGCTTCTTTCCAGTTCAAAATGCCTCCCATCATTTAAAAAAAAAGGAAAAAACCTTCTCCTGAACCCACATCCTTTCCCCCAGCTACCACTTCCCTTTATAGCAAAATTTCATGGTTTGCACTTGCTGCCTCTATTTCCTCACCTCTCATTCTTTCTGGTGTCCGCTCTAATAAAGATATCATCTTTGTTACCCCGCTGAGACTGCTCGTCAAGGTGAGCAGTGACCTCGATCAGTCTCTTGTGTTAAAACGCTTTCTTCACTTGCCCTCCAAGGCATCCTACTTCTTGGTTTTCCTTCTACCTCATTAATGTCTCCTCAAACACATTTGCTAGATCCTTCTCCTTCTCCTGACTTCTGTCCCCAAGTGATATCGTCCAGATAATTTGGTTTAAACACCACCTATGTGCTAATGACTTCCAAATGTATTTATCTAGCTTAAACCTCTTCCCTTGGACTCCAAACTCATATACCCAACTGTGTAATCCACATGTCCATCTGGAGGTCTAGCTTTTCAAACGTGACAGCCTTAAAAGAAACTTTTGATTACCATGCCAAAACTGCTCCTCTGTTAGCGGTGTCTTGGTAGATGGCAACTCCATTCACCCAGCAGGTCAAGCTGAAAACTTAGGAACCTTTCTAAATTCCTATTTTTTACTCATATTTTATTTTCTATATATCTATAGAAATAAGGTAAGTCTTATTCTATATATATAGATATATAGAAATATATATTTTTTATATATAGATATATAGAAATATATATATAGATATATAGAAATATATATTTTTTTCTATATGTAGATATATAGAAATATATATATTTCTATATATATATCTCTCTCTATATATATATATTTCCTTATATCTATGTAAATATAGGTAAGTCCTATCTGCTCTACCTTCAAATATCTCCAGAATCCAACCTCTTCTTACTGAAGCAGCATCATTCATCTAAGGTAATACCTGAGGTTTGCTGCCTCATGCCAAGGAAATCAAGGATGTGGACACACAAGAAGTAAGGTTAAAAGCGGAGGTTTAATAGGCGAAAGAAAGAGAAGAGCTCTCTGTGCAGAGAGGGGTCCTGGGGAAAATGGATTGCCACTTCCACAGTGAAATGCAGGAAGTTTTATAGATAAGCTTGAGGAGGCGGTGTCTGATTTACACAGGGCTCGAAAGATTGGTTGGACCAGGTATGCCATTTGCATAGCACTCAAAGAAGCTGGCTGCCCCACCCTAATCTTTTATTATGCGGATGGGTTTTTTACTTGGCCATTGCCATATTGCCTGGTTCTTTACTGTGCACGTGGTGACTAAGAAAAGGGAAGATGGAGCCTCCATGTTGAACATGCCTGGCCCTCAGGCAGCCCTTTTCTGTTGGCACAGCGGCCGGCATTCACCTGTGCAAACTTCCAGCTTGCTTATCTCTGTCTGCAGCTCGATTTTTCAGGCCACTCTTTGTTAGAAAAGAAATGACTCGGGGGCTGCTTTTAGTTAAAAAGGGAAACCTTGCTAAGGACTCTTGCCCTCATCATCTACCTAATAATTTCTTCTAGTTCCTGTATCGTTAGCACCTCCATTACCACCACTGGTTCCAGCCTAAACCACCTTTTACCCTAATCTACCTCTGAGGTCTCCTAACCAATCACCCTATTTTTGCTTAATACTACTGATTTTCTACAAAGCAGCCAGTGAGGTTTTTTTTTTTTTTTTTTTAAAAAAAAGTAAATTGGTTAAAAATCATTTCAGTGACCTTCTTTCATGCTCAAAATAAAACCTAAACTTATCATGACCTACAACACCTGCCTTCATCTCCAGCCTTATCTACCATCACCATTCCCCTTGTTCAGTCTACTCTAATAGCACTGGCCTTCTGTTACTGCTAAATTGTTAAGTTCCCTAAGAACTTGTATGTTTGCTTGCACACTCATCTCTAATCACTGCATCATTCACGCCCTCATTTACTCAGGTCTCTGCTCAACTGACAGCTCCTTGGAGAGGCCTTCCCTGAACCAACCTATTTGAAATCACTCACCCTTTTATCACTTTTTTTTTAAAAAAAACTGCCTTGGCTGGGCGCAGTGGCTCACGCCTGTAATCCCAGCACTTTGGGAGGCCAAGGGGGTGTATCACCTAAGGTCGGGAGTTGAACACCAGCCTGACCAACACGGAGAAACCCTGTCTCTACTAAAACTACAAAATTAGCCAGGCATGGTGGTGCATGCTTGTAATCCCAGCTACTTGGGAGGCTGAGGCAGGAGAACCGCTCAAACCCAGGAGGCGGAGGTTGCGGTGAGCAGAGATAGCGCCATTGCACTCCGGCCTGGGCAACGAAAGCAAAATTCCATCTCAAAAAAAAACCAACCAACCAACCAAACAAACAAACAGAACAGCCTTAGTGAGCTGTATTTCACGTATCATAAAACTCACTCGTTTCAAGTGCAAAATTCAATGATTGTTATCATTTTATTTAGTGTTGCAACAATCACGTAGATCAGTTTTGGAACATTTTTATCCCTTAAATAAGATCTCTATGCCCATTATATTAATCCCCATCTCAACACTAAGCCCCAGAAAACCATTAATCTACTTTCTGTCTCTAGAAATTTTTCTGGATATTTCATATAAATAGAATCACATAATACAGATTTGTATCTGGATTATTTTATTTAGCATGTTTTTGAGGTTCACCCATGACATAGCATGTGTCAGTAGTTTGTTCTTTTTTATTAATGAATAGTATACCATTGTATAGATTTACATTTTTTCTTTCTCTCTTTTTTTTTTTAAGACAGGAGTCTCGTTCTATTGCCCAGGCTGGAGTGCAGTGGCATGATCTCAGCTCACTGCAGCCTCCATCTCCCTGGTTCAAGTGATTCTCATGCTTCGGCCCCAGAGTAGCTGGGATTACAGGTGCATGCCACCATGCCTGGCTAATTTTTTATTTTTAGTAGAGACAGGGTTTTGCTATGTTGGCCAGGCTGGTCTTGTACTCCTGGCCTCAAGTCATCCACCCGCCCCAGCCTCCCAAAGTGCTGGGATAACAGGCACAAGCCACCACACCCAGCCTAGATATACATTTTTTAAACAATCCATTTACCAGTTGATGGGCATTTGGGATGTTTCCAGTCCTTATTATTTTAAAAGTTGCTGTGGACATTTGTGTGTGTTTGTGTGGTTATGATCTTAATTCTCTTAGGTAAACAGCTACAAGTAGAAATGATGGGTCATATGGTAGTTTTGTGCTTTGCCTTCTGAGAAACTGACAAACTGTTTTCCAACTGGCTACACTATTTTACATTTCCACCAGAAAGTGGAAATTCCACAATTTAAAAAGATTCTTGTTTTTCTGCGTCCTTACCAACATTTGTTAATGTGTGTCTTATTTATTATAGTCATTTTAGTGAGTGTGAAGTGGTATCTCATTGTAGTTTTAATTTGCCTTTCCTTCCTCTATTACCTTCTATCCTCTTTATTTTTTTCTTAACACTTATTATTACCTTAGGTTTTTAAAAACATTTCTGTTTATTGGTTGTCGCACTCCCCTAATTTAATGTAAATACCATGAAGGCAGAAACATTGTCTTGTTCTTCTCCATATCCCTAACCCCTAGAACGTTTGTTGAGTAAGTAAATAAACATATCCTTCTCATGTGTTCATCTCTTCTTGTTCAGCAGCCTAGAAAGATACACTTGATAGGTGCCCTGTCTGGGATATTGAAAAGCTGAAAAGCTCAGCTTCTTCAAGTTTGCATGGGCAGATGACAGTTTATAAGTTGTCAATTTTGGATTTTGCATACATGTATATATGTACACATATGTTTGCAGATGTATATGCACACACACACACACACACACATCCTGGCATTTCTATATGAGGCTTAATACATCTGATTATCAAAAGGACAAAGTTCAAAGCAAATGCAGAAAAAAAAATGAATGAGCGTAAGCGCAATACAGAGTTGTCAAGTAAATGTTATGGTTATCTAGAAACTGAATGGCCATTACATTTACAAATGTCAATACTAGGTGCAGATTGATAGCAAGACCTGACACAATGTCACTTGAATAAATCAAACAAGGTTATTTATCCAAAGAGCACAGCATAAATTCAGCTCAGTCAAAAAAGTGAACACATTTTCCAATTCAGACAGAAGCATATCTTCACTCCAACATCTTCACTAAAAGTGTGTGCGTTATTACTGAAAACTCCTAAATGGGTGAGAAGACTCTGCAGAAATTTAGTCTCTCTTGGTCCAGCCTATCTGTGCTCATAAACAAGTGTGAATCTGCCTAGAGCCCCTCCTTGGGCAGAGGTATCTCATGTGTGTAAGGGTTATATAATGACAGCACTATTGCCCGGTCTTAGAGAACAGTTTGGTTCTCTAAGGCATCTCTCTCAGACAGTATATCCTGGTCTGAGAACATTCCTGAACTCGGTATTGTGGAACTGAAGCAGGGATCAGTTTCCTGGATCTTTGACAGACCAGCTAACAGCCATAGGGTGTATCCTGAAGTGAAGAGTCAGTAGATAAAAAATAGTTAAGAAGCTGCACAGCCATAAAGAATGGCAGAGTGACAGAAAATATCCAAAATTACTCTTACCATAATTCTGTCTTTTTTAATACTAGTAGTTTCTATTTGTGACGGGGAGAGGAAATTGGCAAAGTAAGCATCCAAGGAAATCTAATGTCCATCACCTGCCTAAAAAATTTCAGGCATGACTCAGTTTTGCTTTTCAGGGACTTTACTGACTCCGTAACATCTTATCTATGATGTCCAGAGTGAGAGCTTTCCCACTGCGAAAACAACCGTATGAAAAACAACTACTTATCCCTTACTGCAATTAAATAATTTTCATACTTTGATGACATTAGTGGAACAGTGACAATGGTGGTAGCTATGTATTATTATTTTGGGGGAGACGACACAAGCAGGTAATAATAAAGATTAATACTGTGAACTGGAATTGATCTTAAACAACCTCTGATTGGTAAAAGAACAGTTGATAGAACTAGATCAGGTCAGGCTACACAAGAGAAGTACTATATTCTACTAACTTTTTATTATAAATTACAACAGGAGCTCAGATAGAAACAGTTCAAAATAAAGAGGAAAAGGGAAAACCAAGGCCAAAGTCAAGTAGCTAACAAGTGAAATGGTGTTTTAAAAAGAGTAACAGCAAAAAGAAGAAGAGAACAAGAAAAAAAAAAAGATTGGCAAGTGAGACAAAGTAAAAGCTTTCTACAATGAACAAACAAACTCAGAATGGACGTGAAAGTAAAAGCCCGATGGAGGGGTAGGGGTTCTTTGACCCGAAAACAACAGAGCAAATTCAGATTAATCCAAAAGAATATCACATCTAATTTAAGCCAAAACTAAAAATTAGACAAAATGATTAAAGACAGGAAAATTTTATTTTTATTAAAATCCAAATTTACAGTAACAGAAAAACCAAGCAGATAACCAGTGTTTGTTCGAAGGCATCCCTGAGAAACAAAACATTATTATGAAAATCAGGGGCCTATTTACAAGAAAAAAAAGGCAACACAAATCTAAGCCAAATTGAATTAGGCAGAAGGCACAGCACAGAATGAATAGCTCTCTTCTTCCCAACTTCTTGCTTTAAAGGAGCAGCAGGTGGCATTACCTCTTTGTGTCTATTCCTATTAGTAATCAACAAACGAACTGAGAAGTGGCAAAAAAAATTAAGACCATATTCTCCCTTTGCTTCTAAAAAACTGGAGGTGACAGACATATATCCTTGGCAGCATTGATGTAAGTCATCAAGAAGGCACACTAATTCATTGATGTGAAAAGATCTCCAAGATATGTTAAAATAAAATAGCAAGATACAGAAAGTATATATAACATACTAACTGCTGTTTATAATAAGAGAAGAAAAATAGAATTTGTATTTGTTTATATTTGTATAGATCCTGGAAGAATGCAAAAGAAACTAATAACAGTGGTCACCAGTGGGTGGGGAAGGAAGGGCATATGAGGACAGGATAGGGGTGAGAGTTCTCACTATACACATTTTATGTTGCTTAATTTTTGAACTATGTGATTATATACCTATTCACAATTTTATATTAAAAAGAAGGGGAAACTATTGACTTAAGTGTATATTTTCATCTCTAAGTTGTTTGCACTTTTGCCTCTACATTCTATTTTATAACAGCTTATTCCTTTTGTGTGTGTGTGTGTGTGTGTGTGTGTGTGACAGAGTCTTGCTCTGTCACCTAGGCTGGAGTGCAGTGGTATGATCATGGGTCACTACAGCCTCGATCTCCCAGGCTTGAGCCAGCCTCCCACCTCAGCCTCCCGAATAGCTGGGACTACAGGTGTGCACCACCATGCCCAGCTAATTTTTAAATTTTTTGTAGAAACAAGGTCTCACTATGTTGCCTAGGCTGGTCTCAAACTCCTGAACTCAAGCAGTCCTCCTGTCTTGGCCTCCCAAAGTGCCGGGATTACAGGCATGAGCCACTGTGCCCGGCTAATTTATTCTTTAAAACACTACAGAAGACCCCAACCTGACTAAAAATTAAATACTTAACACCAACCATTGTGCTATTCTGTACAGTTAATTTTGGGTGAAAGTAATTCTACTATCAAAACAAGCCTCTCTTTTAGTCAGGCTTCTAGCCACCAAAATACTACAGTGCAATTTTTATCTACCAGTCCTTCGTTTAAAAACTGTCAATGGCTGGCCATCTTGCCTAGAAAATAAGGTCTTACTCTTTCATTTTGTTTTGCTTTTGAGAGACAGGGTCTCACTCTGTTGCTCAGGCTGGAGCGCAGTGGCTCCATCATGGCTCACTGAAGGCTCAGCCTCCCCGACTCAAGCAATCCTCCCACCTCAGCCTCCCAAGTAGCTGGGACCACAGGCAACCACCATCATGCTCAGATAATTTTTGTAATTTTTGTAGAGACGAGGTTTCCCCATATTGCCCAGGCTGGTCTCGAACTTGGTCTTGAACTCCTGGGCTCAAGTGATCCGCCCACCTTGGCCTCCCAAAGTGCTGGGATATAGGCGTGAGCCACCGCACCTGGCCCTAAGGTCCTACTCTTGAGCCTGGAATCAGAGCTCCTCTCCAGCTTGCTGCCCATCTTCCCATTTATTTCTTCACTTTAAGCATTTCAGTTTGTTCAATGATTAAACATTCCTGGATTCATCTGTATGTAATGGCTTCTGCCATGTCCTCTTCACCTATCTTTTTTTTTTTTCAAAGATGGAGTCTTACTCTCTCACTTAGGCTAGAGTGCAGTTCCGCAATCATAAAGCCCACTGCAGCTTCAAACTCCTGCGTTCAAGTGAATCTCCCACCTAGTATGTGTGATTATAGGCATGAGCCACTGTGCCTGGCATTTCTGTAAGGCCTAAATAATGTCTCATCAATCCTTTCCTACTCCCCAGCTCCGGTGATGGTCCTCTTCTCTCAATTCCTGTAGCACATACCATCATTGACACTTAGCATACGCTACTTTTCACACATTACTGTACTCCTTTTGTAAAAAATTAGGCCCTCTTCCTCAGTTCAGTCGAAAAAGCTGATTCTAAACAATGACAATATAACATATGAAGAGATTAGTAAAAGTCTTTAGCAGCTATAAAGGGCTCAAATAACTCAGCCTAGTTATTTCTTTTTATGCATACATCTTGTCTCACATCTAGACTGTAGACACTTCATCTTATACCAACTTACATTTTGGTTTTTAGGACAATGTTCTCTACATAATACATGATTAATGAATATTTATTGATGCTAATAAAGATGGTCATGATAGGGTCAAGAAAGCAAGCCTGACTTCAATGTGTTTGGACACCTACCATGAGACTCAGTAAAATCAATCTATTTTGCAGGCATTCTGCAGGCCCCTCCAGAAATGAATGGTATCATCGCCAGTTTTTTTCAAGAATGTCTTTTCTCTGGAAAGCCCTCCCACACCTACTTCCCTTCACTTTGTGCTCGTATCCTACAATCCTAAACTGATACGTTCGGTTTTGGCTGGACTGGTTGGCTTTTTAAAATCAGACACTCGATCAACAAAATGTGGTGTATCCATGCAATAGAATATTATTTGGCCTCAAAAAAGAATTAAGTACTGATACATGCTACAACTTGGATGCATCTTGAAAACATTATGCTAAGTGAAAGAAGCCAGCCACAAAAGTCCAATTCCATTTGTGTGAAAGTCCAACATAGTTAAATCTATAGGCACAGAAGGTAGATAAATGGCTGTTTGGGGCTATGGGGGAGCAGATAACGTTTCCCTTTGAAGTGATGAAATGATCTCAGATTAACTGGCAATAATTGCACTTATTTGTGAATACACTAAAGACCATTGAATCACACACCTTAAATGGGTGAATTCTATGGTACGTAAATTTTATCTCAATACAGCTGTTTTTTAAAAAAGAAACTGAAGACATTATGTCTTCATATAAATAAATATGAATTTAGTAAATCTACTTACTAAGTCTAAAAAGCTTACATATTCCACTCTTAAATATTCCACTCAAGTATCTCTAGGACATATTTTTCAGATGGCCCCATTGTGATTCCTGGTCAATCTGACCAAGAGGGAGACTGGGGGTAGGAAAGCCAAGTGCCAAATGCAGCCCTCCTCAAACCAATTACCTTTCTGCCTGTCTCACCGGAGCCTTCCATGTCCTGATCTAGTCCCACCAGTTGTGACAACGACTCACGAACATGCCTAGTACTTTTTGCAGCTCTGCTTTGCCTCATCCTGATGTGAAATCCTCTTCCCCTGCTTCATCCTTCAAGACTAGGCTCAAAGTTTTCTATAAAACTTTACCTAATATTAAGTATCCATCACTTTAAGCAAAAGAAAAAAAGGAAAAAAAGCTTTCCCTAATCTACCCAATTCACACTGTTCGGTGTATACAATCAATCCCTCCTTTGAGCTCCCACGTGTGACTTGTACTCATTTTGTACAAGCTTTATACAACAGTGGCTTTGTAAATGAATCTTAAGATTGTAGGGCAAGGCCAGGCACGATGGCTTACTCCTGTAATCCTAGCACCTTGGTAGGCTGAAGCAGGAGGATTGCTTGAAGCCAGGAGTTCGAGACCAGCCTCAGTAACATGATGAAACTCCATTTCTACTAAAAAATACAAAAATTAGCCAGGTGTGGTTGCATACACCTGTGGTCCCAGCTACTCTGGAGGCTGAGGTGAGAGGATCACTTTAGCCTGAGAGACGGAGGTTGCAGTGAACTGAGATCACAGCACTGCACTGCAGCCTGGGTGACAGTGAGACCCTGTATCAAAAAAAAAAAAAAAAAAAAAAAAGGAGACAGAGCCACTCCAAGATGCTTTTTCTTTGTATTGGGCAGTTAAGTAGGTCAGTTACCAAACAAAGGATAATTTGAAAGTTCTCCAAAGCAGCCTGTGCAAAATATCTCTTCCGTATTATACCACTAACAACTAAAATGTTGTCATTACTAGAGGCTCATCCAGCACTGGTCTTTCTCAAAAGGCACACAGGCCTGGGAGGGCAGTGTGGTTTTGAAACATGCCAGCCAGCTGAATGCAAGTTGATAAGCAAAGATAATAGTGCGGTGAGCCAACATGGGGGAAATGCCTGGAGGCAGTATCACAGGGAGGTTCTGACAAGCACAAGTGAAGAGAAAGACTGGAGCCCAGAAAGGAAGAGGAAGGAGAGAAGGAGGCACTCAAAGAGAAGCAGAGTATGAAACAACTTCACAGGTTTGCCTGGGGCTGGCAGCAATCCAGTCAACAGTGGAGTGGCTGGCAGCAGAGAAAAGTGTTTGCCACTGCCTTGTCAGCATGGAGTGAATGGAGAGTGTGGCTGCAGATGTTAGAGAAGAGTAGGAGAGAAAAGGCAAACAAGAGGAAATATAATTAGGGCTTTGGTAAGGAAGTGGGAACTAAGGAAGAGGCTAACCAGTGAACTAATTCAGATATGATCAAATAAACAGGAAATGAAACAATCAGAAGGCAAGGGAGAGAGGCAGGACCAGCCTGACAGAAGTGGCAATCAAGTGCCAGAAGTTAACTTTTCTTTACCATCTCATAACCTCTTTCCACCTCACCTTTCATCATTTTGCCCTTCTTCATCCTTTGCTGCCCTCACATACTATCTCATCTCAGTTCCTAACTGCTTGTCTGAGAAGCAGATAGTCACACAAGACATGCGATCTCACATCCTTTCATGTCAATCTTGGTCTGTGCCCCAGCCCCATACCAAGTTACACAAAAAAATGAAATTATTTCATCTTTCTCTTTATTCTGACAACATTATGACATTAAATAAAATCCAAGAGGTATTGGATTAGTCCTTGTTTGGTCTCTGGTGATTTAGATAAGGCAGAACTGAGCCCCTCGGAATGTATTATCTCAAAGAGCTAGTAGCAGCTGCTATGCAAAGTTCTAAGGCCCGAGTCAAATCCTGGGCATCTCCACAGATGTGTGGTAGGGCACGGGCTCCAGCTCTTGTGTAAGAAAGAACAGGAATGAGAACAGCTTTATTTTGTAGCGCCAAGGTCTCACTATGCTCACACCTGTAATCCCAGCTTTGAGAAGAGGATCTGGCACCAGAAGGGTCTGGTAGAAGAAAGTGGGAAAGGTGAAGGACAGGAATCTTTTCCTTTCTGCTACAACCTAAGGACAGAGGCACATGACTCCAGCAAGGGGCCAAAGAAGGTAGCAGCTACTTGGGTCTTGTGTGGGAGATGCCAGACGACTCCAAGGCAGGTCAACTGGCTTTGTCAGGGAGTGGAATGCTGGCCATAAGAATGGAGACAAACTGTTCCAATTTCTGTGCAGCTTGTTTGCCAGCTGCTAAGACTTCTTCATGGTTGGCCTTCTCCAGGCTTTCATAATCCATGATGACCTTGTTAGTGATGAGTGAGAAGCCAAAGACTCGAAGTCCACAGTGCCGTGCAACGATAACTTCTGGTACTGTACTCATGCCTGATAGTGAGAAAGATGGAAACCAACTGTCAGGATCCTCAAATAACTCTTTTCCTTGCCCTTTAGCCTCGCTTTCAACAAGAATTAAAAATCTCAAAAAACATCCAAAGATGGCCGGGTGCAGTGGTTCACACCTGTAATCCCAGTACATTGGGAGGCCAAGGCAGGAGGATGTCTTGAGCCCGGGAGTTTGAGACCAGCCTGGGCAACATAAAGAGACCTCGGCTCAAAAAATAAATAAAATTAGCCAGGTGTGGTAGTGTACGCCTGTGGTCCCCGTTACTCAGGAGGCTGAGGTGGGAGGATTGTTTGAGCCCAGGCAGTCAGAACTGTAGTGAGCTAGAGATGGTGCCACTGCACTCCAACCTTGGCAACAGAGCAAGGCCCCACCTAAAACAAATCCAAAGAAGCAGCTAAATTATCTTCTGTATTGCCTAAAATAAATACACATTTCTTAAAATTACCAATACAATCCTTCATTTCTATATTTGTGGCAATTTTGAACTCAATCCTAATGATAGAGTTCCATCTTCCAGCTAGAGGTACAGAAGGTGGCTATAGTGAATTTTTTAGAATTCTTAGAAACAGTCATCACATTGGCCAGGCACAGTGCGTCGCGCCTGTAATGCCAGCACTTTAGGAGGCCAAGATGGGCGGATTACCTGAGGTCGCGAGTTCAAGGACCAGCCTGGCCAACATGGTGAAACCTTGTCTCTACTAAAAATACAAAAATTAACCGGGCGTGGTGGCACACGTCTGTAATCCCAGCTACTCGGAAGGCTGAGGCATGAGAATTGCTTGAACCCGGGAGGCGGAGGTTGCAGTGAGCCGAGATCATGCCACTGCACTCCAGCCTGGGCAACACAGCGACATTCCGTCTCAAAAAACAGTCATCAAATCATGGATAGATCATTCATTAGCACTGCAGCTGTTAACCCCTTGGTGCTTCGTAGGGAGATTTGATGCTACACCAAATCTCACCAGTTTGTATTTCAATAAGTCAGTTTAATTCACCCTTCCCTGAAATCAGATCCTCTCAGTCCAATGAGGCCTGTTATTTCCTACTCCTTCCCCTTCCCATTTTGCTAAACCCCTCCCTCTTCAAGCTTCCAGCCAAATTCCCCTTCTCACCAACAGCGTCTGCTCCCAGCTTCTGCAGCACACGACATTCTGCCACAGTCTCAAAGCTGGGGCCTGCCACCATCACATAGGTGCCTTCCTGTAGCTCACGTTGCTCCCCCATTTGTTTCCAGGTACTGAGAGCCCTCTGCCTCATAGTCCGGTCGTAGGCATCAGACATGGCAGGGAAACGATCTCCAAACCTAGGACACAGGTTGAATTATCTCACATAAACGGAATTTTAAAAATTCTCCCACAGCTCCTAGAGAAGTCTTTAAATCCTACCCACCTAAAAAAAACGGAGTAACATACA
This sequence comes from Homo sapiens, assembly GCF_000001405.40. NCBI lineage: Eukaryota > Metazoa > Chordata > Mammalia > Primates > Hominidae > Homo > Homo sapiens. The sequence goes on along the minus strand of NW_025791796.1, from coordinate 677,632 downwards.
TACCTTTCATCATTGGGCCCTCTGAGAGGGTTCTGACCACTGAAACCAGGTAGGTTGATATGGTCACGGATCAGCATGATATCTCCAACCTCAAACTTGGGGTTCAGCCCTCCTGCTGCATTGGTGACTACCAGGGTGTCCACACCCAGAAGGTGGAAAACCCTCACTGGGAATGTCACCTTCGAAGCAAACAATCCGAAAAAAATTTACAAAATTTCATTAATTCAGCTACACTGAAATGCATGACATACATCGTGAAAGAAAAGGAAGGAGAGGACCAAAAATCCACCTAGCCCAGATAGCTAGGTAGTGAAAGAGGCTAGATAGTTCTCTCCTGCCTCTTCCAGATCCAACCGGACCTATCCCTCTGACTTACCTTCCAGAGTGGGTACCCTTCATACATGTGGAACCTGCCCTGCATCATCACACAGGCCCTGCCATTCAGGAACCCAAACACCAGTCGGCCAGCATGACCTGGCACTGTATACAAAACAGAAAGAGAAATGAATGGGATTATATTTTCATGCAACACATATCCATTAAGCACCTACTGTGAGTTACTCGCTCTGCTCAAAATGTTAGGTTGTAATTAAGTAAAAGACTCATTATTATCTCTGCTTTCAGAAAGTTTAAGTCTGGTGAGAGAGCCAGGCATTACTAATAATTATACAAATACAACCCAAGATTAGAGATATGGGGTGCGTTCAGCATGTTCAGCATGAACACACAAAGAAGGAAGGGCTTTTTAAAGAAATTTCAAGATAATACAAGCCATACTGCCAGAGAGTAAAAAGTGAGCAAAAAAAGTAGATACTCAGAAATGGAAGATTAAATACTACATGTTCTCACTTATAAGTGGGAACCAAATGTGTACATATGGACCTACAGAGTGAAATAATAGACACTGGGGACTCGGAAAGGTGAGAAAGTGGGATGGGGATGAGGGATGAGAAATTACCTAATAAGTACAATGTTCACTGCTCAGGTGATGGTTACACTAAAGCACAGACGTCACCACCACGCAGTATATCCATATAACAAAACTGCATTGTACCCCTGTAAATCTATAAAAATTAAAATTAAAAATAGGCCAGGTGCGGTGTCTCACACCTGTAGTCCCAGCACTTCGGGAGCCCAAGACAGGCGGATCAACAGGCCAGGAGTTCAAGACCACCCTGGCCAACATGGTGAAACCTCATCTCTACTAAAAATACAAAAATTAGCCAGGTGTGGTGGCACATGCCTGTAATCCCAGCTACTCGGGAGGCTGAGGTGGGAGAATCTCTTGAACTTGGGAGGTGGAGGTTGCAGTGAGCCGAGATCACAACACTACACTCGAGCCTGGGTGACAGAGCGAGACTCTGTTTCAAAATAAAGTGAGTACAGTGAATGCAGTAATTATAGACCTCTTCAAATTTTTCAAAGTTCTCAAAACATGTATTCTTATCTATTGCCCTAACTTAATTACCTGCCTCCTCAGTCCAGCAAGCAAGCTCATAGTATACTTACTCTGGCTTCTTAAAGAAGAGGCTACTGAACAAGGGGGAAAGAATTTGAACGCATGCAAGTGTCTCTTTCCTTATGACCCACGGAACAGTCCTATGGGAACACATGCCCACGGAGGGGTGCGTGGGAGTGCAAAGATAACTCCCCACAGACATAACAGCCATTATTACCATTTCTTTTATCTGGCAGTCACTTCTAATAGACGGCCAACCTATCCCTTAGGGAATGGGAGAGGGACTAGAACCAAGAGGAAGAGCTGAGAAATTCTCAAAGATAGAGGAGCTTATGCAAAAAAACAAAACAAAAACAGTAATAAAGTTGACAAAGGAAACCCAAGTGGAGTATAAAAAATAAACATGTTGATAAGCTTAAAAAAACTAACCCACTTATCATTTAATGCAGTGCCCTTCTCACTGGGGGTAGGAGTGGCCAGTGGAGCCAGCGTCACTACTATCTCCCTTAGAGAAGTATGCCCTTCACACACCCTCTGTTAATATTTCCCTCACCTTCTCCCTCTGCTCTTCCAGTCTTGTGTTAAAGAGTTTAAAAAAATAGCTATTAAAGGTCTTTTCCTGCTGACAGGTCTTAAAAAAAAATTCTTAACTCTCCAGGGAAAAGAAGATAGAAATCTTAAAAATTAATAAATAAACCAACAGAAGTTAGTTATTTGAGAAATTACGTAAACCAAATAAACAACCCTTGCCCTTTACTTGGCCCCTGTCACCTGGCCCTCTTCTGAGTCTTAGCCTCAGTCCACTGACACACACATGTCCTGTCTCTTATGGGATGTCTGCTAGAGGCATCTCCTAAAGTCACTCTGACTCATGGTGGGCTTTTCTCCTCTCTTACAACATTTGTCTTCAGTGAAATGCTAGGTCAAGGAGTAGAAACATTGGCCTCCTTGGTTGTGTTCCACAGAATTCCAAGAACATCCCTCAGTCCCATTCCCCACTTTCCCTTGCCAGTACCTGTACTTCGGGGAAAGTTGGGGATTTCACCGTAGTCAAAGATCTGGGCCTGAGTTAATTTATCAGTCAGACCTCCTAATCCAGAACCACAGATTATTGCAACTTGAGGTCGGTGCTTAGTGTGAGACAGAAGCCATTCTGCAGTGTTCTTATAATCTTCATAGGTGTATCTGGGGGAGAAAAAATATCAAGGTGAATTCTGCTCCCATTCCAAGGGCATCACAGACAAATGACCTTCGGTGCAAAAAGGCTGGCAGGTATACTGAGGCAGCAGGGACGGAGAAGCTGGCACAGAGGGAAAGGCCATACTATGCTCTTCCATCTACTCAGCCACCCTTCTTTCTGAATCAAGCCCACTACAAGTCTGATATGAAACTACCTCCATTCTAGAGCCTGGCAAAAGTTAATAAAGCCTGTTTCTACTAACAGGCCCAACTCCAGTGTTGGATCCACTGAACACTGGCAAGCTGCATACTTATCCTTATGACAAAGGTTTAGAGAGGAAGGGGCCAGAGTGTACGGGGAAGTGCAAGGAAATAATCAAATTAGGGAGGGTAAAAGGGCTTGGCCAGGAGGGAGCCCAAGAAGAGTACTCAAAATGGGATTAAGCCCTTCCTGAGGGTGGTGCCCACCTAGTAAAATCCCCCTTATTACCTTACCTGTTCCCCAAAGACATTCAAAATGTAATTAAGACCAACTACTATGAAGGCAGAGATAAACTCAAATTTCCTTTTGAACCCTCATTCCTCCAGTTCCTTCCTCAGCCAAAGACTTAAGGGCTACATTTCTTTTTTGTTTTAACCAATAAAACACAATGGGACCACCCCTGGTAGAGGTCTACGTGCCATTCTTAGCTCCCTGGATCACAAGGGGGTTAATTCCAGACAAAAAACTAGATAAACTGCTGTACAAAAAAGCAGACCCAGTCCACAGTACTGGTTGTCAAAGGTTAAACCAGGACTGACTACACAAATTCTCAGCAGAAGCTTGTTAGAAAAACAGATTCTGGCACTCCAGCCTGGTGACAGAGTGAGACCCTATAAAAAACACACACACACACACACACAAAACCCCCACAAAAAACAGATTCTGAAGCCCATGTAATTTTGATTTTAAAACCAGGTTTAGGGGCTGGGCGCGGTGGCTCATGCCTGTAACCCCAGCACTTTGGGAGGCCGAGGTGGGCGGATCACGAGGTCAGGAGATCGAGACCATCCTGGCTAACATGTTGAAACCCCGTCTCTACTAAAAATACAAAAAAAAAAAAAAAAAAAAAAAAATTAGCCGGGCGTGGTGGCGGGCCCCTGTAGTCCTAGCTACACGGGAGGCTGAGGCAGTAGAATGGTGTGAACCCGGGAGGCAGAGGTTGCAGTGAGCCAAGATCGCTCCACTGAACTCCAGCCTGGGAGACAGAGCGAGACTCCGACTCCAAAATAAATAAATAAAAATAAAATAAAATAAAACCAGGTTTAGGAATTGCTGGTCTGGAGGGAAGCAGAATTCGACCTAGATTCTAGTCCCAATATTGTCTTTTTAGGCATGTAATTTGTGCTTTAAATTATTTTCTCAGGTATAAACAAGGGATGTAAATTGGCCCCATCTATCTTATAGGCTCAATCTGAAAATGAATTGAATACTTGCTAACAACTTCCAAAGACCTATGGCTCTGTTACACAAAGTATTTGAATCTTTCTCCTGCTTTCCACCTGCCTGTGGTCTTCTTCCTGTCCTTCCCCCTCCCTGCCTCCTCCCAGTTTCCTTTCTCTCCACCGAGGATCTTTGCTCTTCAGAAACCTCAGGGCACTTACCCAGAACCCCTACACTAGCAAGAATCAACCCGTGTTACTTTTCTCCCAGTTCCAAGTCCAGTTCTCTCACATCCATCTGGGAAGACCAAACGTTGCTTTCAGAGGTGGCAATGAGGTGTGACAGAGCTGAACACAACTAACCAAGCTTTCACAGGAAATTTTTTACTTGGAAAGCAGAGCCCGGGAAACCAGACATGATTGCACAATACACCAGGCTACCCTCAGGGAAGCAGTTGGATCAGGTAGGTTGGGGGCTGGTCAACGGAGCCACAGGACAATGGAGAGAAGCAATTAAGCTGGTAAAATGTTAATCAAATGGCATCCCCAAAAGGTGCAAAGGAAATGAATGTGTGAAGCTGCCGCCACATGGCATGTCTAGCCACATCTCACAGCACTTCCTCATTGGCTATCAGTCCCCTCAAGAACACCCTGGCTCCCTGGGCATCCAAAAGCAACTGTGATGCCTAATGCAGGTCACTTGGACTGGGATATCCAGGACCCAAGCCGAGAGAAGAGTTTTCAAAGGCGTGGGGTGGGGGAAGTGAGCACAGGACTGTTGCTCAGTTCGGTGACTGATTTCCGTCTCCACTTAGCAGTCACTTCCCACCGAGTTAATCATACTGCCAGTCTGGAAGGAAGGGAGGAGTGCAACTGGCAAAGGAGGTGAGTAATCTTGCCTCTAAAGGAGGAACTCCGAATTTGAGCACCAAAAGTACCTCGCAGCTTTACCCAGACCCTAGCATGGGAATTTATGAAGAGCGCAGGGGGTGAGGAGACCTCCTCCTGGTATGGAGTGAGGGATATATACATATACTCACTCTCCACTTGTTCCCCTAACACACACACGGAGACACACAACGGCTGCTTTTACGGAGTAGCTTAGACCGCACCGACCTGTCCCCTTCCTGCTCCGGTGGCGCCACCCCAGCTCGATTCCCGCGTGCGTCCCTGCCCGCGCTGGCTGCCGCATGACTCTGCCGCCTTGCTCCCGACACTAGGCTCAGTGCCAGGCCTCTCTGCATCCCCTGGGCGCTCGCTCCCTCCGCCAGCTCCCTCTGGGCCCAGTGTGCCAGGTTCCCGGGTCACAGCACCTGCCCCTCCCCAAGGGTCCTGCGGGCCTGGTGCCCTCCTCACCCGTTCTCCATGGTCTCGCAGACGCCTTCTCGATGAGCCTGCTCCGGTGTGCTCCGATCCGCTCCGATCCGATCGGATCCGCTCCGCTATGCTGAACTGAGCAAGGCTGCCGGGTCTGGTTCGCACAGTTGGCTCACTGGTCTAGGCTCTGGCTTATATCCCTTGCCCTGGAGTCCCCAGCCAATGGCAAGCGAGCACGCGGGCCGGCCCTGTCTCCATGGTGACACACCCTAATTCAATCGGCTGAACCTGGGCTGTAAACCTAATCAGAGTTCTTCCCAGCCCTAAACCTTCTGCCCCGGGGCGGGCGGGGGGAGCCGGAGCGCACCCAGCATTTCATCTCGGTACCCATTCCAGTCCGCAGGGCAGGAGTTCCCAGCAAGAAGGCCTATGCGGAAATAGGGCTAGAAGTAGGGAGGAGAGCCCCCAGCCCTCTCCTTGCAACCTCATTCCAGCTGTGTCAATAGCAAACCGTGAGAGATTCAAAAAGGAAAAATTTCATACCTTAGATTGTACAACCCCAGAATAAAAATGAAGCGAGACTGTGTCTGAGTTGCTCCCTGGACAAGGGAAGCTGGGTCGCCCCCGGCAACAGTGCTAACTTGGAGGATACAGGGTTTAGGAGAGCACATCCAGGCCCAGACCGGGAGAAGAAAAAGTTCTCAGGCAAGAATTCCGGGGTCCTAGATGCCGACAGAAAGGATAAGGATGGATTTGGTGGGTAGGGACACAGATAATCCCTTGATCTGCGCAATATTGATCCAAGCAATTCAGGTAACTAGAGGACTCCTCCCACGAAGAAAATTCTGTTATCGGAATACACGGGTACCAGAATATAACATAAATAGCGTGTCTTTGGTAGAATACAACTATTACTTCTGCCCACATTTACAATTTAATTTTTACATTTAATTTACATTTTTACATTAAATTTACATTTAATTTTTAATTTAAAAAATTAAAAAAAAATTTATATATAAAGGCCAGGCGCGGTGGCTCACGCCGGTAATCCCAGCACTTTGGGAGGCCGAGGTGGGTGGATCACCTGAGGTCAGGTGTCGGAGACCAGCCTGGCCAACAAGGCAAAACCCCATCTGTACTAAAAATACAAAAAATTAGCTGGGCGTGGTGGCAGGCGCCTGTAATCCCAGCTACTTGGGAGGCTGAGGCAGGGAGAATGGCTTGAACCCGGGAGGTGGAGGTTGCAGTGACCTGAGATCACACCATTGCACTCCAGCCTGGGCAACAGAGTGAGTAGCTGGTTCCTGAGAACTTACTAGCACTTTGAAAATAACAATGCACACAAATTGAAAAAAAAATTTCGTTCTTAAATAACCACAAACAGTTACTTACGGGATATGTACATCTGTTTGGCACTACTCAACTTCTCACATGCAGGAATCCAATGCTGCCACCCTCATTTTCTGTTCCATGCTGATTTTTACACAGTACTTTTTTTTTTTACTTAATACTTAATTTTTATCAGAGGGACCTTCTAAAACCATCTTTTGTAAAGATATGTTGTCTTTATATATATATATATTTTTGAGACAGGGTTTCACTCTGTAACCCAGGCTGGAGTACAGTAGCACGATCTTGCCTCACTGCAATCTCTGCTGCCTGGGTTTGAGCCATTCTTTTGCCTCAGCCTCCCGAGTAGCTGGGATTACAGGTGCCTGCCACCATGCCTGGCTAATTTTTGTATTTTTAGTAGAGACGGGGTTTTGCCATATTGGCCAAGCTGGCCTTGAACTCCTGACTTCAACTGATCTGCCCACCTCGGCCTCTCAAAGTGCTGAGAGTATAGGCATGAGCTACCACACCTGGCCAGATATATTGTCATCAAAAGGAATGTAGCACAATCTAATGTTCCAACTGTGAATCACCTCAAGTTAATAGGTCACACAGTGTTTAAGAAATATAAAATATTGCTGTGTTTCCTCTGAAAATTAAAAATATTCCACAATACCCTTGTGAGCTTGTACTTTGGCACAGTTTGGGAACCATGGCCCCAGTCACTCCATGCCACCTCATTCCTGAATCTATGTAGTGTAAATGAATGGGCTCTAATAAAACTACCTGTGTATGAATGCCATCTTCACCCCTTATTTACTCGTGTGATTCTAGGCAAGTAAAATTCTTATTATGCTTCAATTTTTTCATCTGTAAAATAGCAATAATCTTAGTATTTTTGCAAGGATTATACAGAATACCTTTTACATGTTTAGGTAAATGCCTGGATATATAATAAGCACACATTAAATGCTGGCTATTATGATTAATCTCCATTGTCTCTTTCTCTTTTGTTCTTTCTAGACTCACCTAACCATAAATTGAATCAAAATAAAAACTAGAGGTATATCCAGCCTATCAATACCAATGAATCCCACACTGTTCAAAACAGAAGGCACTAGCCATGTGTGGCTATTTAAAAGTAATAAAATTAATTAAGATGAAATATAATAAAAATAATTCAGTTACCTAATCATACTAATTACATTGTAACTTCTCGATAGTCACATGTGGTTAGTGGCTACCATATTGCATAGCATAATTACGTTTTTATGCTAGAGCACAGCACTGTTCTTATCTTTTCTAGTCACTGCCACCTTGTATCCACATAAAAGAAACTGGAACTGTGCTTTATTATTTACTTTTAGGGTAAAAGAGTTCCTGTAGCATTCCTATAGACAGGAACCAGACGATCATCAATCTTAGTGTGATTAGAGTTCATTAATGCCTTATTACCTTTTCTTCTATCTTCTCATCACTTCTATCTTCAGAGGGACTCCTTGTCCAGGAACATACTTAGTAACACACTTACCCTCCACCCGCAAGATCAAGGAAACTAAAAAAAAGTGGCAGGAATAGGTTCTAAGTCACTCAGTATTGCCTTGTGGAACGTATTTTATTCCTGCCCTCTCAACTGAGATCTCTTATTCTCTCTAGATCACAAGCTAAATATGCGGTTTTAAAAATATCTATCCCTGGCCAGGCACAGTGCCTCAGACCTGTAATCCCAGCACTTTGGGAAGCCAAGACAGGAGGATTACTTGAGCCCAGGAGTTTGAGACCAGCCTGAGCAACATGGTGAAGTCTCATCTCTACAAAAAATACAAAAATTAGCCAGGTGTGGTGGCATCTGTGGTCCCAGCTACTAGGGAGGCTGAGGCAGGAGAATCACCTGAGCCCAGGAAGTCAAGGCTGCAGTGAGCTGTGATGGAGCCACTGCACTCCAGTCTGAGTGACAGAGTGAGACCCTATCTCAAAAAATAAAATAAAATATCTACTCCCCTTATCACCATAATCTTTGGTCTTCCATTTTCTCCAATTACTGAAATTAAAACATTTTAGGGTTTTTCCCTGTTTTTTTTTTGTTGTTGTTTGTTTGTTTGTTTTTAGATAGGGTCTCGCTCTGCCACCCAGGCTGGAGTGTAGTGGCTCAATCTCAGCTCACTGCAGCCTCAATCTCCTAGGCTCAAGCGATCCTCTTTCCTCTGCCTCCCAAGTAGCTAGGACTACAGGCACGCACCACCGCATTCGCCTATTTTTTATTTTTATTTTTTTAGAGATGGGGTATCTTCATGTTGCCCAGGCTGGTCTCAAACTCCTGGGCTCAAGTGATCCTCCCACCTCAGCCTCCCAAAGTACTGGGATTATGGGCATGAACCAGCACATCCAGCCCTTCTCTTTCTGTTATAGGGATCACTTTTATTTCTCTTTTCTAAGAGTGAGACTTCCATCTGTGCCTCACTCAGTGGCAGGAAGAACAGAGCAGAGATAAAGGACTGGCCTACCACCCTCTATTCCAAAGACCTTGGCTCCTAGAAAGGGAAGCCAGGAATTCCCTAAAGGAAAGAGCAAAGAACTGAGGCCCAGGAAGAGCAAGGAGCACAAGGGAGCAAAGTCCCAATGTAATTAACGTAAATTAATTCTTTAAAACCAGGTCACACCCTACCCAATCCCACCCAACCCCCGGCAAACTACCCCTCGTCTTAGTTAACTCACTCTGCACATTACCAGAAACTTTCTGTGCCTTTGAAATGCAGTAAGGGATTGTGTTGTTTTCACACAGGTGGTAAATTACCACTTCAGGAAAGAGGAAAAAAGAAATAGGGCATGTGGAATATGTGAAAAAAAAGAAATCAGATTGGGACACTTTGGGTCATAGAAGCCAAGCAGATGTTTTCCACCCCATCCTCTGGCCATGTACACACTGTACTAGTTATCACTTTGTTGGAAATCTAAAGAAAAAAATGCTTTGAAATCTATTCTATTATATAACACAATGAAGTGTGTTCCCCCAAATTCTTATATTGACGCTCTAATCCTCATTGTGACTATATTTGGAGATAAGTCCTTTAAAAAGGTAATTAAGTTTAAATGAGGTCATAATGGTGGGGCCACAATCCAATAAGACTGTTGTTCTCATAAGAAGAAGAGAGGCCAGGCAGGGTGGTGCTCACCTGTAATCCCAGCATTTGGACACCAAAGCAAGAGGATCACTTGAGCCCAGGAGTTAGAGACCAATGACCAGCCTGGGCAACATAGTGAGACCCTGTCTCTACAAAAAATTAAAATATTAGCTAGGCATGGTGGCATGCACCTGTCATCCCAGCTACTTGGGAGACTGAGGTGGCAGGACTGCTTGTGCCCAGGAGTTCAAGGCCGCCACAGACTATGACTGCACCACTGCACTCCTGCCTGGGTGACAGAGTGAGACCCTGTCTCTAAAAGCACGGAAAAAGAAGAGAAAGAGGAAGAGAAAGCAAAAATGTGTGTAGAGAAAAGGCCATTTATGCCACAGTGAGAAGGTGGCCATCTGTAAGCTAAGGAGAGAAGCCTCAGGAGAAAGCAAACCTGCCAATATCTTGATCTTGGGCTTCCAGACTCCAGAGCTGTGAGAAAATAAATGTTTGTCGTTTATGCTATCTATAGTGTTTTTTATGTCCTAGCAAATTAATACACCTCAATAGCCTAACTGTTCTCAATCTAAGTGAGAAGATCCCACCCCATAGGTAAAAATCAGGCAATACCTGAGACACTCAATATTTACCAGAGATAATATTAAAATGGCTTATCTGTAAAATACAGGTACCAACCAATCAGAACCAATGGCGCCATAAACAACCAATGCCAGCCACCCTGTAGTGCCCCAGCTGAATATCCTCCCTGCTTGCAACTGCAGCTAACAATATTGTTCAGTACCCAGCAAATTTATCCCAAGATGGGGCTTAAGTTACTTCATTAATTAATTAGAGAGCCATCTATCAAGCAGCTTCTATGTTCCAGGCATTTAGCATAAAAGGGGGCTCATCCCAAGCACCTTCTCTCTGCCACTTCTGTGCTTCTGTCCCTTTCAATCTACCTATCAAATTATTTGAATGTAAAATATTAGATCATAAGTCAGAAGACGGGGATTTAGAGCTCCATTTCAATCTGTCACTTAGCTTAAATGACTCCAGTTTACACAGCCTCAGTTTCCACATCTGTAAAATAAAGATATAGTCTTGCCTTCCCTGTCCACATCACAGTGGGTTCTGAAATAAAATGAATATAACTATGAATGTGCTTTATTGGCCGGGCACAGTGGCTCACGCCTGTAATCCCAGCACTTTGGGAGGCCGAGGCGGGTGAATCACGAGTTCAAGTGATTGAGACCATCCTGGCCAACATGGTGAAACCCCATCTCTACTAAAAATACAAAAATTAGCTGGGTGTGGTGGCACACACTTGTAATCCCAACTACTCGGGAGGCTGAGGCAGGAGAATCGCTTGATCCCGGGAGGTGGGCAGAGATCACACCACTGCACTCCAGCCTGGCGACAGAGTGAGACTCTGTCTCAAAAAAAAAAATGCTTTATTAACTGTGAGCAAGTTCCAAATATTATGATTACTTTTTGCATTTTTCTGCCTATTGATCTACTCAACAACACAGAGCTCAGATCCTAGTTATCCATGCACAATACTCATTTTTCTTTATGTTTTAGAAGTTTTCTCTGGCTGCTCTAGCTAGAAGTGATCTCTTCTTTTCTTGAACTTGAATTACATTGTTTAATTCTTTTATTATGAAGCATGTGCTGTATCATGAATTTCTAGTATTGATATTTTTCCATGTAATAAAATACTAGTGCTGATTTTCTTTTTTTTTTTTTTTTTTTTGAGACACGATCTTGCTCTGTTGCCCAGGTTTAGATCATGGCTCATTGTAACCTTGAACTCCTGGGCTCAAGCAATCCTCCACCTCAGCCTCCCAAAACACCGGGATTACAGGCATGAGCCACCACTCCTGACCTGATATGTTATACTGTCAATGTTTACACTATTCTGTCTCCCTACCCAGAGTGTAAGCTTTTTTAAGGAGTGTCTTTCACAAAGTGTAGATATTTAAAAAATATTTTTAGGACAGTTTTTGGAATATATGTGTAACTAGGGCGCAAATAATGGATCCTACTCCAACCCCAGACAATGCTTGAGCATCTGTGTGCCACAAACAGCAGAAAAAGCAGCAGACTGGCCTCCCTCTATGGAGCTACAACCTCTTCCCTATTTTGTATCTGGAGCTTCCTTAGTTCTTTAAGTGTCTGTTAGGGGCTCTTATCTAACTGGTCGAAGGTTACTAGCTTCCAAGTAGAAGTTGGCCTGAGAAAACCCTGTCTAAAAAAATCAGGACCTAGGTGAAGTCTCCAGCCCCTGTAGCAGCCAAGTGCTGGGACATCTGCAGTTCCTTTGTTATTACATATTTGGGGCTGGCTGTACTTTCTTTGATGCACTTCCTTTCTTAGTGGAGAGTCTGCTAGCCAAACTGATAATGGACCTCCTCGGGGTTTATTGTTTTTATCAATTCCTTGTTGCTTCCCATATTTAAAGCAGTCCCAGTTTGGGCTATGACTTGGGAAAAAATCCAGGTGTGGTTCAGGCGCCCATAAAGACCACACGAGACTTCAGGTAGGGGAGGAGGCACTGCCCCTTTGCTGGAAGCAAAGTTGAGACAGGCCTAAAGACTGTCCCATCTGTCAAATAAGGTGACGAAAATAACCTTGTATTTGATTAATCCAATCTACAAACTTGTGCGTATGTTAAAGGTTGGTGGTCATAAAACTGAGTAAAGGCACGGTGGCTTGTCCCTGTAGTCCCAGCTACTGGGAAGGCTTAGGCAGGAGATCAAACTCAGGAGTTTGAGTCCAGCATAGGCAAGACCCCATCTCTATTGAATTTTTTTTTTTTTTTTTTTAGTAAAACGATGAAATCTTCTAGTAGTGGAGACACTAATGAAAAGATAATTTAACAATTTGATCAGCAATGGGGAAAGACGGGGCTCTGTAAGGACAGCTTCCAGGAAAACCCAGTCTTGTGTCCTGTCCTGAAAGTGACTCTAGCGACAAAGGCTGGAGTGATAATCTTAACTTTTTAATCCATTTCCTTCTGGTACCTCATTACTCTGACTTTTTAAAGGTACTTCTTTGAGTAGAACAGCTAACTTTGTCTACTGTTCCCCACCGTCCATTTTCTCCCCGCTCAGAAGATCCCAAGCTTCCGCACTCCTTTATTGCACCCGCCCAGCCTCCTTTAAAATGCATAAGCCACGCCCCCCATGTTCTGGCGCTAAGTTCGGGCCAATGCAGTTGCGCCGCTAGGATCACAGGACGAAAGAAGTAAAGTCACCAGCCAATAGGAAACCAGCTACAACGCAAAGCCGGAGAAAAGTGTTTTAGTGGTGTCTTTGAACCAATGAGGAGCAGAGCAACAGGGACCGTGCAGCTTCCAGAAACACGTGACCAGTTGAGCAGACGCAGCCTAGCCCTACCTCCTGGTCTGGAGGTAGCGCGATGGGCGTCGCTCCCAATAGCTTGCAGAACCTCTAGTCACGTGCAGGTTTTGCAAGCCCAGCAGCATCTGGCAGGTCATGTGACAGTTGACGTTTGTGCGTCGCTCCCCAATGGAAAAGGAGAGCTGCCTTCACAGGACCAGGAATTGGTTTATCTACGCGAATAATAGCATGACCCGGGCGGGGATAGCCTATCACGTGCTGCTAGACGGAACGGGGCGGGGCAGGCCACTGGTTGCGGAGTGAGCTGGGCGCGCGGCGCGCAGGCGCCCTGGGGACCCGGTAGCGGCGGTGGCGGTGGCGGCGGTGGCGGTGGCTGCGGCGACGGCAGAGGCGAAGGGAGCCGGATCGCCGACCTGAGCGGGAGGCGGCGGTGGCGGCCATGGCGGCAGATGGAGAGCGTTCCCCGCTGCTGTCTGAGCCCATCGACGGTGGCGCGGGCGGCAACGGTTTAGTGGGGCCCGGCGGGAGTGGGGCTGGGCCCGGGGGAGGCCTGACCCCCTCCGCACCACCGTACGGAGCCGGTAAACATGCCCCGCCCCAGGGTAAGCCGGGGCGGGTCCGAGGTGCTCCCCGGGGTACTCTGAAAGCCGGGGAGGGGGCGGGACCGAGGGCGGAGGCGGGTCCCAGTCGCCAGGTGCGGGACTGCTGCACCTGTGACTGGGCGAGGCTTCCTTCCCTCCGTAATCGCGACCACAGCCTAGGGACGGAAGGGGGTTCTGAGCAACCTGATAGAAGTGCCAATTATGAGAAGCCCTCCGAGCTTGGTCAGAGGGTTGAAGATCAGAAGGACTTCCCTACCACCGTGGAGCATCAGTGGGGGTGTAAGTGATCCCAGCCCTTCTATTTGCTTCCTCTCCAGCATTTCCCCCGTTTCCCGAGGGGCATCCAGCCGTGTTGCCTGGGGAGGACCCACCCCCCTATTCACCCTTAACTAGCCCGGACAGTGGGAGTGCCCCTATGATCACCTGCCGAGTCTGCCAATCTCTCATCAACGTGGAAGGCAAGATGCATCAGCATGTAGTCAAATGTGGTGTCTGCAATGAAGCCACCGTGAGTTACACATATCTATGAAATGGGCCCTGTTTCCTGGATCCTCTTTCTGATGTCTTGGTTCTAGACCCTGACCTTCCGGCTATTAGCCAAGTGCTTTTGATGATACCCAGGTTTCAGTTCCAGGTGTCTCACACAGCCATTTCCCCAGAAGCCACTCACCAAAGCTAATGTTCACTTTCTCTCACTTTTACACCTAGCCTAGTTCCTATTTGCAAATCTCATGATATAGTCTTTCTTTTATTTCTCCTTCCTGGTTAGCACCTTATTTTTCTGATCTCATAAAGTGTTTTTGGAGGGAAGTGGAGGGGATTGGGATTAGAGGTTTGCTTGCTGATGACCCTATTATTCTCTAGCCAATCAAGAATGCACCCCCAGGGAAAAAATATGTTCGATGCCCCTGTAACTGTCTCCTTATCTGCAAAGTGACATCCCAACGGATTGCATGCCCTCGGCCCTACTGGTAAGAGGCATAAGGTGGGGAAGGGCCTAAGTGGGGAACTGGAAAGTCAAAAAAGGATGAGCGTATACAGAGAATGTAAAGGTGAGAGAGCCTAGTGTTTATTTAGGAGAAAAGGCTTTGAAGCATGTGCCTCAGGAATGTTATAGCTGTCTTTCTCGTTTCTCAATAAAAATATTGAGATGAAATGATGTCGTTTCGGAGAATAGAGAGCCTTGGGGACTGGGTGTGTTATCCTGAGGTCGGAGGGGAATTGGGGACCTGAAGTTTAAACAGTGCTCTTTCTTTCTCAAGGATTCTTGAGGGTATACAGTTGGGGGACAGAGTATCTTAAGTACAGAGAAGTCGAGTGACTTAATAGACAGGGAGTGGGGGATGTGGAACAGGGACTGTGAAGATTTTTAGGATTAAAAATTTTTCAAACACAAGTTTGAAAATACAAGTCTTTTTCTTTTGTATAGCAAAAGAATCATCAACCTGGGGCCTGTGCATCCCGGACCTCTGAGTCCAGAACCCCAACCCATGGGTGTCAGGGTTATCTGTGGACATTGCAAGAATACTTTTCTGGTGAGGAAGGGGTATTGGGAAGGGGAGGGGAAAGGAGACTAAGAGTCATTTCGAGTATATTTCTTAGAGTAATGGTAATGACCCCTGAAAGGTCTGTCCTATGGGAACATGTTCTGCATCCCCACCCCAAGGTTCTCATTGAGGGAGACCCTGCTTGTGCTATTATTTTTGTTTTCTTTCTCCATAGTGGACAGAGTTCACAGACCGCACTTTGGCACGTTGTCCTCACTGCAGGAAAGTGTAAGTGATTAGGGATTGAGCTGGTAATTGATGTATGGAGTAAAAACTACAAGGCCATAGAAAGCATCCATTTCTATTTGCCTCCCCACAGGTCATCTATTGGGCGCAGATACCCACGTAAGAGATGTATCTGCTGCTTCTTGCTTGGCTTGCTTTTGGCAGTCACTGCCACTGGCCTTGCCGTGAGTACCCTTGCCCCAACCTCTTTCATTCTGCAGCCTCATCTCCATAGGCTAAGATTTGGGAAACTGCTACCCTAAAAAAAAGTGGAAGAAACTTGGGGGACTAGTTTGTTTTGTTTTAAGATATGGATGAGCTAAAGTGCAAAGTGGCTGATCAAACAGACTTTATTACTACTACAAGAGTGAAAAACAGCCTTCCTTTCTCTGTAGGATGAGGATAGGACAGTGAAATTCTTAATTTAAGAGTTGCTATTTTTCAAACCTGGCTCAGTTGTCAGATATTAAGAAAAACTGAGATACAGTGTGGGATGGGATGAGTATGTTACGCCTAAGGGAAGGAAGCTGATCAGCTCTGCCTTTAAGAAGGTCCCTGAGGGTGGCTACATGTGGATAAGGAACAAGGACTGAAGCGTGAGTTATTACTGTTCTTAGAACTAATAGGAGGTAGTGGAGACCAACATTAACCCCATCTTTCTTTTCTTCTCCCTCCTTATCTTCATCAGTTTGGCACATGGAAGCATGCACGGCGATATGGAGGCATCTATGCAGCCTGGGCATTTGTCATCCTGTTGGCTGTGCTGTGTTTGGGCCGGGCTCTTTATTGGGCCTGTATGAAGGTCAGCCACCCTGTCCAGAACTTCTCCTGAGCCTGATGACCCACAGACTGTGCCTGGCCCCTCCCTGGTGGGGACAGTGACACTACGAAGGGAGCTGGGGTAGTTAAAGGCTCCCGGGGCTTCTAGAAGGAAGCCAAGCAGCTGCCTTCCTTTTCCCTGGGGAGAGGTAGGAAGGAACCAGGCCCTCACTTAGGTTTGGAGGGGCAGATAAGAGCACTGCTGACCATCTGCTTTCCTCCAAGGGTTGCTGTGTCTAGGGTGAAGTAGGCAAAACGTTGCCCTTAAAACTGGGCCCTGAAGACGGTTCCAGCCTTGTCCTTCCTGTGTGCTCCCTGAGAGCCATTCCTGTCCCTTACACATTCCAGGGCAGGGTGGGGGTGGGTAGCCCTGGGGGTTCCCCTCCCTCTTGTGCACCATTAGGACTTTGCTGCTGCTATTGCACTTCACCAGAGGTTGGCTCTGGCCTCAGTACCCTCAGTCTCCTCTCCCCACATTGTGTCCTGTGGGGGTGGGGTCAGCCGCTGCTCTGTACAGAACCACAGGAACTGATGTGTATATAACTATTTAATGTGGGATATGTTCCCCTATTCCTGTATTTCCCTTAATTCCTCCTCCCGACCTTTTTTACCCCCCCAGTTGCAGTATTTAACTGGGCTGGGTAGGGTTGCTCAGTCTTTGGGGGAGGTTAGGGACTTATCCTGTGCTTGTAAATAAATAAGGTCATGACTCTACGCTTTTTCAGTTGTTAACTTGTGTGCATGAAAATATGAGGAAGAGAATGTGTAGCCCCACGAAGGGGTAAGACACGAAGACAGCAAGGCTGAAACTATGGCTCTTTATTTTCATGTGGATAATTCAAACAAAGTCATTAGTAGTCTTTGTTCAATTTTTTTTTAAAAAACAAAAAACCCTCAAATAAAAAATCTTGGGCTTAAAAGAACTCTATCACAGGAGCCTGGTTGGAGGATTCCTAGTTTTATACATGAGAAATAGAATGCAGATTTCTCTGAAGAGTGTTTAAAGAAGGAATGGTAGTTGAGGGGGCTTATTTCCCAGGCTCAAAGTGATTTAGGGGTGGTGTCACAGTGCTAGGTATAGGGTGATAGGACAGTGATCACTGCCGAGGGCCTTGGAACGGATCTTGCTGTCACACAATGCAGGTAACAGAGAGTGGGACAACAAAAAGTAATCAAGGCGCCAACCAACATTCTTGGATCGAGCATTCATCATATAAGTCCAAAAGGTGTAGGCATAGGGTGTGTTGGGGTAGAGGTGCCTAAAGCTGTCAGCCAGTGGCACAGCCTGCAGTAATTCCCCGAAGCCTTGGCGCTCTTGTGGCGTGAAGCCAGCATTCTTTTTGTTCCCCTTGGGGTTGCGAAGGTCAATTTCTTCATGTGCCACATTGAGGTCTCCACACAGCACAAGGGGCTTTCGGGAAGCCAGGCCCTTCAGGAACTTGCGAAAGGCTTCATCCCAGCGCTGCCGGTACTCCAGTCGTACCAGACCTCGGCCTGCATTAGGTACATATGCTGTTACCAGCACAAACGAGTCAAATTCAGCCACAATCACCCGGCCTTCCTGATCATGCTCCTCATCGCCTATAGAAATGAAACAGAATTAGCATAAAAAACTATAAGAAAAGGGAAAGCAATCAAGAGGTGGGGCAGAGATAGAGAATTAGCAATTGGTTTTGAAGAGTTCAGGCATTAGGCATCAATAGGGTCTCACCTATGCCGTAAGAAACTTTGAGTGGGCACTGGCGGGAAAGCAGGCCCACGCCACTGTACCCTTCCTTGTCCGAAGGAGCTGACCAGTATTGATGAGAGAGTCCAGGCAGCTCCTGAAGTTCAGCTGGTAGTTTGTTCTCTGAACATTTGGTCTCTTGAAGGCACAGTATATCTGGGGCTTCTTCCTTTACCCACTGTAAGTGAAAAGAAAGGTGGAAAACGTATTATCAATTCAGCAGAACATTTATTGAATAATCTATATGCTAAGTCATAGATACGCACGGGTTAAACAGTCTCTTGGCCTAAGGAGTTCGAGTCAAGCAGCACAATATTCAAACAATTCTAAGCTAGATAAATGAAAACAAATATAGAGAGGTAAGAAAGTCTTACATGCTATGCCAAGGAGATGTGTTTTTTCTATAGGCAGTGGATAGCAAGCTAAGATTTTTAAGCTATGGTTAATGGAATGGAGGACATGCTTCATATGGAATGCAATGCAGGAAGATAAAATGGAGGAAGTATAGTGAAGAGGTTTTTGCAACATTCTGGGAAGAGGAGAGAACACTAAAAAAGAAAATGGCAATGGAAGTGAAGGAACAGACATTTAGGAAATACAACTGGCAAGACTGGGGAAGCCCCACAGAAAACTACGGGCAGGAGAAAAATAAAACAGCCTGAAGGCTAAACGGAGAAAAGGGGTGACTAAACCCTAAGACCATTCAATACTAAAAAATGTCTCTTTCCCTCAAATTCCACTCACATCTAATCCTTTCTTCTTAATCCAGGCTCGAAGCCCATCCACATTCCAAGAGCAGATCTTGAGTGTGGCAGGTTTGCCACTGGGTGAGGTTTTCTGATCTGGGGGGTCCTCATACAGGGCTGGGCCCTCTCCTGCTGCCTCTTTGTCATTTTTCTTTGCGGCCGTCTTACTCTTCTTGGCCTCTGGCTCTATAAAATGAGTAATATATACTGACAAAAAGCTGGTGGTTTCCAACTGCGATCCGGCGTTAACTATAGACCCAACGAAAGCCTACGGTTCCTGCGACTTCTTCACAAACCCCTGCAAAAATGAGTCGGCCCGTACTTACCGTACATCAAGGGAATGACAAACACCCCCGCCGCAGCTTCTAGGAAGAAGGGCTGATTTCATTCCCTTACCTGTCCTGAGCTCATCCCCGTCTTCCGCCACCGCTCCCTTTTTCCCACGCTTCGGCATTCCCGTTACGAACGCCCTTGGGCAGCTGTACCGCGTCACCCACCGAAGCAATATTTTTACCGCGTTGCCTACAGACGCAAAGAAATCATGAAACCAGCTAAGGCTGGGGAGAAGACTCCTCCCAAGAGCGTCCCCGCACCAGGTCCCGCCTTTCAAACCACGTTATCTCTAAATCCTTTCCCCGCCTCCGTGCATCATAGGCCCTTCAGCCCCTCACCCACGAAACTAGATCATTTCATAGTGCCTTGTACCCTACTCGCGAGATCTGCCCTCCAGCCAATTGAGGATCTTAATTAAGGGTCCTGACTCAAGCTTGCCGTTCAGACTGCCAGCGAAGCCCCTCTTATGAGCAAAAGAGCAACCCCGTATCTGCACCGGCCCGATGGCAGCCTAGCTCCTCCTAACCCGAGCACAAAGAAGGGTGCACGCTGAGCCCCCACGTGGGTAGCGGACCTGGTCACGTGATCAGAGGCGCGCTTGTCGTGGCCGAAGAATGCGCGTGATTGGTCTGTCTGACACCACGTGACGGAGACGCTTAGCCTCGCCTCCCTCCTCTAATTCTCTAGGACACTTAGGTCCCCAACCCTCCCTCGGGCTGTTTATCGTTGTGCCAGATGCACAGCACATTGTGTGACACTGACTTAAGATTCTAACTATGTGCAAGAGGGAAAAAAACAGTGGAGAAGGCTGGGCTGGACCACGGGAAAGAGATAGGAAAACGGATACGAATGTAAGGCACAGAGTTGGCTCGGCGTCCCTGGCAGTTAGGAAGACAGGTCCCTGGAGGGGCCTTGGCGGGTCTCCGCTCGCGGGAGTTCCGCGGTGTCTTTCCCAGTGCTATCTGCAGGCTGGCCAGCTTCCTCTGCGCTCCGGAAAGCTGCGGCCCAGCGCGGACTAGTGAGGACCTCCACAGCTCCTGACATTGCCAGGAGTCCTGTCGGCGTTTTCTCCCAGCCTCCGCCATGCCGGCGGTGCTGGGTTTTGAAGGCAGCGCCAATAAGATTGGCGTGGGCGTGGTGCGGGATGGCAAGGTGCTGGCGAACCCGCGGCGGACTTACGTCACGCCTCCTGGCACAGGTTGGTGAGTAGGGGACTTAAGAGTTTTCCGCGCACTTCCCCGCACAGAATCAGCCTTCCATCTTCCTAAATACTAGTGAGGTGCAGCTTTCGATCCGAGTCTCATTGAAATTATGTGACATTATTAACGTCACAAGGCTGATGACTAGAAGAGTTACAGGCACTTGGACGTGGATCTGATGAGTTCATTTACCTTTTACTGAGCGCATTTTATGTGCTAAGTATTCAGAAATAGATGTTATACTGCTGTGGAGTCAGACATATAAATAGATGTTTATACTACAGCATGATAAACAGTATAATAGAGATGGACTCGAAATATTCTGTTTAAAAAACGCTTAGCAGGAGTATAGATTCCAGTTGCCCTGAATATACACTCCCTTTTTAAAAAAAAATTATTTTTTGAAATATTCTAGGATGAGTAGAGAGATGAGAGTGGAAAGACTCCCGGCTTACATGTCAGACAGAACTGGCTGGCTTTGCTATATTCATATTAAATATTTTTGTTTTGGACATTTGGTCTTTATTTTTTATTTTATTTTATTTTTTTGAGACAGAGTCTTGCTCTGTCGCCCAGGCTGGAATGCAGTGGCACGATCTCGGCTCACTGCAATCTCTGCCTTCCAGGTTCAAGCGATTCTTCTACCCCAGCCTCCCAAGTAGCTAGGACTATAGGTGTGCGCCACCACATCCAGCTAAATTTTGTATTTTTAGTAGAGTCGGGGTTTCCACCAGGCCAAGCTGGTCTCGAACTCCTGACCTCAGATGATCCGCCCACCCCAGCCTCCCAAAGTGTGGAAATTACAGGCATGAGCCACCGCTCGGGCCTGGTCTTTGTTTTTAAAATGGGAATAATACCTGTATCATTAGGTCTTGAAGATTAGATGAAAGTACCAAACACGGCTGGGCGTGGTGGCTCACGCCTGTAATCCCAGCACTTTGGGAGGCCAAGGCAGGCAGATCACCTGAGGTCGGGGTTCGAGACCAGCCTGACCAACATGGAGAAACCATGTTTCCACTAAAAAATACAAAAAATTAACTGGGCGTGGTGGCGCATGCCTGTAAACCCAGCTACTTGGGAGGCTGAGGCAGGAGAATTGCGTGAACCCGGGAGACAGAGGTTGCAGTGAGCCGAGATGGTGCCATTGCACTCCAGCCTGGGCATCAAGAGTGAAACTCTGTCTCAAAAAAAAAAAAAGTACAAAACACATTACAACTTTTAATTGATATTTTAAATAAGCTATTATATCTTGCTACTCTCCCCTCAAACACTTGCATACATAGGAGAGGGCAGCTGACTTGCATGTATCTGAAAAGCCTCCCTGAACAGGTGATGTTGTGACAGATACTCACTAGAAATATATATGTATGTTTAGCATTCACTCCTCTGGGCACTTGGGCACTGGGAATACAAAGATAAATAAAATACTCAATGCTTTGAGATATTCATGATTAAGCTGAGCAAACCACAGAAAATTATAATGCTGTAATTGTTATGTTAAATAAATGACATCATCATGCATAGAGTTCTGTAGGGTCACAGAGAAAGAAGATCACCAAAGGCCAGGCACGGTGGCTCAGGCCTGTAATCCCAGCACTTTGGGAGGCCGAGGCAGACGGATCACGAGGTCAGGAGTTCGAGACCAGCCTGGCCAATATGGTGAAACCCCGTCTCTACTAAAAATACAAAAGTTAGCTGAGCGTGGTGGTGTCGCCTGTAGTCCCAGCTACTCAGGAGGCTGAGGCAGAAGAATCTCTTGAACTCAGGAGGTGGAGGTTGCAGTGAGCCGAGATCGTGCCACTGCACTCCAGCCTGGGTGACAGAGCTGAGACTGTCTCAAAAGAAAAAAAAAAAAAAAAGATCACGAAAGGGTATGAGGTAGATACTACTTGCATTGAGACCTGAAGGCTGAGTAGGGTAAGAAGAAGAGCATTTCTGAAAGTTGAATAGCCTATATAGAAGCCGGAAAGAGTAGATGTGAAAATGTGGAAGATAGGATGCTTGGGGAAAGTGAAAGGACTCTTACTACATCACTAAAACTCCTGTTGCTTTCTTTAACTTCCTACCTACCTTTGCTACAGAAAATCCCTGTGATCTCTGACCTATGTTCATTTTCTAGGATTCCTTCCAGGTGATACAGCCAGGCATCACCGAGCTGTTATCCTAGACCTGCTGCAGGAGGCACTAACAGAGTCTGGATTAACCTCCCAGGATATCGACTGCATTGCATACACCAAGGGTATGGCTGGGAGAGTGGTCAACGATGGAGGAATATACCTGCAACCTGGCTAGGTCAAAATAGCCAACACCTTACCTCTGCCACCATCACTACCCCTACCCCACCTCACATCCCTTATGTCCCCCACTATTGTTTTTTTCCAATCTCTAGGATTATAACTTCCATTTCTATCTCCCTAGGCCCTGGCATGGGTGCCCCACTGGTTTCTGTGGCTGTTGTGGCCCGTACTGTGGCCCAACTGTGGAATAAGCCATTGGTGGGTGTGAACCACTGTATAGGCCACATTGAGATGGGCCGCCTCATCACTGGAGCCACCAGCCCAACCGTGTTGTATGTGAGTGGAGGAAATACGCAGGTATTTAGAGGGCTCTACCCACTCCATCTCAATTTCTGAGGCACTGAACCAGTATTTTCTTTGTTCTATCTGAGTCATGGGAATGTCAGGAACAAAGATGGACTTATCTGAACCTAAAATACTGTAGACCAGAAAACCCCCAACAGAGTTTGTAACATTGCAAATTTTGGCAGCATGATCAGAACATTAGATGGCTTATCATTATCAGACTTTATATCTGATTATAAAGATTAGGAATTTCTACTTCAGGAAAGGAATGAATGGGATTGAAAAGGATTGAAATCTTCAAAATAATGAATATCTGAAAGCTCTTGCATTATTTTGAAGCTTATTTTTTCTATAAATCTTAGCAATTGAAACTAACAGTTGCTGGGTATGGCAACTCATGCCTGTAATTCCAGCACTTTGGGAGGTCGAGGCGGGTGGATCATCTGAGGTCAGGAGTTTGAGCCCAGCCTGGCCAACGTGGCAAAACCCCATCTGTACTAAAAATAACAAAAATTAATTTGATGTGGTGGCAGGTGCCTGTAATCCTAGCAACTCCGGAGGCTGGGCAGGAGAATCACTTGAACCCAGGAGGCGGAAGTTGCGGTGAACCGAGATCGCACCATTGCATTCCAGCCTGGGCAACAAGAGCAAAACTCCGTCTCAAACAAACAAACAAACAAAAAACAAAAAAAAACAACTAAAGGACACTACCTGATTTATTATTTTGGGGCAAGTACATGTTTTGTTTTTATATTACTGGGAATGATTATGTAGACTTTGTTATTCTAAGAGTTTAGAAATATAAATAACTTTAAAAAATACTTTGTAAATTATAGAAGGTATTTTATTTTATCTTATTTATTTATTTATTTATTTGAGATGGAGTTTCGCTCTTATTGTCCAGGTTGGAGTGCAATGATGCAACCTTGGCTCATTGCAACCTCTGCCTCCCGGGTCCAAACTATTCTTCTCTACTCCCGAGTAGCTGGGATTACAGGCACCCGCCACCATACCTGGCTAATTTTTTGTGTTTTTAGTAGAGACGGGATTTCACCCTGTTGGTCAGGCTGGTCTTGAACTCCTGACCTCAGGTGATCCACCTGCCTCGGCCTCCCTAAGTGCTGGGATTACAGGCGTGAGCCACCATGCCCGGCCAGAAGGTATTTTAAATTTATAGGTGAAGCTAAAGTTGTTTGGGTTACCTTATATGACCTTTTTAAGGTTGGGATTGGATTCTTTTCCAACAGAACACTTGATTATCATTAGAAATAGTTCAGCATTGTCCCCAGCTCATGAAAGGGTTGTGTCGAGAAGATGAGGCACATGTTTCCCATGAAAATGATGCAGAAACTTCAGCAGGTAGAGGGCAAGTAGTTGGTTGAGGCCTGAAGGATGACATACAAGGTCAGAGACTTGGGTTGTGGAAAGTATAATGGAGGCTACAAGAGTTGATGAAAGGAGCAGTGACGGTTTTGTCTTCCTCTTCTCTTTTAATGTTTGCTTAGGTGTAAGAAACAGGGAGGGTGATTAGGTGGAGAGGAGTGGATAGCAGAAGCAGAAAGGCAGGATTTTTCCTTCGCCTTTGTTACTGTCTTTTTGACAGCAGATTAAGATCTGTATCAGAAAGGGAAGAAATCCCTAACAGCACTGGGAAGGGAAAGGGACTTCTTAAGGTTCGTAGGAAGCCCTCGGTGTTATAAGTCTGCAGAATATGTGTCAGTAAGGGACAGATATTCTCTGTGCTAAAAGTTGGTCACATATGAAGAACGGCCTTAATACAAAAAAGTGGTGGTGGGTGCCTGTAATTCCAGCTGCTTGGGAGGCTGAGGCAGGAGAATTGCTTGAACCTGGGAGGCAGAGGTTGCAGTGAGCTGAGATCACGCCATTGCACTCCAGCCTAGGCGACAGAACAAGACTCTGTCTCAGAAAAAAAAAAAAAAGAAAAGAAAAATGGCCTTAAGTGAATTGCCATTGCTGACTTGGCTGGGCCATTAGTCTGACTCCATATGAGATTTTTGAGTTCTTCAGCTCTGCTTCTTGGTTCTAAATACCACTGCCCAGCTGCATACGGTGGTTCACACCTATAATCCCAGCACTTTGAGAGGCTGAGGCAGGTAGATTGCTTGAGACCAGGAGTTTGAGACCAGGCTGGGCAACATAGTGAGACCCCCATCTCTACAAAAATATAAAAATAAGCCACACATGGTAGCCCAGCTACTCAGGAAGCTGAGGTGGGAGGATCCTTTGAGCCTAGGAGGTGGAGGCTACAGTGAGCTATGATCACACCACTCCACTCCAGCCTGGGAGACAGAGCGAGACCCTGTCTCAAAAAAAAATTACCACTGCCACTGTGTCATAATTTAGAAGGATTCATGTTCTCTGCCTCCAAGCAGAAAAGCCGGTTACCTACTATCAAGACTGCATTTAAGGGATATATTAGGAACTTCTAAGCCGGAAAACCAATGTATTTGAAATGACAATTTATTTCTGCCTGAACCTACACTGTCTAGGAATCTGTTCCTGGAATCCTCAGGGTATACAGATTTCTTCTCAAATCAGAGCTGTAAAAACTACCCATTCACCATTTGGGAAACACCTTTCTTCCACTTCTTATTGGAAGCCCTGGTGGTCATGTTGATCCTCTGCTATGTTTTTCTCCCAAAGCCAAATAATCCTCTTTACAGACTTGGGGTTTCATGGACTTCCTCATCACCCTTAGGTGATTGCATACTCGGAACATCGTTACCGTATCTTTGGGGAAACCATCGATATTGCAGTGGGTAATTGTCTGGATCGTTTTGCTCGAGTGCTGAAGGTAAGCCAGTGGGGCTGCAGAGAACATAAAATGTGGGTGAATTTTTGGGAAGCCATGGAGGTGGAGGGAGGAAATAGTAAATGAGCTTCTTATGCTTCCTGCATATCTGATTTCATCCTCTTCCATTCCCTCCTTCCTTATTTTTTTCTTCTGCTAGATTTCTAACGACCCAAGTCCAGGATACAACATTGAACAGATGGCAAAGCGGTAAGGGGACATAAGGTGGAAGCAGGCTGGCTGCTGGGGCTTCAGGGATTTCCCCATATACGGTATATATTAACAAAATTTGGGACGGGCTTTGGAGGGTGAGAAGCCAGCTGACTGTAGGCTTAGTGCCTCGTACGCTTATTCCCACATAGAGGCAAGAAGCTAGTTGAGCTGCCATACACTGTAAAGGGGATGGACGTCTCATTCTCAGGGATCCTGTCTTTCATTGAGGTGAGTGTGAGAGGTGATGAGACGGGCACTTTCATGCTTTTTAAATGAAGCATATCTGTTTTACTTACGATTATATTTCGTATAGCTCAGTATATTCATGTAGCACAGTACTGGTCCATATCATGTGCTGGGTAAATTCATTTAGAAGGTATTCATTGAATATCTCTGTGTGCCACATGCTGTTCTAGATAGTAGAGATGCAGCATGGAGCAAAACAAAAATCCCTGTCTACATGGAGCTTAGATTCTAAATGGGGGGCGGGGGAGATAAGAAAGAGGAAAATAATGAAGTGCCAGATGATGATGAGTACAGGTGAAAAATTAAGCAGGATAAGTAAGGGGTGAGAGATGTCAGGACAAGTATTCAAAAAGTAATGATTGCATCTTAAATGAAAGCTGCTCATTCTATGCCATGATGCCAGTGAAGGGAATGTGGTACAGGATGTGCTGGTAACTTGAATTGTGGTGAAACATGATGACCCTCCGAATGCATTAATTTTTGCTCTCGTGTAATCCCAAAACCATGATTTGTTGATTCTTTTGTTTTTCCCTTTAATTGTAGGATGTAGCCCATCGGATGCTGGCCACAGGCGAGTGTACTCCTGAGGATCTGTGTTTCTCCCTGCAGGTAATGCAGTAAAAAACTGGGACAGAAAGTTGGGGCTGAAGGTTTTATATTGTAGAGCAGAACTAATCTGGGATGCCCCTCTAATATTTTCTCCTTATCTGTCCCTGACAGGAAACTGTGTTTGCAATGCTGGTAGAGATCACAGAGCGAGCCATGGCACATTGTGGCTCCCAGGAGGCCCTCATTGTGGGAGGAGTGGGGTGTATGTATTATTGAAAAGTGTTCCTCTTTCCTATTCTTAACACTATGCGTCTTCCTCCTGGTACTCTAAATCATTAAGCGTTTGGAGTAGGCTTCCCAATCCTTGCCCCTAATCCCCTATGTCATTGTTCTAAGTGAGTGCACATGACGTGTTCTGCTGGACCATGAAGAGATGGCTAAAACTAAGCTAATCCTGTTCCCTGCCTCTTTGTAGGTAATGTGAGGCTACAGGAGATGATGGCAACAATGTGCCAGGAACGTGGAGCCCGGCTTTTTGCTACAGATGAGAGGTAAAGACACTTTCCCTTTGGTTTCTTTTTTACTTCTCCTGTTATAGTGATTTTCCACCCTTAGATCCCAATTTTCATCTCTCTTGCATCCCAGATTCTGTATTGACAATGGAGCGATGATAGCCCAGGCTGGCTGGGAGATGTTTCGGGCTGGACACAGGACCCCACTCAGTGATTCTGGGGTTACACAGAGGTGAGTGATTCACCTCTTGGTGAGGGTAGATTATTGGGACATAGACAAAAACAGCAGGGAAGAGTCCAGGAACATGAGGGCAGAGAAGAATGAAGGATGTTAAGGGCTCGCTCTCCACCATGTTTCTTCTGTTTTTCCACAGGTATCGGACAGATGAAGTAGAGGTGACCTGGAGGGACTAATAAGATCAACAGAATCAGAGTAGATAGTTCCTTAATCGGAACCCAAAGGACCCCGTGCCTCAATCTCTATCCTGATGTCATGGGAGTCCTAGCAAAGCTATAGACTCCAAGCAAGGCTTGGGGTCCTTTATGGAACCCCAGGATGACTCAGCAATAAAATATTTTTGGTTTTTTGGTTTTGTATGTTGGTGATTGGATTGTGTTGTTCAGGACCAATGTAGATTTGGTGCTGGATAAATTCTTGTTGGAGCTTGCTGCTGTGGAACCAAGAATGAGGTATCTTTTTTTTTTTTTTTAAGAAACGGAATCTTGCTGTGTTTCCCAGGCTGGTCTCGAACTGGGCTCAAGCAGTCTTACCACCTCAGCCTCCTGAGTAAGGATGCCATTGTGCCTGGCAACAATAGTAGTATCATAACTATTATTATAGCATCGGGTCCCGTGCTAACTGCTTTACATTCATTCTCTCATTTAAATTCTTTGAAGTAGGTGTGCAAGACTTCTCTCAAAATAGCCTGGAGGCTCACACCTGTTATCCCAGTGCTGTGGGAGGCCAAGTCAGGAGGATCCCTTGAGCCCAGGAGTTTGAGCCCAGCCTGGGCAAATAGCAAGACACCATCTATTTGAAAAATGTAAAAATTATCTGGGCATGGTGGCGCACATCTGTAGTCCCAGCTCCAAGGGAGGCTGAGGCGGGAAGATAGCTTGAGCCCAGGAGTTTGAGGTTGCAGTGAGCTGTGATTGAGCCACTGCATTCCAGCCTGAGTGACAGAACAAAACCTTGTCTCTTAAAAACAAACAAACAAACAGCCTGGAGATTGGTCTAACTTGTAACTCTAAAACTGCCTCTACTCCGTATACTTTCTCCTACATGCACATCCATCGGCAGGCTTGAGGAATGCCCGCAGATGCACATCCCTCCGTACCACAAACAACAGAACGAATCTCATACCCTTAATCTTATTGATGTTGATATCAATCATCA
Source organism: Homo sapiens (assembly GCF_000001405.40). NCBI lineage: Eukaryota > Metazoa > Chordata > Mammalia > Primates > Hominidae > Homo > Homo sapiens. Next base: position 648,938 of record NW_025791796.1, on the reverse strand, counting down.
CAATTAGTCCTAAACTACTGAGTCATCTCATCTTTTACACTTAATAACCATGTATCTCCACTCTGTTTTGTCTCCATCTACCTACCTTTTCCAACTCTAGAAGCTCTTCCACTGTGCCCTCTGGAACTGATGGCCAGTCATTTGTCAAATTCTCTGTGTCCTCAACCTCTTCTCTGAACGTTCCCTTCACATTTATGCTCTTCAGACTTGGTTTCTTATGAGGACTCTGCTTCTCCTACCACCTCAGTAGTGGTGGCATTTTCCCTTCCACACCCAGTGTCCCACTGGGCCTGGAGGTGGTGCACGTGTCCTCATACTGTTTCCAGACCATTATCCCTCATCCCTAGTACCCTTCTGCTTTGAAAGAAACTACCATACGAACACCACGTTTGTCATAAATCTTATTTCAGTATTCAGGTAGATCATACTAACACCCGCTTCAGCCACTTATTTCCTTGGTCATGTTCTGGAGCTGCAGATCCTCCACATCTCAGTTTCAGACGTCCCACTCTCGACTACCACCACCTCCTGTTCTTCCAGTTCATTTTCTTTAGTATGCTAAATCCAACAGTTCATCCCTTCACCAGGACCTACGGTCCATTGATCATACTTCCTTTCTGCAGATTTTATCCCCCACGTATTTTTATTTCCCTCCTTCAGCTAAATTCCCATAATCCACCTCATTTCCCTTCCCCTCTTTTGCTTTTGTCATATTCAACTCATCACCTACTTTAGACCCATGCAGCTGAAAGGGCTAGTAAAAAATAGCCATGCTGACTGATCTTACTTCAAACTTACGACCATGACACTAAAATGGGTCCTTTATGCCACCCAGAAATATGCCATCTCTCTAGTCCTTTCACTTGCCCTCTTTTCTAGTGACTGTTTCATACCTTCTGACCCCTCAAATCTCTTAACATCTCCCCCTATTCTGACTCTTACCTTAGTTCCTATTTCAGTAAGAAAATAGAAACAATCAGTATACATTTACAAGCTTTTGCCCCTGAAACTAACCATCTTCCAGTATCTGTACCCATGTACTCTGCCTTCCTCCTGTTACCATAAACCAGTGGTTCTCAACCAGAGCTGATTTTGCTTCTCAGAGGACACTGGATTGTCACCGTCGATAGGAGGATATTTTACTGATTAGAAGTCAGGGCTGGTTGCAGTGGCTCACCCCTGTAATCCCAGCACTGGGAGGCCAAGGCGGGTGGATCACTTGAGGCCAGGAGTTCAAGACCAGCCTGACCAGCAATGGTGAAACCCCTCTACTAAAAATACAAAAAATCAGCTGGCATGATGTTGCATGCCTGTAATCCCAACTACTTGGGCACGAGAATCGCTTGAACCCAGGAGGCGGAGGTTGCAGTGAGCCAAGATTGTGCCACTGCATGCCAGCCTGAGTGACAGAGCAAGACTCTTTCTCAAAAAAAGGGATAATTCTCCCTCTTTTCCTGGAGAGTCAGTATTTCCTTCTCTCCTGAATCCTGCCGTCCACAAATATGCCACTGTTTTCCTCATTTTACAAATAATGCCTGCTTGTCCCCATTTGCCCTTCCAGCTGCTTCCCATTTTTCTGTTCCACTTTACAGCAAAACTTAGAAAGACTTGTCTTCAATTTCTCTCCACCAGTTCCCTATTAAATCTCCACCAAAACTATTCTTATCACAGTCACTGATGACCTGCACATAGCTAAATCTAATGGCGTATTCTTCATCCTCAGAAGCTATCAGCAGCATTTGACACTCCCTCTTTGAAAAGTTTCCTTACTTGGCTTTAGGATGCATTCTCTGGTCTGCCTCCTAGCTTACTGACTGCCCTTTCTTAATCTCCTTTGCTAGTTTCTCCTCATCTCCACAGAGTTTAGTCCTCAGACTGCTCTCTTTACACATACACCTGTAGTGACTTCATCTAGTTGTATACATTAAAATCATTTTGATGGGGGTTACTCCCAGTTATAGTTCCAACCTGGACTTCTATCCCAAATACCTAGCTGCTCATTGGCACCTCCACTTGGATGCTTAATAGGCGTCTCAAATTTAACATATTCAAAATTGCACTTATTCTTTCCCCAACTTAGTCCTGTAGTCTTTCTTATTTCTGTCAACGACAACTCCATTCTAGTTGTTCATGTCAAAGTATCTTTGTCAGTTTTCTTTCTTCTCCAATTAATCAAATCCTCTTGGCTCTACCTTCAAAATACATCCAGAATTCCATTTCTCCTCACTTCCACTGCTGCCACTGTAGATCAAGCCAGAATTATGTGTCTTCAAGATTATTGCAGTAGCTGCTCCTTCTCCTTTCCCCATTGCCAACTTAGAGTCAATTCTCCACATAGCAGCCAGAGTGAATAGTGTTAGCGTGGAAGCCAGATCATGTTACTCTTCTGCTCAAAACCTTCAGTGCTTTCTTACATCAAAAGAAAAACCAGAGTCTTTTTATTTATTTTTTTTTAGTATTTATTGATCATTCTTGGGTGTTTCTCGGAGAGGGGGATTTGGCAGGGTCATAGGACAATAGTGGAGGGAAGGTCAGCAGATAAACATGTGAACAAAGGTCTCTGGTTTTCCTAGGCAGAGGGCCCTGCCGCCTTCCGCAGTGTTTGTGCCCCTGGGTACTTGAGATTAGGGAGTGGTGATGACTCTTAACCAGCATGCTGCCTTCAAGCATCTGTTTAACAAAACACATCTTGCACCGCCCTTAATCCATTTAACCCTGAGTGGACACAGCACATGTTTCAGAGAGCACGGGGTTGGGGGTAAGGTTATAGATTAACAGCATCCCAAGGCAGAAGAATTTTTCTTAGTACAGAACAAAATGGAGTCTCCCATGTCTACTTCTTTCTACACAGACACAGCAACAATCCGATTTCTCTATCTTTTCCCCACATTTCCCACTTTTCTATTTGACAAAACCGCCATCGTCATCATGGCCCGTTCTCAATGAGCTGTTGGGTACACCTCCCAGACCGGGTGGCGGCCGGGCAGAGGGGCTCCTCACTTCCCAGAAGGGGCGGCCAGGCAGAGGCGCCCCCCACCTCCCTCCCGGACAGGGCGGCTGGCCAGTCTATTTAAAGGCCTGTGAGACCCTCTGTGATCCACTCTGCCCTTCCCTGCCTACCACTTTGATCTGCTACTCAATTCCTTGTTTGCGCTGCTCCAGCAACACGGGCTTTTCTGTTGGCCTTTAAACACCACAGTTGTCCTCTGAGGTGGGAGGAGAGTATTGGGTACTTGGTAAATGCAGAGTTCATTTTCTAGTCCTTTCTGGTTTATATGTCACTATCTTCCCTCTCCTATTCTCCCTGGAACTTGGAGAACTTGGGACTTCCTGGGGAGCCATGGAGTCCCTACCTTCATCATCACCGAGCCAGTACACGTCCACTGCCCTCCGGCCTTGCTTGGATTGGAACATTGAGGCTGCTGGAATAAGGATGCTGCCCGAGAAAAGAGAAGAAAAGAATGAGACAAACTCCTTTCCAGCTGAGCAGTTGCTCCTAATTCAGTATAATACCTCTCCTCCCCTATGAGAATTATTGCTATCCTAGAGAAACGTCATGTGGCTTCTCTCCGCATTGACTAACCGCATTTCCTTTTTATTTTCCTTGGTGTCTGCTTCTCTAACCCGCTCTACAACTCTGTTATTCCTAAAAACAGGACATGTTTTAGAATTGGTCTCCTGCCTGCTAAGTATCCATCCCTATGACATCCAAATATGCTGGGTGTACTGGGAAAAGTGGGGGTATAACACAAAATAATGTTATCTTTTTGCTAAGGATGCCCAAAATTTAACTGATAAGATGTGTAATATTATTAGAATTGGGGTAGTGCCAGAAACCCTTCTCTAGAATTGGGCCATAGCCCTTCCTGACCACACTCCAGCTTACCCTGCTATGTTGTATCTTTTGATCCAAATTTCTCCCACCTGAATTTAGAAGATACCTTTAAAGTTTTCCCCCACCCTGAAAATTTCAGGAGAACTAAAGCTCAAGCAAAATTCATTTCTCTCGCATCCTGGTACCCAATTCTATTCAGTCTTAGGTCTTGGTAACTCTAGATGAGTTCATTTGCCTCCCAGACTGTCTTTGAGAGCCAATTTCTATACCTCCCACACCACATCCTTCTCTTAGGCCCACCTCTTTTCACTCACCTTGAGCTTGGTGTTGAGTAGCCGGGCTTAACCCTCCTGGCATCCTTATGAGGCCTATGCCATAGTTGTAGTCAAAGTCATCACTTTATGGAGAGGAGAGAAAAAGAGATATAGGAGGAAGAGATGAAGGGGTGGGGGTCTCTTTCCTGGGGACACAGGCACTGCTGGGCAGCTGTTGGGAACAAGGGCTTCACCACGATTATATTTCCTCTTCTTTCTAGTTCCTGACCATTTCTATGTCCATCTTACCCTTCTCTATCTCACATTCGCACTAGAATGCCTATGTAGTACTCCATGGCAGATACAGGCCCTTTCTCCCAATTTTGCTTATATCCCAAGACCAGCACATTGGACTTCAGTTGGTTCAAACATGAGACCTGAAAGGAGAAGCAATGAGGAAAGAAGGGGATATGGTATGTTGGATGAGAGGTGACAAGAAGGCTTCCTTTTTCTCCACTACCCCGCCCAGATTTCAGGAAGCTAGTTTCCTTCTGTGTCTGAGCAGATAACCCTGCAGAGGTTCATGGTTCTTGCCATGGCCTTTCCCAAAAAAGCCAAAAGTTTGCAAGAACCAGTCATGTAGTATTAAAGAATAAAGTGGACCAAGTGGGAACTGTGGCAAACTGGAGAGCACCTGCCTTGTCCCATGGGACAGGAGCTACTCAGCCCCAGCTAACTGTGTCATGTGGGTTGGAGGCCCAGGATTAGCAGATGCCTGGATCTTAAACGTTGGTAGTTTATTTTAAAAATTGTAAATGCTGTGCAATCAAAAAACTCATTTCCAGGCAACATTCCGTCCATAGGCCACCGTTTTCAATCTCTCATCTACAGACTTCCTGACTGGAAGTTCTTAATGTGATCTTACACATTGGTGAGGCTCACTGAGTAGGACAGCGCCATTTGGTAGGTGTCTGCCTGGGCTGAAGAGCCCCAGTTCACAACTGTGCAGAGAAAGGGGTGGTGCATCAATGGTGAGGTAGAAGAGGAAACACTGTTCGTAGTTCTGGGCTTCTTCTAGGGGCCAGCCTCCTGTTGTAACTCACTTCCTGACTCCCTGCACACCCGCCTACTCACTCACCAGGTTTTGTAGATCATATAACAGCAGAAGGGTAAGCAACACAGTAATCAGTGTTGCCCGCCATGTGAGGAGGAATGTGATGAGCAGGCAGAGCAGAGAGCCCAGGAGAGAGACCCAGGGACTTTACCTGCAGAAGGAAAGGCGCCAGCCTGCAGGGGACAGCAAATGTAAGCCCTTGTCTTAGCCCCAGCACCACCCACTCATGTACCGCAAGGATGCTCTCCCAACTCCCCAGGTCTTTCCAGCCCTAGAGCTTACCTGAACACCTGCCCACACTAACCAGACAACCAGGTAAGGGAGGCGTAGAGACAGCCAAAGTTGAGGGCACAGGAACAGAGGAGGAAGTTGGCGATGGTGGGGGCAATGATACTCAGCTCGGCTTTGGGGGAGATGAAAGGTCAGGAGTGAGTCTCCACACTAGTGTCATAAGATGCAGGTCTAGAAGTCCAGGACATCATTTTATGGTTTTCTCCATTCTCTCTATTCCCTTCTTACTCCTCACTCCACCCCCACACACATACCACCCCTAGCAGTGCAAGGTTAGGAGACATTTTTCGTCCACTTTCAGGAAAAGAGAGATAGAAAAGAGGTTTTAGGATCAGCTCCTAGAAGCCAGAGGTAGGGCTGGGAAGGGCCTGAGAGGAATGGTGATTAATAGAGCCCAGTGTGGAGGGTGGGGTGGGGAGTAGTCACCGATAAGGATGAAACCTACAGCAGTGAGGAAGGTGAGCAGATAGCCCCACAGAGGCTCGTGGTTCTTGCCATGGCCTTTCCCCCCAAAAAAGCCAGTGATTGTGTATGGTTTATCCTGGCACAGCTGCTGCAAGAGGTCTTGGTGATCAATAGGGGAGGGTCCCAGGAAGTAGGAGAATGAGAGCCCTCTCCCTCTAAAGAGGCAGGAGAGTGGGAAGCATAGACAGAAGTCAAGGGAGTTTAGGGGTCAGAGGCAGAAAGGATAGGAGTAGAGGGAGTAGGGGGTGGTAAGATCCCTGGGAATGAGGGATGGGAAAAACTGAGAGTGGGGAGGTAGATAGATGAGTGACACCGGGCCAGGCCTGGGGGCTCACGCCTGTAATCCCAGCACTTTGGAAGGCTAAGGCGGGTGAATCACAAGGTCAGGAGTTCGAGAACAACCTGGCCAACATAGTGAAACCCCATCTCTACTAAAAATATAAAAATTAACTGGATGTGGTGGCACGTGCCTGTACTTGGGAGGCTGAGGCGAGAGAATCACTTGAACCTGGGAGGCGGAGGTTGCAGTGAGCCGAGACCATGCCATTGCACTCCAGCCTGGGTGACAAAGTGAGACTGTGTCTCAAAAAAAAAAAAAGAGTGACACCTTCCCCATACTTTCCCTTGATTTACAGGCAGACTTTGAATGTTGCTATGTGGGCTTGGATTATCTCTTTAAACATTAGCCAGCCACAGTCATCTCCATCTCCCAAAGTTACCTTCTAACTCCCAGTTGCTGAGAACTGAGCCGTCTTTTGCCCCTCCTCAAAAATTATACACTTGGGATGACCGTGTCTACTAACATTCTTTCCTTTCTCTTGCAAGCCTCTTGCTAAGATCTCAACTAGCCTGGAAGATATTAGGGGCTGAAACAAAGCAGGAAAGGGTACAGAACAGAATGGCTCTCAAGATTCCAGCAGACATCAGAGGGCTAAAGGCAGACACCATGTTCATGGTCTGAGGAAAAGGGCAGACAGAGGCAAAAATCAATGCCTTTCCAAAGTAATGCATTCCACCCGTATTTTCACCTAGTTTTCCCAGACTTATTAAAATTTATCTGCATCTTTGAAGGTTTTGCCCCAAATTAATCAACTTAAACATCTATGCTATGCCAGGCAATGGGCAAGGTTTCTCTCTCTACACTTCCGCTCTGGTTCACTCACCTCATAGTGATTAGAGAGCCCACAGAGGCAGGACCCTTGCTCTCGACAACTGCTGAAATCCCAGCCATACTGGCACTTTGCGCCCAGGCGGCTCCCATTCTGCACACCCATGTCAGTCCTATTTTCGGAAGCACGTTGAATCATACAGGAGCCTAGAAATGAGATTGAGGATACACATTTCTTCATGGGAAGAAAACCCCATCCCAAAGCAGTAGGGCTATCTAGGTACCACCAGTACCAAAAGGGGAAATGAAAATGTTTGTGTGGCAGGGGTTGGGGGAGTGAGGAAATGACCAAATGTGATCATCGAAGAACACCATACAATTCATTAACAGATATGAGGGATGGGGAAACATGAAGGGAGGAGCGGGAGTCACTACAGACTCACCAGCCTTGATTTTGCCGTTGCTGGAGATGGCTGAGATAGACAATCCAGTGACAGTATGACTGAGGCCAAGAACAGGATGATGAGCCATGTGAGCCCTGGGGTGAGGATGGGAATTTATTCATACATGCACATCCCTTCCTACTGCCCAGGAGAGCTCTGAGCTCATACCTGTGCCTGCCTGAGCAGCGATCCAAGGCAGCTGCAGGTAGAGAATGATGCCCCAGATATTGAGCATACAGCAAATCTGGGGAGCGGGGTGGTAAGGGAGGGGTTGCAGTCTCCAGTGTGAGTCCCACCCCTTGCCCCCTTCTTCAGAGGTACCTCCCAAAAACTCCCCTGGAGCAAAGAGTTCTCGCCTGCCTAGATCCCCAGACTTAGGGAACCATGAGCGCCAATCCATTACCATGACTCCTATGACCCAGCTGAAGTGCACTGGGGCCTTGCCGATTTTGGCCCCAGAATTCTCCAGATCATCTTGGGAGTGTGGCTGGGTGTGGGTTTCCTCTCGAGGTGGACGTGGCACTATTTCTTGGCTGGGACAGCACATACATAACTGAAATGCCAAGACCCCTTGCTAGCCAGCGCGTCTGCAACCAGGAGGACAGCTAATGGACCTGGAGGGCAGTCCCAGAGCTACATGAAGGGTGGTGGTAGCCCACAGGCAGATGTTATCCTACCTTCAGGAGTTCACTGTGGGGCCTGGGTCTTACCAAGCTGTATGGAGCCATCCCAGGACTACGGAGTTGGCATAGAACTCGTAGCAGGGTCCAGTGTCCTCATCCTTGTAAGCAGTTGGTGAACAGAGGCTGGCTCGGGGTATGTCTCCACCAGATTGCAGTTCCTCCAACTCCTGGTTGGGGGCCAAGATGCTGGCCACATTGTCTTGCTCTGGGGAGGACATGAGAGGCATTCGAAATGTCTGAACTGGGAAACAGGGTGCAGAGCCTGGACACTATCTCCCCATTTGCTGGCCAGGATAACCATAAACTGCCTCTCAGTCGAACCATTTTGGGGAGTGCACCTGCTGGCTAGGCTCACCCAGGGAATGCTAGCTACTCAGAGTTGCCAGGGGTACCCAGGCCACAAATGGGGAAATGGAGACAACTCTGAAAGTAGGAGGGGGTGCTGTGCAGGTCAGCCCACTTCCCACCCTACCCCGCCCTCCACATGAGCCCTTTCATCTGAATCACAAGGAGCAATCGTTCCTCCTTCCCTTATTAAGTCTGCCTGTGGAGTCAACCTATCCAGCCTGGACCAGACATTTTATAGGCCAGGAAGTAGGAGTCCTTGGCCTGTCCTACCTCCCCCAGAGAAGGGAGAGGAAGTGTGTCACTGCACCTTTCCCTAAATCCTTTCTGCAAGATGACACTCAAAACTGCGGCACAAAGTGATTGCCTGGCTTTTAGGGGCTTTAGTCTAGCACTTGGCCTCAGGATGAGAAAGGAAGTGTTGTCCTGGAGGGAGAAGGAGTGGCTGTTACCGTCTGGCTCAAATGGAATACTTGCATGTCCATAGCCCATCTAGTCCAGGACTCTGGTCCTCACAGCATGCAGATCAAGCACACCTTCCACTGTCTGGTTCTTATCCCAGTGCCAAGATGAGAGTTAGAATTCCCCACACTTTTCCAAAGACACAGGGTTGGATTTCAGGCTCTTACCCTGGACCCCACCTCTGGACAGATAGTAATCCCTGTGTGGGGTGAGCCACCTAGGTCCGTAGCCCTGCCCCCTGGCCCTTCACTTTCCCCACTCTTCTGCCCTCCATGAATAAAGCTGGGCTATATTCGCTCCTGGGTCCCAGCTTTTTTGTTTTTTGAGACAGGGTTTTGCTCTGTCACCCAAGCTGGAGTGTGTGGTGCGACCTCAGCTCACTGCAACCTCTGCCTCCTGGGCTCAAGTGATCCTCCCACCTCAGCCTCCTAAGAAGCTGGGACTAAAGATGTGCCCCACCATGCCTGGCTCATTTTTGTATTTTTTTGTAGAGATGGGGTTTCACCATGTTGCCCAGTTTGGTCTCAAACTGCTGGCCTCAAGTGATCCATCCGCCTTGGCCTCCCACAGTGCTATGACTACAGGCATGAGACACCACGTCCAGCTAATTTTTGTAATTTTTGGTAGATATAAAAAATATGGAGTTTCATCATATTACCCAGGCTGGTCTCAAATTCCTGGGCTCCAGTGACTCACCCACCTTGGCCTCCCAAAGTGCTAGGATTACAGGCAAGAACCACCATGCCCGGCGGGGTCCCAGCTTTATCATGCACAGAAAAGTCAACAGCCAAAGCCTGGTCCAGACTCTTTGCCTGATCCTTCCAGCCCACTCTAGTGGCCCAGCCCTTCTGGCCTTGGGCTCATTCCACCAGATCCCCTCATTCTCCTTGGTTTCCTAATTTGCCTAGCTCAGCACACTCCTGTATGACCTACAGGTGGAAGGGTGGGGATGTCAGTCTGGGAGGGAGCCCAGGGGATTGGGTGTCAGAGTTAGGACACCAGGTGCCAAGTGCCTAGCCAGCCAGGACTGGCTATAATTAGCCCCATGGGGCCACTGGCTGACTGGGATGCCATGTGGGCAAGTTCCCTCTGCCACGCAGCCCCAAGCACAGCGGGCGCTTAAGTGAGAGGGCAAGCGGAACGCTGGTGTCTCCTGAGGGTGACTAAAAGGATGGGGGCAATAGGGGAGGGGTGTGGTCCCGGTTACCGGATCTTTACAGGGCTTCTTGCATGTTTCACTGCACCGCGTGCACCCTATAGCTGTCCTGTATATCCCAGATACTCCAGTGCTGGGATGTGGCTGAGGGTAGGAGGAGGGTGTTGGAGCAGGGGAGAGACTGACATTTCAACTGGCTGGAGACATGGTTGCTCTGGCCTCTTTGGGCCCAGCTCTGACGCCAGGCTGTCTTGCCTCTGCTCACCTGCAGCTATCCAGCAAACCTCGGCATGAGCGTCTCGGACACCCCACATTATCCCCCTGAGCTGGAGAGTGTCTCTCATCCCGTCCAGAGGGACTGCCTTGGACTCCTTGTGCACGCCCAGAGAACCCCTTCCTGGCCTCCCTCCCCCGACGAGGATCCCAGATTGCCTTCCTTTCCTCTGGAGGAGCCTGGTTCCAGGCCCCTGGTCCCAAGGAACCTTCCCTTTCCAGCCTTGTCCCTAGAGGAAGAAGAGGAAGAGGAAGAAGATGAAGATGCGGCAGAGCCCGAGTGGCTGCGCAGCGAGGAGCATCCGAGCCAGTTTTTCGCCGAGGCCCAGCGGCTGCGGGAGCAGAGACTGTTGCTGGACGAAGAGGTGTCAGTCGCGGGGCGGGTATACGGGGTGCATCGGGTGATCCTGGCCGCAATCAGCAGCCTCTTCCGAGACAGGCTGCTGGGCGGCGGAGGTCCGCGGCCCCCCTTCAGCCTCGAGGTGTCCCCAGGGGGCTGGGAGGCCGTGCTGACCTTTGCCTATGAGGGGGTGCTGGGCCCCGCCTCGCAGGGGGATGTGCTGGCCGCAGCAGAGGCGCTGGGAGCGCCCCGGGTGAAGGCTGCTGCCCAGCAGACATGCGAGAGGGCTGGAAATGCCAGGGAAGATGTAAAGAAGCCCAGCCAGGCAGAGGAGCTGAGGGAGAACCTGCGCGGAATCGAGCTCCTCTACCGAGAGGGCGTCGGGTGTGACTTGAAGCTGGAGGCAGGCGGCTGCCAGCTGTCGGGTGAGGGCCTGTGGGGCATTAAATTACTGCAGGTGCATATGCTAACGGAATGGTGTGTGCAAGCAGCAGGTGGTTTTATCCCCACCATGATGGTTTTGATCCCTGCTGCTGTCAGAATTTCCCTGGGGTGGCCTTTGGTGCCTCTCCTGCCCCACGGAGAGCCGGGCATGCGCAGTCGAGTTGTTTTCTAGGCGCTCTGACAGATTTAAACTGACCCTCTGTCTGGCTTTTCCTGTGTCCAGTAACAAGGAATCTCCAGCCAGCTGGCTAGAGCTAAGGGTACAATCCATGGCAGTAGAACAAGCAGAAAGTGGATTGACTCAAGCAGAAATTAACAAAAGGCCCTTCTTGGCATCCTCCATTCAGGACACAGGAAAGCCAGGGGAACATGGTGGAAAACTCAATGTGTGCTTTCACCTTGGTGTGCTTGACGCCATGGCTGACTTATGGGCCCTGCAGCTAATGAGCAAGGTCTGGTACTGTTTAAGGTTACCAGGCCGTGGCACTTTTTTTTTTTTTTTCTGAGACAGCATCTCACTCTGTTGCCCAGGCTGGAGTGCAGTGGCACAATCTTGGCTCACTGCAACCTGCACCTCCTGGGTTCAAGTGATTGTCCTGCCTCAGCCTCCCGAGTAGCTGGGATTACAGGCACCTGCCACCATGCCTGGCTAATTTTTTTGGTATTTTTTTAGTAGAGATGGGGTTTCACCAGGTTGGCCAGGCTTGTCTTGAACTCTTAACCTCAGGTGATCCACCTGTCTCATGCTGGGATTACAGGCATGAGTCACTGCACCCGGCCTGGCCATGGCACTTTGAAGTTAACTCTGCTCATCACCAGGAAAGCTAAGTAGGGTTGCATAAGTTGAGTATTATTCGGAGTCTACTAACATTTAGTGAGGCACTGGGTACCTGAAATTTTTACACATGACATCTCTTTTTAAATTTTACTGAAAGCTGGTGAGGTCAATATCATTATCTACAGGTGCACATAAGGAACATTAAATTTGGAGATGTTGACTTGGGACAACCCCAGGATACAAGCCTACATCACTAGTCCAGTCTCCTTCCACTAGGCCATGTGGACACATTGAAAGTTTAAAATTACAAGGGATTAGTTTAGAGATTATCTAGTTGGGCTGTTACACTTTGATGATGACGAAATCAGAATCCAAGACTTGTCCAAAGTCACATAGCTACTGCCCATTAGAGGAGTGACTGGGAACTGAAGTGCTTCTGGGACTCCTAGAAGGAAAACCACTCCAAAAGTCTATTTTCATTTATGATAGCACTAGATGGAGAGGGGATTTAAATTTTTCATAATCATAAAATTCTCACTAGGCTTTTGAATTTAAGCATACTCATATCACTGCTTTTATTTCCCTAGGAAATATTCCTACTTAATGGTTGCGAATCTGTCACTTAAAATCCTAGGGTATAGTAATGAGTAAGAGGTGAATACAAGTGGCTGTGAGCCCTTTCAGGGTTGGCTCTGAACTATAGGTTGATTGATGATATGGGAGCTGAGATGGCTTAGCTTGTTTTGAGGAATGCAGATTTTCTCAGACAATATATATTTGAAATCTGTCATTGATGTTTACTACTTGGGAAGCACCAGGCCACTACCTACTGCTTAAAAGACAGTGGAAAGTCATATGAACAACACCTGCCCTTTGGGAAAGGCACGCATGCCTCAGTTGGTCAAAGCAGCATGGAGTTCTTAAACAGCTTGGCCCTCTGTGACCTGCCTAAAAGGACTTCTAGGAGCATTACCCCCCACCTTTTTATTATGAAGCATTTTACAAAACCAAGAATATTAAGATGAACATTCAAACAACACCCATCACCCAGATTTAACAACTAATATTTTACTATATTTATTTCATCTGTTCATTTTATTTTTTACTGAAGTTTAAAGGAAATTCATGACATTTTACTCATAAGTATTTGGGTATGTATCTTTTTAAAAGAAGACAATTCTGTGGGACTAGGTGTGAAAGGAAAAAATAAAACAAAGAGGACATTTTCTCATAACCATAATACCTTTATCATGCACGACAAAATTAATAGTAATTTCTCTCTTTCTTTCTTTCTTTCTTTCTTTCTTTCTTTCTTTCTTTCTTTCTTTCTTTCTTTCTTTTTTTTGAGATGGAATCTTGTTCTGTCACCCAGGCTGGAGTACAATGGCACGATCTCGGCTCACTGCAGCCTTCACCTCCCAGGTTCAAGTGATTCTCCTGCCTCAGCCTCCCGAGTAACTGGGATTACAGGCGTGCACCACCACACCCAGCTAATTTTTGTATTTTTTGTAGAGATGGGGTTTCACCATGTTGGCTGGTCTGGTCTTGAACTCCTGACCTCAGGTGATCCACCTGCCTTAGCCTCCCAAAATGCTGGGTTTACAGGCATGAGCCACCGCGCCTGGCCAGTAATTTTTTAATATCACCTAGTCCACATTTATATTTTCCCAGTTGTCCAAAAAACATTTTTTAAAGTGAGTTTGTTCAACCCAGGAATTAATCAAGGACTATGCTATTCTCAGTTGCATGTCTCTTAAGCTTCCTTTAATCTAGTACAGTCCTTCCTCCTTTTTTTTTTTTATTACTTTATATATTGATTGGTAAAGACAATAACATGTAAGATTGGTTACCCTGGGCCAGGCATAGTGGCTCACGCCTGTAATCCCAACACTTTGGGAGGCCGAGGCAGGCAGATCACTTGAGGCCAGGAGTTCAAGGTTAGCCTGTCCAACATGGCGAAACCGTCTCTACTAAAAATACAAAAATTAGCCAGGCATGGTAGCGTGCACCTGTAGTCCCAGCTAATCTGGAAGCTGAGGCACGAGAATCACATGAAGCTGGAGGGTGGAGGTTGCAGTGAGCCGAGATTGTACCACTGCACTCCAGGCAGGGTGACAGAGTAAGACCCTATCTCAAAAAAAAAAAAATTGGTTATCCTATAAAATGCTCCATTTTCTTGATTTGTGTGGTTTTTCCCCTCTAAATTGTTCCTTTAGCCTTTCAACTTCCTATAAACTTGACTTTAGATCTAAAGAGTTGAACAGATTCAAGTTAAATATTTTGGCCAGAATAATCCATAAGTGATGCTGAGTATGAGGTCTAATTGTTTAACAGCGTAGGTTAATAGGACAGTTTCATTGTCATGAGGACCATGCAGATAACCAAGGTATTGGTACACAAGCATGCTTATTGCAGCCTGACATCAGTGGCAGTGGATGGAGATGATCTGCCCACACAGCCACTGCATGGAAATGAAAAATAAATCACATGCTTTCTTTGGGACCCAACTCAGTTTCCACATTTTATTTATTTATTTATTTTGAGATGGAGTCTCGCTCTGTCACCCAGGCTGGGTGCAGCGGCGCAGTCTCAGCTCATTGCAACCCTCGCCTCCCAGGTTCAAGCTATTCTCCTGCCTCAGTCTCCAAGTAGCTGGGATTACAGGCGCCTGCCACCATGCCCGGCTAATGTTTGTATTTTTGGTAGAGATGGAGTTTCACCATGTTGGCCAGGCTGGCCTTGAACTCCTGACCTCAAGTGATCCTACCCACCTCAGCCTCCCAAAGTGCTGGGATTACAGGTGTGTGCCACGACACCCAACCAGTTTCCTTATTTTAAAGGGAATAATTGAATTAGATTATTTTGAAGTTCTCAAGTTTCAGATCTCATGATTCTACAAATTACACCAAGAACAGGAGAGGGTTATGCAGAGAAAAGCTGGGACGCACGGAAAACATTAAACACTAAATCTTAGGCAAGAGGAGACAGCAATCCGATGAGGTTGGATTACAGCCATTCCCGAGTGGTGCCACTTTCCCAGCAAAATCTAACAGAATGGCTGACAGTCTTGGCTCTTGATTGTAAAGAATTTTATTTTGTCACGATATAGACAGACCTATATAAGTTGCTTGTTGGTCATTTCCCATTTATTTTGTGCTCCTCTTAGCAAATGCTTTCCTCTCAACCTGATCCATGAAGACTCTTTTTCTGACTCATCTGACCAAAAAGACTAAAGCAATGTTTATCTAAGTGTCTTCAGGCCACTAACATGAGAATCACATAGGGTTACTTGAAGTGTTACAATACAAATTTCTAGGGTCTCCGTCCAGAACTGCTGAATCAGAATCTCTGGGAGTGGACTGCTGAAACCTGCATTTTAACAACTACCCCATGGTATTCTGATGCACACCACAGTTTGGTCTGTAGCAGTGGGTGGCTTGGAGGGCCAAACTTAGAGTTTGGCCAAACTTAGAGTACCAAGTTGGGGTAATGCCTATCGGTCTTGCAATACTTTGAGTCCTCCTCTATTCCTTCTCCCCTCCTGCAGTGCACCGAGCCGCCCTGGCCTGTGGCAGTGAGTTCTTTGGGGCCATGCTCCTGAGCGGGATGAGGGAATCCCAGGGCACAGAGGTATCTCTGCGGACGATCTCCACCCAGGACCTGCGACTCCTCGTCTCTTTTGCTTACTCCGGAGTTGTGCGGGCAAGGTGGCCAGGGCTACTGAGAGCTGCCCAGGCTGCTCTGCAGTACCAGAGCTCTTCCTGCTTGGATTTGTGTCAGAAAGGCTTGGCACGGGGCCTCAGCCCTGCCCGTTGCCTGGCCCTGTTCCCCATGGCGGAAGCCCCTGGGTTGGAGAGGCTCTGGAGCAAAGCCCGTCACTACCTCCTCACCCACCTGCCTGCTGTAGCCTTGTGTCCTGCTTTCCCTTCTTTACCAGCTGCCTGCTTGGCTGAGCTCCTGGATAGTGATGAGCTCCATGTGCAGGAGGAGTTTGAGGCCTTTGTGGCTGCACGGTGTTGGCTGGCTGCCAACCCCGAGACCCAGGAGTCAGAGGCCAAGGCCCTGCTGCGATGTGTCCGCTTTGGCCGCATGTCCACCAGGGAGTTGCGGAGGGTGCGGGCAGCCGGGCTACTTCCACCCCTGACCCCAGATCTGTTGCACCAGCTGATGGTAGAGGCTGATGTTCCAGGCCAAGAGAGACGGAGGGAGCCTGACCGGGCACTGGTAGTGATTGGCGGGGATGGGCTCAGACCAGACATGGCCCTAAGACAACCATCCCGAGCAGTGTGGTGGGCCCGGGCCTTCCGCTGTGGCGTGGGACTGGTACGAACTGTTGAGTGGGGGCAGCTGCCTGCCCTGCCTGCCCCCGGACGCTTCCGGCATGGGGCTGCAAGCCTGGCAGGAAGTGAACTCTATGTGTGTGGGGGACAAGATTTCTACAGTCACTCCAACACCCTGGCTTCAACTCTCAGGTATAAGCTTCTAGGAGTGGGCAGGGTGTGGCAGGCCCTAAGGTGGGCAGGGAGAGAAATTGCTGGCCTAGCCAACCACGGATGCCCAGAGTCCCTCTTCCAATCTCTTGTCCTACTGTGTCCAGGTGGGAGCCCAGTCAAGAGGACTGGGAGGAGATGGCTCCTTTGTCCCAGGCTCGAAGCCTTTTCTCCTTGGTGGCACTGGATGGAAAACTTTATGCCCTGGGTGGAAGACACAATGATGTTGCCCTGGACTCTGTGGAGACCTACAACCCTGAGCTCAATGTCTGGAGGTAAGCAGGCAAGGGGGCATCTGGGAGAGATTAGGAGACTTGGAATAGAAGGAGAGTTGAAGATGCTAGTTGCCTTATCTTGTGTCCTGTTCTCCCTTAGGCCAGCACCTGCACTTCCAGCACCATGTTTTGCCCACGCAGCTGCGATTTTGGAGGGCCAGTTGTACGTGAGCGGTGGCTGTGGTGGGACTGGCCAATACCTGGCCTCACTGATGCACTATGACCCCAAACTTGAGAAGCCAGGGACGTTTCTGAGCCCTATGGGGGTACCTCGGGCTGGCCATGTCATGGCTGCATTGGGTGGGAGGTTGTATGTGGCAGGTGGGCTGGGTGAGACTGAGGACCTGCTAAGCTTTGAGGCCTATGAACTAAGGACTGATAGCTGGACTCACCTGGCACCCCTACCCTCCCCCCATGTGGGGGCTGCAAGTGCTGTGCTGCAGGGGGAGCTACTGGTGCTCGGGGGCTACAGTCACCGTACTTATGCCCTCTCTCACCTTATCCATGCCTACTGTCCTGGCCTGGGCCGATGGCTCTGCCTGGGAACTCTGCCAAGGCCTCGGGCTGAGATGCCTGCCTGCATCCTGACACTGCCCGCTGTGCAGCACATAGCTTTGGTTCCCACCCCACACCAAACCAAACCTGCTGGGTGAAGAGGGAGCAACAGTGTATGGGGAGAGGAGGGCATAAGAAATAGCCTGAGAGAAGGACAGAGATTGTGGGGAGTGAAAAGAGGCTTTATTCTTGGTAGTATTTTATTCTCACACTGTGCATTGTAAACTGCTTTTGTACGTATGATCTCCGTTGAGGAAATGGTGGTTCCAGAACTCCTAGGGAAAACATATAGGGAAAGGGGAGGCAGCTGAATACCCAGGTGAGGAAAGGAGACTCGGGAGCAACTCCACAAGGCTTAGGGATTCTTAGGGAAAGGGCATCTAGTTTGAAAGAGAGTTAAGAAGCTTCAGTAGCCAAAGTGTAGAGACCATGGGAGGACAGTTGGAAAAATGGTTCTGACCCATGGATCATGGGAAAAATGTGGAATGGCCATCCATGAAAGAGTTTGAGGAGTGTAGGAGTAAGGACTGTAAATCGTTCAGCCCTTTTTTTCCTGGAACTTGCTCCTTTCTCCTCTCCCACCCCTGGGATGCCTAAACCTTCTTAACAATATTCTCTCCCGGGTAACTTTGTAGGCCTGGTCTAGCGTTTCCCAGCGAGACACCACAGGCTGCCCCTGAGAACCTCTTGGTTTCCTTCTGAGGCAGAAGCTCCCACATGGACATGCACGGCACAGGGGCCTGAGAGGCCTGACGGGCCCCCCAGGGCCATGTGGCAGGAGTGTTGTGTGGGAAAGATGATGGGGGCAGAGGCCAAGGAGGGAGAGGCCCACAGTGGAAAAACAGATGATCTGAGGTTTAAGGAGATGGGGTGGAAGAAGTCAGAAGCCTGTGTGCCTTCTTTCTTTTGGGCAAACTGAGGAATCAGGAGTGAAAATGAGACCGTTGTTGCCTGAGGTCTCAAGTGGTGAGAGGATGTGGGGGGAGAGAAGAGTGAGAAGCAGACAAGACTCAGAAAAGTCATTTCCCCCTTTCAGTTCCTTTCCCCCAGAGTTATTTTTAAATCCATTTCCCTTTATCTTGGCCAGGGAAGGTAGTCAGGTGCTTCCTCTTTCTCTCTTCCCCCATCCTGCTCTCCCCACTGCCTCTCTTTTTTCTTTCTCTTCTTTCTCCCTCACACAGTTATTAATTACCTACTGTGTGGCAGGCACTGTAGGAGGCACCAAGATACAGAGGTCAGAGAGCTCCTGACCAGCAGATAGACATAAACAAATACAAATTTTGAGTGGACTTACATGTATGGACGAGTCTTGCGAGAGCCCAGAGGATAGAGCAGTGAACTCTGCTCAGGAAGGCTTCTGTTAGGAAAGGTGTCATCCGATGGGTGTATTTTGAACTGGATCTTAAAGGCTGCCTAGAGTCTCACCCATTAGAGAAGGGGGAATGCATTTGAAACAGAAAGAAGTGGGGCATGCCATGCCCTGTTTCTCCATAGCAAAGAGGAAGTGGGTATTCCAGAGGCTTTTCAGATAATTCTGCTGCTCTTGCCACCTACTCTCTTCTCTGGAGCCTTCCTGAGGATAATGGCTTTCACTTAATGATTGTGTATTCCCGCCCTCTATGACTCACCTCTATCCTTCCTGTCTGCTCTTTCCATTTCTGCCTACTGGACAGCTGAGAGCAAAAAAGGGTCAGTTTTTTTGTGTGTGTTTAGGTCAATTTTCTTTTTCTTTTTTTTTTTTTAATTTATTTTATTTTATTATTATTATACTTTAAGTTTTAGGGTACATGTGCCCAATGTGCAGGTTAGTTACATATGTATACATGTGCCATGCTGGTGTGCTGCACCCATTAACTCGTCATTTAGCATTAGGTATATCTCCTAATGCTATCCTTCCCCCCTCCCCCCACCCCACAACATTCTCCAGAGTGTGATGTTCCCCTTCCTGTGTCCACGTGTTCTCATTGTTCAATTCCCACCTATGAGTGAGAACATGCGGTGTTTGGTTTTTTTGTCCTTGCGATAGTTTACTGAGAATGATGATTTCCAATCTCATCCATGTCCCTACAAAGGACATGAACTCATCATTTTTTATGGCTGCATAGTATTCCATGGTGTATATGTGCCACATTTTCTTAATCCGGTCTATCATTGTTGGACATTTGGGTTGGTTCCAAGTCTTTGCTATTGTGAATAGTGATGCAATAAACATATGTGTGCATGTGTCTTTATAGCGGCATGATTTATATTCCTTTGGGCATATACCCAGTAATGGGATGGCTGGGTCAAATGGTATTTCTAGTTCTAGGTCCCTGAGGAATCGCCACACTGACTTCCACAATGGTTGAACTAGTTTACAGTCCCACCAACAGTGTAAAAGTGTTCCTATTTCTCCACATCCTCTCCAGCACCTGTTGTCAATTTTCTTTTTCTTTTTTTTTTTTTTTTTTTTGAGACAGAGTTTTACTCTGTTGCCCAGGCTGGAGTGCAATGGCGTGATCTCAGCTCACCGCAAACTCTTCCTCCTGAGTTCAAGTGATTCTCCTGCCTCAGCCTCCCTGAGTTGCTGGGATTACAGCTATTACATCTGGCTAATTTTGTATTTTTAGTAGAGACGGGGTTTCTCCATGTTGGTCAGGCTGGTCTTGAACTCCCGACCTCAGGTGATCCACCCACCTCGACCTCCGAAAGTGCTGGGATTACAGGCGTGAGCCACAATGCCCGGCCTGTGTAGGTCAGTTTTCTATTACCATTGTTTATTAAGATTTTCATGTTTCTAAGGGTGATGATGGAGTCTCCCTTGCACCCTTCTTCATTCTGGCCCCAGAAGTACTTGGCATGTATTTTATTTATTTATTTTTAGATTTCGTTATTTTAGTAAGATCTTTTTCTGTATCTCTATTTAAGATAGACTAGGAATGTAATTGAAAATGAGAAGGGGTAAGTAGGATGTATAAGAGAAAAGAGAAGGAAGAATAAAGAACGGGAAGAAGGAAATTGAAGGAGATGACAAGCTCTCTGGATGAACTTCTATGAACATTTTTTGTGATTTGTACCTAAAGGCAGACTTAAATAAAGGTTTCATAGTGACTGAATCTTTCTTATCTGAGTTTCTCTACTATAAAAAGCATTCAAAATAAAATTCCCTGTATTCTGCCTTCTAGGTCTACCACATGATTGAAATCATCTCCCTCCACTGTTACTGTGACCTGCTTCTTACCAAATCTAACAATCTGTGGCCATCTTCATTCTCTTTCATCTTTCTACAGGAACTGATTGGCGTGAAAACTGGCTCTTACCCTAAAAATTTCTCTTCTTCTGGCTTTAGAGATAGCACACTCTCCTGGATGGACCTTCTCTTATTTCTCCAATCCAAAATCCAGTAAGCCAGATCAAAGTGTCCAGGGGGGTGTGGCTTCATCCTTGGAGCTGATAGCCAAGGATCCACAGGTATGTGGATGAGGGTGGTTCATTGCAGAAAGTTCTGACTTTCATTATTTGTCTTTAAAACTGAGGGAAGAGTGAGGAGAGAGGAGACCTCTGACTTGAAGGAGGACCCTAGTCAATAGTCCATTCATCAGTGAGAAGGGACTGAATATAGGCAAGGTAACAGTCTGGGTCTTCAGCCAGGCAGACTAAGAATAGGGTAATATCAGGGTAACATTTCAACCCCAGAAGGGAAGTGGAGTGAGAAGTAGGAATTGGGATAGAAACTATGCATACAGATTGGGCAGCCGTGGTGGTGACCTGGCAAGACTAGTTTGATGACTGTAGAGGCCTGGGATTCTTACCTTTGGTGAATCAGATGATAAGCCAAGGTGTTCTAGATGCTCTCTAATAGCTCCCCCAACAGTCTTCCCTCCACCCCCTTTGCTGGTGAGGGTGAAATTTCTGATATCTCTCTTATCTTTCCAAGGTTGACTCAGGTACTGGGTAGGACTGGACATGCAGGTTAATGTTTAGTACAAGTAAGTGTGTGGGACTCTAGGTATCACTTGTCTCCTGTGCCTAGTCCTGGCTGGGTTGCTCACGTTCTTCCTTTCCTTTGTTTTATGCTCCCTGTCAGGAAGCTCACCTCTCCTCTGTCTCCAACCTTGATGGTTCGCCTGGGTTCTAGTCTGATTTTTTTCAGTGATTCTCACCTCCATTTAGATGTGCCAGCATCATTAGTTCAGATTCCTCATGCTTTATTGGCACTATCATTTCTCCTATTTCCTGGGCCTGAAGCTTTGGAATCCTCTTGAGCTTATTTTCCTTTATCTTTTCTTCTTTACTTGACTCATCATGTAATACTGGACTACCCAAAGAAAAACTGACTTAGTGTCTTCTCCCAATCTTTTCTGTGTTAAATATAATATATACGGAAAATTTTTAGCCAGGTGTGGTGACACATACCTGTAATCCCAGCTACATGGGAGGCTGAGGCACGAGAATTGTTTGAACCCGGGAGACGGAGGTTGCAGTGAGCTGAGATTGCACCACTGCACTCCAGCCTGGGTGACAGAGTGAGACTCTGTCTCAAATTAATAATAATAATATATGGAAAATTGATAGCAAGGAAGGTTTAAAAAAATAGAAGAGCAAATTTATATGAAAATTTCACTAGCTGTGAAACCAAGAATTATTACTTACCCAGACAGACACTCTGGGTTGTAGAAGCAACAATGTTCAATCAAAAGAATGAAAAAGTGCCAGGCACCGTGCTACATGCCCATAGTTCCAGCTCCTCAGAAGGCTGAGGTGGGAGGATTGCTTTAGCTCAGGAGTTCGAGTCCAGCCTGGATAACATAGTGAGACCCCATCTTGAAAAAAAAAGGAATAAAAGAAAAATTGCATAGAAAGATTATTTAATAGAATTATAGAATGGAGAGGTTTCAGAGATCATGTAATTCAAACCTTTTGTTACACAGCTTAGGAAATAAAGTTATGTGGTACACAGTCTGGATAATGAAGAGGAAGGCTTTTCATGAAACTAGTCTCTCACATACATTAGGACCAACAGGCAGGCTAAGACAAACATCACAGACGAGGTCTATAGACAGGACAGTCATAATTACTCTTTCAGGATCATAGACTATATCCTAAATCCTGTCTAGCCCTTGAGATCAAGGAGCCCTAAGTGAAAACGTGTGAATTCATCACAGCTCCTGGTAAAACACCTACCAAAAAAATTATAGATAGATAGATATTTATGTGTATATACATACATACATATATATCATTAGTGGTGAGATTATAGTCTGTTTTCTCTGAGAGAGAAATGATCATGGTATTATTACTGTAGCTGATTCAGAATTTAATAATCTATATTTCGTGTTTGATATGTTTTGGATCTGTGTCCCTGTGCATATCTCATGTCAAATTGTAATCCCCAGTGTCAGAGGTGGGGCCTGGTGGGAGGTGATGGGTCATGGGAGTGGTTTCCATGGTGGGTTTAGCCCCATTCCCTTGGTGGTGTTCTTCTGGTAGTGAGTTTTCGTGAGAACTTGTTGTTTACAAGTGTGTAGCACCTTCTGCCTCACTCTCTTTCTTGCTCCTGCTCCTGCCATGTAAGACGTTTCACGCCTCCTTTGCCTTCTTCCATAATTGAAAACTTCCTGAGGCCTCCCCAGAAGCAGATGCTGCCATGCTTCCTGTATAGCCTGCAGAACCATGAGACAATTAAACCTCTTTTCTTTATAAATTACCCAGTCTAGGGTATTTCTTTATAGTAATGTGAGAACAGACAAATACAGTATTAGAAGAATGACAAAAAAAACGTATAGCCTTGAAAGTGTACTGAGCTAGATTCAGTAACTTGGCTTCAAGTTTCAATTCAATTGTTGCTTTGGTAATTATGAGTAAGTCCTTTAACCAGTTTGAATTCCAAGTTCGTACCCCATAAAATAAGCACCATAATGGTATTGTAAACACCACAGTGTTATTATAGCTCATGAACCCCAGAGCTTGGGACAGTCCTAAGGACCTCTAGGCACATTTGGAAAAGTGTGCCTTGGTAATCTATAAATCAAGTTCCTAGGACATATCCTTTTAGATCAGAGAGCTAAATGATGCCAAACAAGGAGGCCAGTATACCGTAGTGACAGGCTCCTGAGACCACGAGTACCGTACAGAAGGTTATAAGCTACTCCAGCCTGATGTACTCCTGAGACAGGGAAGCAGATTCATCTGGATTCCAAATGAGGCCAAGGCATATAGTTAGAGAGCTATGTATCAGTTAGTTGGTGTTTTGTTTTGTTTTGTTTGAGACAGAGTCTTGCTCTGTCTCCCAGGCTGGAGAGCAGTGGCGCAGTCTCCGCTCACTGCAAACTCCACTTTCTGGGTTCAAGTGATTCTCCTACCTCAGCCTCCCGAGTAGCTGGGATTATAGGCACATGCCCGGCTAATTTTTGTATTTTTAGTAGAGACAGGGTTTCACCATGTTGGCCAGGCTGGTCTTGAACTCCTGACCTCAAGTGATCTGCCCGCCTCAGCCTCCCAAAGTGCTGGGATTACAAGAGTGAGCCACCGCGCCCGGCCTATATATCAGTTTGACTAATTGCCAGGTAGGCAATCTGAGCCCCAATACACACTTTTCAAGCAAGCTGTCACTGATGAAAGCCAACTCTTTCATTGCAGAGTAAGAACTGCTTGTTTTATTTTTTATTTTTTTGAGACAGAGTCTCACTCTGTCGCCCAGGCTGGAGTGCAGTGGTGCGATCTTGGGTCACTGCAACCTCCGCCTCCCAGATTCAAGTGATTCTCCTGCCTCAGCCTCCAGAGTAGCTGGGATTACAGCAGTCTGCCACTATGCCTGGCTAATTTTTGTATTTTTAGTAGAGATGGGATTTTACCATCTTGTCCAAGCTAGTCTTGAACTCCCGACCTCAGGTGATCCACCTGCCTCAGCCTCCCAAAGTGCTGGGATTACAGGTGTGAGCCACTGTGCCCAGCCTAGAACTGCTTGTTTTAGATTATAGTTATCATTGTTTGTGCTAGCTATATGCCAGGTGGTATGCTAAGTGCTTTATGTATATTATCTAATTTGAATGACAATACAGTCCATAAAAAGCGGGTGCTATTATTATTCCCACTTTATAGATGAGAAAACTGGAAGATTAGAGGAGTTTGTAAAT
This sequence comes from Homo sapiens, assembly GCF_000001405.40. Taxonomy (NCBI): domain Eukaryota; kingdom Metazoa; phylum Chordata; class Mammalia; order Primates; family Hominidae; genus Homo; species Homo sapiens. Next base: position 624,512 of record NW_025791796.1, on the reverse strand, counting down.
GTTGAGCATGTATTTAAACTGGTAGAAGGACTTTATTATGCCCCCTCTCTAATGTAGCTCCATCTCCACTTGAGTGGCAAGCTTTATCCATGAAACTCATACATGGGCTCTACAAGTGGGAGCAATGAGCGAGTATAAGTGCCACTGGAGGTTTGGAGACATGGTCTTGAAAAATTAACATCCAATTGCTGTAATGCAAATAGCTGTGAATTTAAAAGACGCTCAGCCAGAGAAAGGGGCAGTGGGTTCTTCCTTCCAGCAGTTTTTTTCACTTATTAGGATGTATTGAGCTGGGGATTGTTATGAAAATGAGACAGGAGGTGAGACTTTTCAAACGGAGAACCTAGCCTGACCCCTTTGCCAAATCAGCATCATGTGATCTTACTGCAGACTCAAGGACCACTCTCTGGCCCCTTTGAGGGTTGAGATTATTAACCTTATTTTCTTCTACAGCTTAGGTCACACTGCTAGTCAGTAGCAGAGGAGGATTTAAACACAGATCCATTGGACCAGGTGTGGTGGCACATGTTTCAAGACCTTTGTCTCAAAAAATAAAAATAAAAAAATAAAAAATAAACCCAGATCTGTTGGACTCCAGAGTTCATGTTTAAACAACCATATTTAATATATAATATATTATCTGGCTGGGTGTGGTGGCTCACTCCTGTAATCCCAGCACTTTGGGAGGCAGAGGTAGGCGGATCACCTGAGGTCAGGAGTTCAAGGCCAGCCAGGACAACATGGTGAAACCTTGTCTCTACTAAAAAGACAAAAAATTAGCCAGCGGTGGTGGCAGGTGCCTGTAATCCCAGCTACTTGGGAGGCTGAGGCAGGAGAATTGCTTGAAACCAGGAGGCAGAGGTTGCAGTGAGCCGAGATTATGCCACTGCACTCCAGCCTGGGCAACAAAAGCAAAATTCCATCTCAAAAAAAAAAAAAAAAAAAAAAAAAAAAAAATATATATATATATATATATATATATATATATATATGTAATATACTATCTTCACCCATATCTTGGATTGCAGCCAAGTACTCCAGTTCTTCCCTGATTATCTGAATTCCCCTATTTTTTAAATTCTTCCTACAAGTCATTAAAATGTTCCAAGTTCACTATTTTTTTTTTTTTTTGGGACGGAATCTCTCTCTGTCACCAGGCTGGAGTGCAGTGGCACAATCTCAGCTCACTGCAACCTCCGCGTTCCCAGGTTCAAGCAATTCTCCTGTCTCAGCCTCTCGAGTAGCTGGGACTACAGGCGCATGCCACCATGCCCAGCTAGTTTTTGTATTTTTAGTAGAGATGGTGTTTCACCATGTTGGCCAGGATGGTCTTGATCTCTTGACCTTGGGATCCGCCCACCTCGGCCTCCCAAAGTGTTGGGATTACAGGCATGAGCCACCATGCCCGGCCTTTTTTTTCTTTTTCATTTTTTTTTTGACACGGAGTTTCACTCTTGTTGCCTAGGCTGGAGTGCAGTGGCGTGATCTTGGCTCACTGCAACCTCCACCTCCCAGGTTCAAGCAATTCTCCAGTCTCAGCCTCCCAAGTAGCTGGGATTACAGGTGCACGCCCCCACACCCGGCTAATTTTGTATTTTTAGTACAGACGAGGTTTTACCATGTTGGCCAGGCTGGTCTTGAACTCCTGACCTCAGGTGATCTGCCTGCCTCTGCCTTCCAAAGTGCTGGCATTACAGGTGTGAGCCACTGTGCCCGGCACCAAGTTCACTATTTTGAGATCCAAAGTTTACTTCCAATTACCTCTGCCTCATCCCATCCAAAAGCAGGACTCAAATCCTTTTCGGGATCAGGTGTACTGTTTTTGTCTCAAAAAAAAAAAAAAAAAAAAAGTAGGATGATTACAGAGTACCCTGATGTAAACTGTCTTATGTTTTGCAGGCCTAGTGTACCAGTTATCATTTGCTGCCCAAAACTTTGTGACTTAAAACAACAACCATTTAATCATATCTCACAATTTTATGTGTAACTGACTTCACTAAATTTAGGCAGGCTTCCACTAGATGATTCTTCTGTTTCATGTGTCATTAGTGGAAGTTACTTGATAATAGACAATTGGTAGATGAACTGGTCTGAGGGACTTAAGACTGCTTCTTTCTCCACTAGGGCACCAGACAGGGCACATGTCTGGTGCCCTGGTGGAGATGGCTAGAAGGCTGAGCTCAGTTGAGTGTGTTAATTGAAACACCTACATGTGGCCTCTTTAGAGTGGCAGTCTTACGGTAGTTGGACTCACATGGCAGCTCAGGGCTTCCCAAGGGAGTGTTCCAGAGTCCTGGAGGAAGTGCAAGTTTCCTTTGACCTAGCTTCAGAAGTCCCAGAATGCAACTGCTGCCACATTATATTGGTCAAGCAAGTGACCAGGTCAGCCCAGTTTCAAGAAGGAATTAGACTCTGCCTCTCAATGGGAGAGGAAGCAAAGAATTTGTGGCCTATTTTAATTACCATACCCGATTAGGGAGACTAGTCAGTGAGGAATGTCCTTGAAGAAAGATGAAGAAAGAGGTCGGGCATGGTGGCTCATGTCTGTAATCCCAGCAGTTTGGGAAGTTGAGGTGGGCGGATCACCTGAGGTCAGGAGTTTGAGACCAGCCTGGCCAAGATGGTGAAACCTTGTCTCTACTAAAAATACAAACAATGAGCTGGGCATGGCGGTGGGTGCCTGTAATCCCAGCTACTTGGGAGGCTGAGGCAGGAGAATTGCTTGAACCCAGGAGGCAGAGGTTGTAGTGAACCGACATCGTGCCACTGCACTCCAGCCTGGGCGACACAGCAAGACTCTGCCTCAAAAAGAAAAAAAAAAGAAAGATGAAGAAAGATATTGGCAAATGTCCACAGACCAGAGGCCAAATGCAGGGTTGTTTTGATTCAGAAGAGTCAGAAGGGAGAAGACACTGAGGTTCTTGTAATCTGCTTTCAGATGGCCCAGAAGGGCTTGTCTGAGGTGACAAGTGGCTATCCAGTAAGTGTGTGCTTGTCCACATATCACGGCTTGTGTGATGCTTTAAGTTGTGATGGTTAGGTCAAACAAACGTATACTGTGAATCTAAAGGTAATCATTCACAAAGAAGAAAAAAATCAGGTAAAACCAATGGCCTTTCCACTTCCTACTGGTCACTCCCCTCCCAGCTTATCAGAGGCCTGCCCTTCCCAGTTCAAAGTCCATCTCTCCAGGGAGTTGCTTGAGATCCTTGCTCTCACCTATATAACCCTATAGTTTGTCTCTTAGTCCATTATAGCACTTCTCTTTATCTGCCTTGTATTTTTGTGATTTCTACATGTGTCTATCTCTACAAGATGATGAAGTCTTGAGAAGAAGGCATGTTGTATACATTTTACCCATGTACTAGCACTATTCTTTGACAGGGGATTAGCAGATGTTTGTTGATCAAAGTAGAGGAGGACAATGAACATGCAAGAAAACTGACCACAAGTGAGCAATTTTAACAGGTGGTAGGACCCTTCCCAAAAGGGAAGACTGAGGGGGTGGCACTCCTTTGTCCCAGAGACAAATCTGGATATTACACCCATCAGTTGGCCATCGCAGCTCAATGCTACTAATCAACAGTAAGGTGGTGTTGGCCTATATGCAGGAGAAAGTGAATGGTCCTTTAAGAACTTGCAAATAAGGAATGTAAGATGGTTCTGTGAGAGTTAAGTGATTTCATTCCAGTGGGAAATGGCACATCTTCCCAGCCCTGGTATAGTTATTTGATTGGCAAAACTCCTGATTTATTCTAATGATAGTCATCTGAAGAAAGATTGGTTCAACTCAAGGGAATGGCTAACTTAGGAAAGCATGACTCAAAGAAGCAAATATTGGCAATATGATTAGCACTTCCTACGGGTATGAAAAGCTGAATTTGAACATTGTGAACATCTTGCCAGTTGAAAGGTTTTCTCTGTTGCAAGGCAGAGATAGTTTATCTGGCTCCTCAAAACACAGCTGAAATGTCCTTTAGGGATCATTCAGTGGCTGTGTGATTGGAACAGAACATCTGGGAATTGGGCCAAATTTTTAATTTATATATGCAATTCAAGTGTGACAGGTGCATTATTTACTACCTACCTCTGCCATGTGGTAGGTAGTAACTATCGCTTCTGTTTAGGTAATCATCCTAGATTAATAGTTTTTTAAATGTTTACCTCAGATCAGAGATAAGAGTCATGATTACCTGAGAAATTGCTGGAAGTGCAAATTCTCAGGTTCCATCTCAGACCTACCTACTGAATCAGAAATTTTCAAAAGAGATGAGCAACAATCTTCGTTTTAATCAGAGCTTTTTTTTTTTTTTGAGACAGGGTCTTGCTTTGTCACCCAGGTTGCCAGGGCACGAACACAGCTCACTGCCGCCTCGACTTCCTGGACTTAAGCAATCCTCCTGCCTCAGCTCCAGAAGTAGCAAGGACTACAGGTGTGGGCCACCATGCCTAGCTAATTTTTTTTTTTTTTTTTGGCATCTTTTATAGAGACAGGGTTTCACCATGTTGCCCAGGCTGGTCTCAAACTCCTGAGCTCAAGTGATCTGCCCGCTTAGCCTCCCAAAGTGCTGGGATTATAGGCATGAGCCACCACACCCTGCCTAATCAGGGGTTCTTAAATTTAAGCATGTACCAAAACCAACCGGACAGCTTGTTAAAATACAAATCACTGGGCCCTGACCACAGTGTTTGGAAATATAGATTCTCAGGTTCCACCCCACTTGTCTGGATCAGTGTTTCTCAAACTTTAATGTGAGTGGGAATAACCTGAAAATATTGTTAAAAGATTCTGATTCAGTAGATCTGGGGTAGAGCCTGAGAGTCTGCATTTCTAACAAGGTGATGTTGATGTTGTGGTCCACAATCCCATACTTTGATTAGTGAGACCCTCGAGCAGAGGTTCCTAAACTTTTCTGCACATTAGTATCACCTGATGTCTCCATCCACTGGTGCTGCTATACCAAAATACCTGAGACTGGGTAATTTTATAGATAATAGAAATTTATTTCTCATAATTCTGGAGGCTGGGGAAGTCCAAGATCAAGGCACTAGCATTTGGTGTCTGGTGAGAACATACCTTCTTGCTGCATCTTCTCATGGCAGAAGGTGGAAGGGCAAACAAAGGAGTGATTGCTGGTTTCTTCTAGCCCTTTTATAAGGCTGCAAACTCCATTCATAAGGGCTCTGCTCTCACGACTTAATCCCTCCTAAAGACCCCAACCCTTAATATTATCACATCGCAGATTGAGTTTCAACATGAATTTTGGGGGACATATTCAGACCATAGCACCTAGGAAACTTCAAAAACTACTGATGCCTGGGTCCTACTCTGGGTGATTGCGATTTAATTGGTCTGGGGTGTGGCCTGGACTTTGGAATTTTTAAAAGATCTCCAGGTAGTTCCAGTGTACAAGCCTTGCTGGCCTTGAATCTCTTTGCTGCTTCAGGAAACCAGAAAGTAAAACTAGATCCTCAAAGCCAATCAGGAAGCCATCACCAATTGCCTTCCCTCCTGTATTGCCAGTCTTCTCAGGTCTGATATTTATGGGAATATGATGGAAGGGCTTGCATATGCTGTTCTTTCACTGGTGGGGCAGGTGTTTCCCACAGAGAGTCACAGACTACGAGGTCTTGAGGTTGGGATTATTATCTAAGGCATATTCTATGGGGAAGAGGCCTTATAAAGCTGGCCTTCAGAAGAAAGGCCCTGTGTGGACTCCTTCAATCCCTCCCCTCACTTCCTTCTCCTCAATATGCTCCCACTGTAGTCACCTCACGTAACCCTTTCTTTCAGGTTTCCTAGCTCTTGTGTTCCCTCACCAAACTCCTCTCTTTCTCCTCTAAACAGACCACTAATGAAGGTTTTCGATGTGAGTGGTACTGCCCTCTAGGGGGTGTTTTTGGCTTTCACAATAATTAGGATGATTTTACACATTTAAATGGGTAGGGCCCAGGATAGCTCAACATTCAGGAACTGTTTAGGACACTACCACACAATGAGTGACATTTCCGCATCTTTAACTTTGAATAACTTGCCAGTCATTCATGTAGCTGAAAACTTGTTTTAATTAGGATCTAACTTAATTTTTTTATTTTTTTTTTGAGTCGGAGTTTTGCTCTTGTCACCCAGGCTGGAGTGCAGTGGTGTGGTCTCGGCTCCCTGCAACCTCCACCTCCTGGGTTCAAGCCATTCTCCTGCCTCAGTCTCCCAAGTAGCTGGGATTACAGGCGGCCACCACCATGCCCGGCTAATTTTTGTATTTTTGGTGGAGACAAGGTTTCACCATGTTGGCCAGGCTGGTCTCAAACTCCTGACCTCAGGTAATCTGCCCACCTTGGCCTCCCAAAGTGCTGGGATTACAGGCGTGAGCCACCGTGCCTGACCATAATTTAATTTTAAATATAAACACAAGGCATTTTATGCGTAGTTTTAATACACACTGAACTTTCCAGGGATGCAACTACCATGAAAATCATGGGATGATCATACCTTGTTTTGTTTGAAAATCTGCCAAAAGCTATTTAGTATTCTGGAAAATCATACCACATCAGTAATTCTGTTCATGGTATTTGAATCGCCATTATAATGCCTGTATCATTCTGCATTTGTAGCTGTTACATTCCAGGTGATTTTATATACAGATGCATATATCTGAGTACCACATTGTGTCTTCTTGAATGTTATACACAAACATTTACATATCTAAACATATAGTATTTAATTATAAGTCATATTCTTTCTAGTATTCCTTTTATCTCCCATCCAAGTACTAACCAAGCCCAACCCTGCTCAGCTTCCAAGATCAGAGGAGATCGGGCGCGTTCGGGGTGGTATGGCCGTAGACTCCTTTATATCTCTTTAAGAGATTTTACTAATTTTTTGGCCAGGCATGGTGGCTTATGCCTGTAATCCAAGCACTTTGGGAGGCCAAGGTAGGAGGACTATTTGAGCCCTGGAGGTAGAGAGCCTGGGCAACATAGCAAAACCCTGTCTCTACTTTTTGTCTTTAAATTTTGGTTTAAAATTGTGCGTGGGGGTAAGTTACATTCTTTACGAATTATGTTTCAGAAAAATAAAAAGAGCTTTAAAATATTTGTTATAAAAAGGAAATGTTTTAGTTCAGGTTGCTATAACAAATTACCGTAGACCGGGTGGCTTAAACAACAAATATTATTTCTCACAGTTCTAGAGAATGGAAGTCCAAGATCAGATTGCCAGCATGGTCTGCCTCTGAAGATGAGGGTCTTCCTTGGGATTGCAGATGGCTGTTTTCTTGTATCCTCATATCGTGGAAAAAGAGCTAGCTAGCTCTTCCGTCTCTCCTTATGAGGCCACCAATCCCATTTATGAGTATTCTAAACTCCATGACCTAATGACCTCCCAGAGATCCCACCCTAAATACCATCGCATTGGGATTAGGGTTTCAATATATAAATTTTGGGGAGACACAAACATAAAGACCATTGCAGGGAGTGTTGGGACTGGTGGCAATAGAGGTTTCTAAGGAAGGAAAGGGGTACTGGCTCAGTTAATAGAGGACAGAATGCCCTCAATTCTGAGCGGAAGCTCAGCTGTTACCTGAGACTCAAGGGTACCTCTCTAAGGAAAGCAATGATATTTTCCAGAAGACAGCTAATCTGCTTTATATAAAGGCAGAAAGCATATTTCTCCTGCTACTATGTTTGGTCCTCTCTTTATGAAGCTAGGATTATTAACCTAAGGGTCACTTGTCTCTTTCCTAAGCCTGGTTCCATCTTCCTGGAAAGGGTTCAGCATTAATCATTCAGGATGGCTCCAGATAGATTCTGTGTGATCCACGGATCTCTCTTCTGATCAACAGGAGGGGAGGCACTTGCTCTCAGTTCAGCGAACTTTGATTGACTGATGTCTACACTTGGTTACAGGCGGTTGCTTTCCGCTTTCCGTCTCCTTTTAAGGAGTTCCTCAAAGGAACTTTAGGATGAATTGAGTCTGACCGTCTTTGATATTAGGAAGGAGAGGTGTACAGCTAGGCAGCGAGCATGCTAAAATCTTTTCCAGGAAACGGTGTTTGAAGAGTTAATGGGAGAAAAAAAGACGAAAATTAGCCAGAGGAGACGAATTTGGTAGAGGGGGAAGCCCTAGGGACAGGAGAAAATAGGACCAGAAAGGGAAAAAAAATAGAAACAATAACAAACTAAACTCGGGCCCCAGAAAAGGCGGCAGGGGTCCTGGGCATTCGCGTCGCAGCCCTGGCATGTCGTCTTGCCCGGCCCTCGGCTCGCTGCCCTTCCAGCAGCTGCTGCGCCCCGCCCGGGCCCGAGAGTCTCCGCCCGCACCGTCTCTTCTCAGATCCGCATCCGGCTCCTCCCCCGGCTGCCACCCTTCCCACCGGCAGAATCCAGAGCGAAGTTTCTGCTTCCTGCTGCGGGAATCGGACGCCCCAGGTCAGGCACCCAGGGTTTCCAGCCCCAGTCTAAGGTAGGGTCCGAGCGCAGGCAGAACTTGCCCTGGCCCTGGGTCTAGGGCGCTGGGCTCTGAGGCTGAGAGCTGGGTGGGAAGTGCCTGGCGGGGCCGGTTAGGAACCACCCGAGACTCAGCTAGGGGTGCATCCACCCTGCTCCTCCCGGCGGCTCCGGGAAGGGGAGGGAGTGTATACTGCGTGAAAGGGGAGGTGAGAAAGGAGGAGGAGAAGGCTGAAGGAGAGGGAGGGACAGGAAGAGAGACCACGTAAGAATCATCCCCTCTTACTTCCTTGCCCTGTGTGCCCATCGAAAGGGGACAGTGGCTGTCACCAACAAATGGTAGTATGAGAACCGTTTGTGATAATAGAAACCCAGACTGTGCTTAAATGTGCTAGACTACCATACAGCCACTTGAAGAGTGAGGTGGAGGCCGGGCGCGGTGGTTCACGCCTGTAATCCCAGCACTTTGGGAGGCGGAGGTTGGGGATCACCTGAGGTCAGGAGTTTGAGACCAGCCTGACCAACATGGTGAAAACCCTCTCTACTGAAAATACAAAAAAATTAGCCGGGCATGGTGGTGGGCGCCTGTAATCCCAGTTACTCGGAAGGCTAAGGCAGGAGAATCGCTTGAACTCGGCAGGCAGAGATTGCAGTGAGCTGAACAACAGAGCCAGACTCCGCCTCAAAAAAAAAAAAAAAAAAAAAAGGAAAGAGTGAGGTGGGTATTAATGTGTTAACAGGGCAAGGTCTCTGAGATATACTAAGTGCAGAATAGCATCTAACTTATGATCCTGTTTGTGTAAAGCAAAAGCAAAAGCAGTGGTGATGGTGAAGGCATGTATTTGCATATGCATAGAAACTGTGAAACTGTTAGTATAAAACTGTGAGCAATGTTTACTTCCAGAGAAGGGAACTAGAGATGGAAGTGGGGACGGAACTTTAACTTTCCATTTGTGGTTCAGCCGAATCTCCTTTCAAAAACTCCAGGGTGCAAAACAATAAAATGAGCAAAATAGTGAGACTGTCCTTTTAAGGATAGGACAGTCTCACTATGTTGCTCAAATAAACTGTCCTTATTTTTCTGTTTATTTTTGGCTTGAGATCTCTTTTAAAAAAAATCTGAGTCAATTCTGAGTTTCCCCACTCCTTTCCTTGGGGGCTTATATAGGGCAACGACATGAGCAAAGTGTATTGGGCACAGAAGCCATCATTTTTTACGTGTTTGTCACACTGACGTCCAGTGAGATATTGTTGTCCTTTTTGGCCCTGGATTGTTAGTCATTCAGGTCTTCTTGGAAGTGTTCTGTACTTTTGTCCCTAAGCTTTTTCACACTAAGTTTAGGTGGTTGACTTAACAATATTATTCCCAAAATATTTACATATGAATGAGAGATTAGCCTTTGTCCAAATAAGTAAGAAAATACATTCCTTTTTTTTTTTAAATAGAGGTCTCACTATGTTGCCCAGGCTGGTCTTGAACTCCTGACCTCAAGTGATTCTCCCACCTCAGCCTCCCAAAATGCTAGGATTACAGGTGTGAGCCACCACACCCAGCCAGAAAATAGGTTCCTGATGGTATAATTCAAGCATTCTGTTAGGCAGAGGTTTCTAATTTTCAGTTTATGGAGATCCTGGGAGGTCCATAAATGGGCTTCATAGACACTCTGAAAATTGAGCACAAAACAGTATATACTTTTTTTTTTTCTGTGAAAAAGCTCCATAGCTTTTACCAGATTCTCAAAAGCCTCTGAATCCCGCTGACCAGCAATTGTGGGAACAAGGCTAAAAGGGTCTCTCTCCTCAGGAACTTAATGGTCTATTGGGAAGAAAGACAAACAGGTGATGTGCTCTATGATAGGGGACATATGGGTGTTGTGAAAACAAGGAGAAGGCCACCTAAATCAGACTGGGGCTTGGTGTCAGCACAGGCTTTTTGGAGGAGTTGATGAAACTGAAGTCTGTAGAGTGAGAGGAAAGTAGCATTTGGCCTTGTAAAGGAGGGGTGGTATTGGTAGAAGAAAGAGTGTTCCAGGGATCTGCCTGTGCACAGGCCCGTAGTCAAGAGATACCTTGGCAATTAATAAGCTAAATAAAATTTGTATGATTGAAGCTTAGAGTGCTGAGGGTTAGATCGGGGTGTTAGTGAGAGATGATGCTGGGAGGTGACCGGAAGTCGGGTTTTGTGTATGATGCTGAAGATGCAGAGGGGAGCAAGACAAAGGAGCCCTTACCTTAAGGAGTTGTATTTCAGTAAAGAGAAACAATTAGGCTGGGTGCGGTGGCTCACGCCTGTAATCCTAGCACTTTGGGAGGCTGAGGTGGGTGGATCATGAGGTCGGGAGATTGAGACCATCCTGATGAACATGGTGAAACCCTGTCTCTACTACAAATACAAAAATTAGCTGGGTGTGGTGGCAGGCACTTGTAATCCCAGCTACTTGGGGGGCTGAGGCAGGAGAATTACTTGAACCCGGGAAGTCGAGGTTGCAGTGAGCTGAGACTGTGCGACTGCACTCCAGCCAGCAATAGAGTGAGACTCCGTTTCAAAAAACAAAAAGCAAAAAAAAAAAAAAAAAAAAAAAAACCACAAAGGAGAAACAATTAGCAAGTGGGCTAATAAGCAAACATGCTTAAAAAAAAAGGAGTCCGCCAGGCACAGTGGCTCACACCTGTAATCCCAGCACTTTGGGAGGCCAAGGTGGGTGGATCACAAGGTCAGGAGTTCGAGACCAGCCTGGCCAGCATAGTGGAACCCTGTCTCTTACTAAAAATACAAAAAAAAAAAAAGAAAAAAAAATCAGCTGGGCATAGTGGCGGGCGCCTGTAATTCCAGCTACTCGGGAGGCTGAGGCAGGAGAATGGATTGAACCTGGGAGGCGGAGGTTGCAGTGAGCCAAGATCGTGCCATTGCACTCCAGCCTGGGTGACAGAGCAAGACTCTGTCTCAAAAAAAAAGGAGTCTCACTATGTAGCTCAGGCTGGTTTTAAACTCCTGGGCTCAAGTGATCCTCCTGCCTCAGCCTCTGAGAGTCACTGGGATTGCAGGCTACCACATCTGGCTCTAGCAGGGAGGTCCTTTAGACAAATCTATATACAGTATGTCACCACATGGATTAGAGGGTTTCAACAAAGGTGGTGGTAGGAGGAATGGAGAGAATTGGATAGATCTGAGAGACACTGAGGGAGTAGAATCAATAGAATTTAGTAGTTTACTGGATAATAATAACAAATAATAATAGCTTCTATATTGAACACTTAGTGCCAGGCAATGCTCAAAGTGCCTAATATTTTTTTCTCATTTATTTCTATAACAACTCTGTGAGGTAGGCATTTTTTTTTTTTTTTTTTTTTTTTTTTTTTTTTTTTGAGACAGAGTCTTGCTCTGTCGCCCAGGCTGGAGTGCAGTGGCCAATCTGGGCTCACTGCAAGCTCCGCCTCCCTGGTTCACGCCATTCTCCTGCCTCAGCCTCCCGAGTAGCTGGGACTACAGGTGCCCGCCACCCTGCCTGGCTAATTTTTTGTATTTTTTTAGTAGAGATGGGGTTTCACTGTGTTAGCCAGGATGGTCTCGATCTCCTGACCTTGTGATCCGCCCGCCTCGGCCTCCCAAAGTGCTGGGATTACAGGCGTGAGCCACCGCGCCCGGCCAGCATTTTTCTTAATTTTATAAATGAGAAAACCCTAGAGACACAGAGAATTTAAGTATCTTATCCAACCAAGATCCCAAGGTAAAGGAGGATTCAAAGTAAAGTCTGTCTCACTTCCAACTCCAGTGGGCAAAGGGGGCAAAGGAAGGGGAATGGATTTGGGGCAGAGATATGAGAAGGAGAAAGATGATACATTTAGGATCTGTGGAATTTGGAGCACCTTTGAGTCATCCAGTGGGGATGTCCAACGGGGAAATGGATAAGTGAATATGAAGCTCAGAAGGGAGATCTAGGTCCAGGAATAGATCTGTGAGTCGCCAGCATAGAAATGTCATTTGGAGCCACATAGTGGGTGAGACCACTCCAGGAAAGTATGTAAAAGGATTAGAATAGAACTGCAAGGAGCATTGATGTTAAGAAATGGCAGAGAAAGAATCCCTCAGAAGATCTAGTCAGAATAGTTTTAAGAAGAAAATCAGGACAGTAGCATCATGGAAAGCAAAGGAAGAGAGAGTTTTAATGAGAGAGTAATCAACAATGTCATATTCTACTTGAGGGGTGAAATAAGATAAAGGCCAAGATATATTTATTTATGGGAGTAAGAAAAAGTTCCTTGGTTACCTAAGAGGACTTGTGGACTGGTGGGGACAGAATCCCATTTAGTTGGTTAAAGAGTGAATAGGAGGCAAGGAAGCTGGGGTGGTGAATATTGACAACTTGATTAAAGTACCTGTTTCTCTGGAGCTATGAACCCACAGTCCAGATTATATTGCGAGGCCTCTCTACTAAGTAGGGATCAAACTGATAGTCCTGCAGCGGGGGTCAGGGGGGTTGGGTCTCCTTTACCTTCTTATGAGAAGGCATGTCCCTTCCTCTCCAGCCATTCCTTTTTGTTGTTTTTTTTTTTAAGAAATATTTTTTATTTTTTAAAACTTTGTAGAGATGAGGTTTCACCGTGTTGCCCAGGCTTGCCTCAAACTCTTGGGCTCAAGGAATCCTCTTGCCTCAGCTCCCAAAGTGTTGGGATTACAGGCATGAGCCACTGCACCTGGCCTTTTCTTAATTTCTCTGCTCTTAAGCCTCTGCCTTACCTTTTCCCTATCCCTCTCTCTTAGAATATTCTCTGGATGAACCCAGTCCTGGGAAAAACAACATTGGTTGTTTTCTACCCACAAATCATTGGCATTATCAGGAGGGCTGTGGGGAAGATATGCTCTCATGCAAATACACGCTCAGTGCAGCCAGGTGCTCATCTCCTGTCTTTCTCTCCTTCTAGGCATATACAAGCTGAGTTTCAGCCATGGAAAAACTCCATGGGCATGTGTCTGCCCATCCAGACATCCTCTCCTTGGAGAACCGGTGCCTGGCTATGCTCCCTGACTTACAGCCCTTGGAGAAACTACATCAGCATGTATCTACCCACTCAGATATCCTCTCCTTGAAGAACCAGTGCCTAGCCACGCTTCCTGACCTGAAGACCATGGAAAAACCACATGGATATGTGTCTGCCCACCCAGACATCCTCTCCTTGGAGAACCAGTGCCTGGCCACACTTTCTGACCTGAAGACCATGGAGAAACCACATGGACATGTTTCTGCCCACCCAGACATCCTCTCCTTGGAGAACCGGTGCCTGGCCACCCTCTCTAGTCTAAAGAGCACTGTGTCTGCCAGCCCCTTGTTCCAGAGTCTACAGATATCTCACATGACGCAAGCTGATTTGTACCGTGTGAACAACAGCAATTGCCTGCTCTCTGAGCCTCCAAGTTGGAGGGCTCAGCATTTCTCTAAGGGACTAGACCTTTCAACCTGCCCTATAGCCCTGAAATCCATCTCTGCCACAGAGACAGCTCAGGAAGCAACTTTGGTAATAGCTCCAGGCACTCATCTTGACTCCAGCCATGTCTGTTGTATGCTCTTGTCTCTAGCTTTCAGTGTCTCAGTTTCCCTCTGTGCTGCTCTGTGTCTGGCTATCTTCTCTCCTCAGAGCCTCTCCTAAGGTGCCTTTTGTTGCAGGACCATCTTCACTGGCATCATTACTTTTATTGCATATCTACATTGGAGATATTGTGCAATAGATCAAAAACAATTCCTGTCCTGGCTGGGTGCGGTGGCTCATGCCTGTAATCCCAGCACTTTGGGAGGCCAAGGCGGGCGGATCACTTGAGTCCAGGAGTTCGAGACCAGCCTGGGCAACATGGTGAAACCCCGTCTCTACCAAAAATACAAAAATTAGCCAGGTGTGGTGGCACGCATCTGTAATCCCAGCTATTTGGGAGGCTGAGGCACGAGAATTGCTTAAACCGGGAGGCGAGATTGTGTCACTGCACTCCAATCTGGGCAACAGAGAGAGACTGTGTCTCAAAAAAATGAAAGCCCAAAAGACACAACAAAAAACAGTCCCTGTCCTTAGGAAGCCTCTGTTCAGGTGAGCCAGCTTAATGTTACTATAGCAGAGTCAGTTAGGTGCTTTTGAGATCAGGCATGAGATACATCTGCTAATTAATTTTCCAACAGCCCTATCAGGGCCTGTACCAGAGACCACTTAATTGTCTGTGCATGTGCAAATACACGTCCACTTTTACACATCTACATGCCTACATTTAGTATACAGTTCAGAATCACTAGAAAGACACACATTGCTTCTGTATATACTTGTGTTTCGGGTTGAGGGACAAGGCTAATCTGAACCCTCTTCTGTCTCTGCCAATTACAAACTATGCAACCTTGGGCAACCTCTTAACCCTTTAGAGCTTTAATTTCCTCGCCTTTAAAATGAATTTAATGAAAATCTACTTCACAGGGTTGTTATCAGGATTACAACTGCTGCCATCTTACATTGATTTAGGGCTTTGCATTTTGCAAAGAGTCATACATACATATAACACTCCATTTAATTTCCCAGTGGCCCTATCAGATAGGTGGTAGTGAATGAGAGAAAGCTGAGGTTCAGAGAGGTTAAGCAGCCCAAGGCTGCTGGGGGATTAATATGGGGCTTTGCCCTTTTTCTTCTGACCCCCAAAACATCTTACTAATATCCTAAAAGGTGTGTGAAGAGCCCCATGCTCCCAGGTTGTGACGCCAATGAAGAGATGAAAGCAGGGGCAGATCATGAAGCATGTGGGCGAAGGCTCTGAAGGTTGAGTAGAGCAAGGTGGTGTGTGAGAGCAGTAAGTCAGACAGGACACATCAGTGCTGGTGTGTGAAGGGAGAGAACATTAGAGGTGCTATTAATGGAGATGTAGACTTTTCCCGTGGCCTGGTGCTGCCTTCAGATCCATCTGGCTTTGAGGGGCTGTGGATACCTGCTGTGATTCATAACTGCCACTACTACCCCAGGGTCGTTGGTTTGATTCAGAAGAGAAGAAAGGGGCAGAGACCCAAATGCCTTCTTATAGTCTGAGCTTGGGAGAGGAGGAGGAGGTGGAGGATCTGGCCGTGAAGCTCACCTCTGGAGACTCTGAATCTCATCCAGAGCCTACTGACCATGTCCTTCAGGAAAAGAAGGTAAAAATTCAAGAGTTAGGGGAAGGTTAATAATGGTGTGGAGGGGAGGTTGGTGGTGGAGTACTTGAACCAGGTCCCCTCCCCAGTTGGAAGGGGAAGGTAGGGATACAACCTAGCTCTTATTTCTCACTTCCTAATCCCCTTTTCTTTTTTCTTTTATTTTCCTTTTCTTTTTTTCTTTCCTTTCTTTCTCTCTTTTCCTTTTCTTTTTTTTTTTTTTTGAGATGGAGTCTCACTCTGTCACCTAGGTTGGAGTGCAATGGCATAATCTCAGCTCATTGCAACCTCTGCCTCCTGAATTCATTATTCTCCTGCCTCAGCCTCCTGAGTAGCTGGAATTACAGGCGTGCACTGCCATGCCTGGCTAATTTTTGTATCTTCAGTAGGGATGGGATTTCGCCATGTTGGCCAGGCTGCTCTCGAACTCCTGACCTCAGGTGGTCTGCCCACCTCAGTCTCCCAGAGTGCTGGGATTACAGATGTGAGCCACCATGCCTGGCCCTAATCCCCTTTTGTAAGTTCTCAACTGGACTCCACATCTCGGGTCCATTCTCTCTGTCCTTGACTTTGTAAGTTAGTCTGCATGGATGCTTAAGTTGGTCCTTGTTACCTCTCTTCTCATTTCTTCCCTCTTTCTCAATTCCCAGATGGCTCTACTGAGCTTGCTGTGCTCTACTCTGGTCTCAGAAGTAAACATGAACAATACATCTGACCCCACCCTGGCTGCCATTTTTGAAATCTGTCGTGAACTTGCCCTCCTGGAGCCTGAGTTTATCCTCAAGGTATTGAGGTGTGAAGGAGGGGATGGGGGTGTGAAGCTGGTAGACTGGGAGTGTGGTTATGGTGTGTGGCGGGGTGGTGACTAGCTTCATGTTGGGGGTGGGAGGAGCTTCTCTTAGGAAGGATTTCTGGGTGAGTCTGCGGCCTAGTCCCTGTGGTTCAGTGAAGAGTGGGGAAAGAGTATACTAGACTTGGTTTGTTTAGTAAGTACCCATTCTCTCAAGGAGCTTATAGTATTGTTAGGGAAGCAAAATACTTTTCCAAATATCATACAAATACAGCTGGAATATTAGATAGTGAACATTTCTGAAGCAAAGAAGAGCGCGGTGGGAAATATCTTCTATGATGCTTTGGAAAATGGCAGGTTTAATCAATGATTTGAACCCAGAATAAATTTTTGATAGCTGTTGATGCAGGAGGTCTTCCAAAGAAGGAAAAGGCCTGGTTGACTTGCAAGGCAGTCAGTAGACTCAGAAGAAGACATGCTGGAAAGTTGAGTAAGGGATAGAGTATGGAGGACTTAGAATGCCAAGTCAGGTGGCCTGGGCTTCGTATTTTGTGGACAACGTGGAGGGCTCAGGAAAGGTTTTATACAGGCACACTCAATCAGCAAGTAATTTCAGGGCAGAAAGCTACGGGAGGAGTGACTGAGATTCTAGTCCTCTCACCCTGTGTCCTAGGCATCTTTGTATGCCAGGCAGCAGCTGAACGTCCGGAATGTGGCCAATAACATCTTGGCCATTGCTGCTTTCTTGCCGGCGTGTCGCCCCCACCTGCGACGATATTTCTGTGCCATTGTCCAGCTGCCTTCTGACTGGATCCAGGTGGCTGAGCTTTACCAGGTATGGTGCTCATTTCCCTGAGCTTGGGCCTTCACTTCATTCCTTCTCTTATGCTCACTGCATCCTTGGAGAAAATTCTCAGGCAATTTGGTTTCCCCTCAGCTTTCCTCAGCATTGGTGCCCAGACAGGACAGCTTCTCCCTCCACTAGGCTGGGTTGTCCAGCATGGAGAATGTGATTGAGAAGGGCTGGACCAAAGTTTGAGAAAAAAAAATGGTCTTATTCTGGACCTCATGCTTTTTTTTTTTTTTTTTGGAGACGGAGTTTCACTCTTGTCGCCCAGGCTGGAGTACAATGGCGTGATCTCGGCTCACTGCAACCTCCGCCTCCCAGGTTCAAGCGATTCTCCTTCCTCAGCCTCCCAAGTAGCTGGGATTACAGGCGTGCGCCACCACGCCTGGCTAATTTTTATATTGTTAGTAGTGATGGGGTTTCACCATGATGGCCAGGCTGGTCTTGAACGCCTGACCTCAGGTGATCCACTGGCCTTGGCCTCCCTAAGTGCTGGGATTACAGGCGTAAAGGTGAGCCACCCTGCCCAGCCAGGACCTCATGTTTCTAATGAAGAAATGAAAATCAGTACCACAGAAATTGTGATTTTGGAGCTAGGGCTGGGAACTTGCTCGCTACTCTGTGCTCTCGTGTATCTCCATGAAGTGATCTCGTTTTGTTTTGGAGGGTTGGTTTGGGTCTTGCTTCTAGTGGTCTCTCCTCTCTCTTTGACAGAGCCTGGCTGAGGGAGATAAGAATAAGCTGGTGCCCCTGCCCGCCTGTCTCCGTACTGCCATGACGGACAAATTTGCCCAGTTTGACGAGTACCAGCTGGCTAAGTACAACCCTCGGAAGCACCGGGCCAAGAGACACCCCCGCCGGCCACCCCGCTCTCCAGTCAGTCACTGCCCCAGCCCTCGACCCACGCCCCTTTTCTCCAGGAAGGGCAGGACAAGGGAGCATGCTGATGCTGGGGAGTCCCACACCAGGAGCAAAGGGAGTCAGAGAAATGCAGGGGAGCTGGGTAGAGCTCATGGGCATATGGTGCAGGGCAGTCTTCTTTTCTAGTTGGCTTCCTTTTTGGTAGAGATGCACCTTCAGGGCTATTGACTGGATCTCTTCAAGGACAGCCAGTTCCCTTTTTTTGAAATTGCTTCTCCTGTCCCTACAGGGGATGGAGCCTCCATTTTCTCACAGATGTTTTCCAAGGTACATAGGGTTTCTCAGAGAAGAGCAGAGAAAGGTGAGTCCCTTCTTCTGGGGTTGTATATGTGCATGTACAATCTCTTCTGGACTAATATTTACGAACAAAATTCTATTAGGGTTGAAAATACTTTCTTCCTGGGGATTCTTGGCTGTGATTGTGGGTAAGGTTCTGAGAGCACTGGGAAAGGCATGTGGTTTTATTTTTTTTCACTTCACTCTCCTTGGTATTGTATTTTTTTTTTTTTTTTTTTTTTGAGATGAAGTTATGCACTGTGGCCCAGGCTGGAGAGCTGCAGTGGCACGGTCTTGGCTCACTACAACCTCCACCTCACAGGCTCAAGCGATTCTCCTGCCTCAGCCTCCTGAATAGCTGGGACTACAGGCGTGTGCCACCACGCTTGGCTAATTTTTGTGTTTTTAGTAGAGATGGGGTTTCACCATGTTGGCCAGGCTGGTCTCGAACTCCTGACCTCGTGATCCACCTGCCTTGACCTCCCAAAGTGCTGGAATTACAGATGTGAGCCACCACACCCAGCTGGTATTGTACTTTACTGCCGGGTGACATGTCAGTAAAGTTGGATAAGTGAGTTAAAAACATTATGAAATATATACCTTTCACAGGAAGTTTTAAAAACAAACCAAACAAAATCTTTTTACTTTTGGACAAATAAGGTATTGTACGTAGCATTTAAGAGCATAGAATCTGGATTCACGTCACCCGGCTTTGAATCTTCCATCCACCCCTTACTGGCTATGAGACATTGGTCAAATGATTTAACCTCTCTTGCCTCAGTTTTCTCACGTATTAAATGGGAATAAAAGCAGAACCTACATTGTTAGGTTGTCATAAAGATTAAATAAGTTACTATATTTAAAGTATTTCTAACAATTCCTGGAAGTAAATAAGTGTTAGCTATCACTACCATCATCGTTATTAAAACAGATGATTAGGAAAATATATATTAGCGTTATAAGAAAAAACGCTTTCTCAGTTGGTCAACTCGTCTTTTCTCTTCATCCTATTAATATATCCTAAATTTAGTTCTTCTGCCATAGAAGATGCTGAAAGCTACCTGCTTTTAGTTTTTATTTATTTATTTATTTTTGAGACGAAGTCTTGCTCTGTAGCCCAGGCTGGAGTGCAGTGGTGCTGTCTTGGCTTACTGCAATCCCCACCTCCTGGGTTCAAGCAATTCTCCTGCCTCAGCCTCCCGAGTAGCTGGGAGTACAGACATCCACCACCATGCCCAGCTAATTTTTTTGTAGTTTTAGTAGAGACGGGGTTTCACCATGTTGGTCAGACTGGTCTCAAACTCCTGACCTCCTACTCCTCCCTCCCGAGTAGCTGGGATTCAAATGATCCACCTGCCTTGGCCTCCCAAAGTGTTAGGTTTATAGGCATGAGCCACCACGCCCTGCCTACTTTTAGTTTTTAAACTCCTCGTAGCCTGCATTGTGCTCGTTTCTCTATTTATCTATTAAGAGTCTTAGTGATTTAAATCGGAGCTGATTTTCCCTTTCCCCTCCTCTACAAACAAAGCTGTCCTGTGTTCATTCTATCCCCACCTTGTTTCTCACAAGCCAGTCAACCCATGTTAACTGCTTGTGTGAATGAAACAGTGACCCCAAAGAGTTGCCATCCTGTGCTGCTTACCATGGGAGCTCTTGTTGCCAGAGATTTGTACCCTCTATTCCTGCTCCTTGGCCAAATCTATTTTGAAGAAAGAAATTACCACATAGGGATCGGATGGTCTTACAATCTGCTTTATTGAAGAAAGTTCCCATGGTCATGGATGAAAGGACCCCTGTGGGACTTGGGGATGTTTCCACAGTTTGAGAAGGCCGGTGATACAGTGTCAGAGAAAAAGAATCCTCCAAGGTTCACCCTGAAGAAGCTGGTTCAGCGACTGCACATCCACAAGCCTGCCCAGCACGTTCAAGCCCTGCTGGGTTACAGGTGAGAAGCTGCACCCTGAGCATGCATTCCATCTAAGTAATTCCTTAACTTTTCAACATCCGTGGCCCCCATCCCAGTAGTTCTCAAACCCAGCAACATGACTTTAGACAGACATGCCCTGTAGACATGACTGCCTTTCCAATTGCTGCCTTTCCTTTTCTGACTCACCTGTAAACATGACTCACCTTTCCTTTTCTGAGTTATTTTTAGGCATATTTGGGCAGACATGCCCTGTAAACATGACTCACCTTTCCTTTTCTGAGTTATTTTCTTGCTGACTCTGAAATGATAGACCTCTTTCTTACCTATCCTCAGATACCCCTCCAACCTACAGCTCTTTTCTCGAAGTCGCCTTCCTGGGCCTTGGGATTCTAGCAGAGCTGGGAAGAGGATGAAGCTGTCTAGGCCAGAGACCTGGGAGCGGGAGCTGAGCCTACGGGGGAACAAAGCGTCGGTCTGGGAGGAACTCATTGGTAGAGTGACCTTGACCATCACATTCCCTCCTTCTCTTCCCCATTTATGCCTCCACATTTTAGATCCTCACTAGAAGATTTCTGTGGAATGATGAAGTTATTACTTTGCCTGGTTGTTGTATTTGATTTATAAGGTCTGCCATTGACTACACCAAAGTAAACAGTGGTACCTGCTTTGAGTAATGTTGGCATCATAGATCATTATACCAGATGTAGTTAGGTGATGTACAAGTTTTTATCAACATATGACAAAAGTACCTTCTCTCTCATTGTACTCATATCGATATCTCTGTAACTCATTCCAAAAAAGGTAGGACTGGCACATGGCATATTGGAATCTGTACAGAACCTCATATTGTATTTAGGACATGGAAGTTTTAGGTAATTTGCCCACATTGATACAGAAAAAAAAAAAGTCAAATAGAGGAGGATCAAGTTATCTTCAGTTTTCTCTTTCTCTGTTTTTTTTTTTTTTTTTTTTTTTTTGGTCTACTTTTACCTATAGCAGGCTCTTTCTTTCGTTTTTTACTTTATAAAATTATTACTTTTCTTTTTAAATTTTAGAGACAAGGTCTTTGTAATGTTGCCCAGGCTGGTCTCAAACTCATGGCCTCAAGCATTTCTCCTACCTTGGCCTCCCAAAGTGCTGGAATTATAGGCATGAGCCACTGCACACACACACACACGCACCCACACACAAACACACATACACACACACACCTGCCCCCAGTTGACAGCCTCTTCTTCCCTGATGGTTGAAACCACTTGGGGTGGAGTAGAATAAAGGGGCCTGGATAGAAGCCGGTATATGTAGATAATTCTTTTTTTTTTTTTTTTTTTTTTTTTGAGACGGAGTTTTGCTCTTTTTGCCCAGGCCGGAATGCAATGGCGCAATCTTGGCTCACTGCAACTTCTGCCTCCTGCCTCAGTCTCCCGAGTAGCTGGGATTACAGGCGCATGCCACCATGCCCAGCTAATTTTGTATTTTTAGTAGAGACGGCGTTTCACCATATTGGCTGGTCTTGAACTCCTGACCTCCAGTAATCCACTCGCCTCGGCCTCCCAAAGTGCTGGGATTATAGGTGTGAGCCACCACGCCCAGCCATATGAAGATAATTCTATATGCACCCATCTCCACTTCCTCCCTCTGGTTGAGAACCACTGTCCCTGAAAATGTAAGGACATGTAAATTTATTCTTTTAATGTCATTTATCCTGGTTGAGGCAAATGCCCATAGTCTAATCCCGTGGTGGCTAGTGTTTCTTTTTTTTAATCATATACTACAAAAACAATTTTTAGGATACACCAGAATATATGTATATGTACTTTTTTTTTTTTTTTTTTTTTTTTTAAGAAACAGGGCCTCACTTTGTTGCCAAGGCTGGTCTCCAATTGCTGGGATTACAGATGTAAGCCACTGTGCCCAGCCAAAAATAAATATAAATAAATAAAAGGAAATATAAAAAAAGATATAAGTATAAAATATAAGATAAAATGTAATTGGATATACAGAACCCTTTTTGAAGACCACAGATCTCATTAATAACTCATTAACATTTTTTTGGAATGAAATTAGTGAATTTTGCAATCTTAAGGATAAATGTCCAGTTTATTTTCTAATATCACCAGTATGATATTGGACTTAATTTCTTACCGAAAATGATCTAGAAAACCTTTTATACATAGTAACAGTGGAAAAAACTTGAGTCGACAATGGATGCAATAGTTCATTTATAGTACATATACAACCTAATTGTTCCATACAGTTTGTGAATCAGAATTATGACTGGAGGCCAGGCACCATGGCTCACGCCTGTAATCCCAGCACTTTGGGAGGCTGGGGCGGGCAAATCACTTGAGCTCAGGAGTTTGAGACCAGCCTGAGCAACATGGTGAAACCCCGTCTCTAACCAAAAATAGAAAAATTAGCTGGGCATGGTGGTTGATGTCTGTGGTCCCAGCTGCTTGGGAGGTTGAGGCAGGAGGATTGCTTGAGCCTGGAAAGTGGAGGTTGCAGCGAGCCAAGATTGTGCCACTGAGTGACAGAGACAGACTCCATCTCAAAAATAAAAAAAAAAAGAATGATGACTGGAGAATCCCAAGACTTCCAGAGGGCTGAAAGCTTCCAGCTATAATTCAAATAAGACTTACATCCCCTTTACAAAGGGAGCAGCATTTACCTGATGAAGCTGCTGATGGTGTGGGCTGGTGCACAAGGCATGGTGACGGACTGACCGGCCTGGCCTCTAAAGTGGTTTGAATGCACCTCTGTCCAGGAAAAGAAAATCACACCTCCTATTTATGTTTACTTTTATCTAAAAGAAAAGAATTTTCCCAGTACTTACCATGCAGATTGAACCCACATAGTCACTGAATCCATATGATACAGTGTTATGTGTTACGTGTAATAGTTGAGGTTTTCTGAGCATCCACAATCTGAGGGCATTAATGTCACCCCTTCACTCTTTTTTTTTTTTAATTTTGGTTTCTATATAATTTGACTTATAGCAATTTATCTTTCAATTGTAGATGGATTTGGAATTATATTATTCAGTATTAACCAAATTAACTGTCTAAAATTGATATAAACCTTTTTTTTTTTTTTTTGGGCGGAGTCTCACTTTGATGCCCAGGCTGGAGTGCAATGGCGCGACCTCGGCTCACTTCAACCTCCGCCTCCCAGGTTCAAGTGATTCTCCTGCTTCAGCCTCCTGATTAGCTGAGATTACAGGCGACCACCACCACGCCCGGCTAATTTTTGTATTTTTAGTAGAGATGGGGTTTCACCGTGTTAGCGAGGATGGTCTTGATCTCCTGACCTCATGATCCGCCTGAGTCGGCCTTCCAAAGTGCTGGGATTACAGGCGTGAGCCACTGCACCCGGCCTAAAATTGATATAAACCTTAAAAATATTATTATTAAGAAACTATGGGCTGGGCATGGTGGCTCACGCCTGTAATCCCAGCAATTTGGGAGGCCGAGGCAGGCAGATCACTGTAGATCGGGAGTTTGAGACCAGCCTGGCCAACATGGTGAAACCCCGTCTCTACTAAAAATACAAAAATTAGCCAGGCATGGTGGTGAGCACTTGTAATCCCAGCTACTCGGAGGCTGAGGCAGGAGAATTGCTTGAATCCAGGAATCAGAGGTTGCAGTGAGCTGAGATTGCACCACCACACTCTAGCCTGGGTGACAGAGTGAGACTCCGTCTCAAAAAAAAAAGAAAAGAAACTATGGCTTGAAGATAATATTAATAACACAGGTACAAGGGAACAATAAGGAAGTGACAGAGGTCAGTGGTGAAATTCTATCTCCAGTGCAAATCTTTTTCACCTATATTTAAGCAAAAAAAGTAATGACTAATCAAATAGAAGAAATTGGGTGAGAAGCTTACAAATTATGAAGACTATTTCAAATATGGATTTACATACATTCGTCATTATAAATGGTGAACTTTTTTTTAATTTTTTTTTTGGAGACAGAGTCTTGCTTTGTCACCCAGGCTGCAGTGCAGTGGCGTGATCTCGGTTCACTGCAACCTTCGCATTTTGGTTTCAAGCGATTCTCCTGACTCAGCCTTTCGAGTGGCTGGGATTAGAGGCACCAGACACCACGCCTGGCTAATTTTTGTATTTTTGTAGAGACGGGGTTTCATAAATGGTGAACCTTCTTTTAAATGGATATTGTGCCTTGAAATATTAACTAATGAATGTGCTACATTATGTTAGTATATACTTCATAAATCAACTTACACTACGAAATTTCTCTTTTGGCCATCTAAAAAGTTTAGAAACCTTTGCTCTAGACTAGATAATACATTTTGCCAGTTGAACCCAATCTTAGGGCTAGAGCCAACAGATTAAGTGGTAACATAACAGCCATCCCATAAACAGTGTTGCATAAATTTTGTTCCAAACTTTGGGCCAACCCTGTTTTTAATCTTTCCAAGCCTTTAAAACATTTTGAGTAGGGTAGATTGTATGTGAATTCCTCACTTCCTCTATCTTGGACTTTCCACATGCCTGGTTTCTGAACTTCTTGCTCTGGTCTCTGACCTCTCTCTAATCATCCCTCATTTGCTTTTTTTTTTTGAGACAGTCTTGCTATGTTGCCCAGGCTGGACTCTAATTCCTGGGTTCTGGGCTCAAGTGATCCTTCTGTCTCAGCCTCCTTGGTAGCTGAGATTATAGGTGCATGCCACTGTGCCTGGCCTTCTCATTTGTTTTTCTCACTCTATGCCCCACATTCCACAGAAAATGGGAAGCTTCCCTTCATGGCCATGCTTCGGAACCTGTGCAACCTGCTGCGGGTTGGAATCAGTTCCCGCCACCATGAGCTCATTCTCCAGAGACTCCAGCATGCGGTATGTGTGAGGGGCTGGTAGCCATGGGGCCCAGCAACTAGATGTGCACGTGGAGAGGCCACTGCTGCTTTAGAGGCCAGGCTTTTTCAGGGGGCAGAGGCAGGTACGGCCCTCAAGCTGTTTCCATGTGGGCTGTAAGTAGATCTGGGAATACAGCTAGGTTGAGGGAGATAAGTTTTGGGGTTCAGTAAATCCTTTGAGAAGTTACAGTAGAGTATAAGAACTTTCATTTTAATTTTCTGAGCTCAGTGACTTACCAGGAAGAGACACTTGTGTGATGTAACTGATTTCAGAAGGAGTCTTTGTTTTTTATTTATAGAGATGGGGTTTTGCGATGTTGGCAAGGCTGGTCTCAAACTCTTGAGCCCAGGCAGTCCACCTGCCTAAGGCTCCCAAAGTGCTGGGATTACAGGCGTGAGCTACCACACCCTGCCCAGAGGGAGTCTTAAAAGAAACGGGGCTCCTTCTGTTACTTTCTCTTCTTTTGTTACCTTTTCTCACATCCTAAAATGATGACTTTTTTCTTTCTTCTTATTACCCCTTTTCTATATCTCTTGTCTAAGTTCATTTTGTCCTTCTGTACCTTCCCACAAAGCTAATAGAGTGGACCCCTGAAGCCCCCCATACTCCCGGCTCCTGTGCTCATGACCCCTCCCTCCTTTGCTTTCTAGAAGTCGGTGATCCACAGTCGGCAGTTTCCATTCAGATTTCTTAACGCCCATGATGCCATTGATGCCCTCGAGGCTCAACTCAGAAATCAAGGTATTCTCCCCTTTCTTCCAACTCCTCTTTGCCTCCCACATCTGACAATAAATGAAGCAGCAGCACCAATATTTTTAGCCTCTTGCTTTGCAGTCTCAGGGTGTATCGGGGTGGGGGGCAGAGGTCAGGCACTTGCCAGCCCCAAGGGTTGGGGCTCAGGTCACATTACTGGTAGGAAAAGATGAGGGAATAGAAGCTGCCTAACTCGGAAATTTACCTGTCATCATACAGCATTGCCCTTTCCTTCGAATATAACACTGATGAGGCGGATACTAACTAGAAATGAAAAGAACCGTCCCAGGCGGAGGTTTCTTTGCCACCTAAGCCGTCAGCAGCTTCGGATGGCAATGAGGATACCTGTGTTGTATGAGCAGCTCAAGAGGGAGAAGCTGAGAGTACACAAGGCCAGGTATGTATGCACTGTCTGGGAGCCAAGGGTGGGCAATCGGGGCTACCCTGGCACAGGTTGGAAGTCATCTGGGAATCCCAACTGTTTTTCTGTAAAGGTTTGCTTGTCAGTCATCGCAGTGGCTCAGAACTGCCTGGTTTCTTGCACAGCACACCTTGTCTTTAACATTGTCCTAAAGAGAGATCATGAAACAAAGTCTACTCCTGGACCTCCACTCTA
The DNA here is from genome assembly GCF_000001405.40 of Homo sapiens. Lineage (NCBI taxonomy): Eukaryota > Metazoa > Chordata > Mammalia > Primates > Hominidae > Homo > Homo sapiens. Next base: position 597,911 of record NW_025791796.1, on the reverse strand, counting down.
TTATCTGTGATTGTTTTATTGGTTTATGTAGATTCCTTTCTTTTAGTTATGCTGATGTATGGTGGTGTATGCTGGTGTCCTCTCTGCTTCTGCTCTGATTCATGGTTTTCTTTTTCTTTTCTGTGACATGTTTGTTTTTCTTTTTGTTTCTATCTTTCTGTATTTTTTGACCCATTCATCTTTTTTGTTTTTGTTGTGTGTGTGTGTATTTTGAAATACACACAAAGATAGTTACCATCAGCAGGCTCAAAGACAGATGTACCATCTGTTTTGTAGGCTTGATGAAGTCTCAGCTGTCTTTTTAAGTGGTTCATCAGTATCTTACACTTATTTTTACTCAAAACAAACACAGGACTCACTTAACTTTCTAGAGGGCTCAGTAACTAGGAATCTCCTGAATCAGTAGCTGAACAGAGGGCCATTTAAGAATCAAGCCTGGCTGGGTGTGGTGGCTCACGCCTGTAATCCCAGAACTTTGGGAGGCCGAGGCAGGTGGATCACGAGGCAGGTGGATCATGAGGTCAGGAGTTTGAGACTAGCCTGGCCAACATGGTGAAACCCCCTGTCTACTAAAAATACAAAAATTAGCCGGGTGTGGTGGTGGGTGCCTGTAATCCCAGCTACTTGGGAGACTAAGGCAGGAGAATCACTTGAACCCGGGAGGCGGAGGTTGCTGTGAGCTGAGATCGCGCCATTGCACTCCAGCCTGGGCAACAAGAGTGAGACTCTGTCTCAAAAAAAAAAAAAAAAAAAAAAGCCCAAGGGGCCAGTCCAAATGGTATTTGTGTACTGACCAATGTAGCCACTAGCCACATGTGGCTATTTAGCAGTTGAAATATGCTAGTGACGTCTGAGTTGAGACATGCTAGGTTTTGAAGGCAGTCTGAAAAAAGAGTGTGAAATATTCATAACTTTTGTATTAATTACAGGCTGACATGAAAATGTTTTCATATATTGGGTTAAATAAAATGCAGTATTAAATTAATTTTAGCCAGGTGCAGGTGCTTGCACTTGTAGTCCCACCTACTTGGGAGGCTGAGGTGCTGGGATCTCTTGAGCTCAGGAATTTGAGGCTGCAGTGAGCTATGATCATGCCACTGCACAGACTAGGCAACAGAGGAAGACCCTGTCCCTTTTTTTTTTGAGACAGGATTTTATTCCCATCACCCAGGCTGGAGTGCAATGGCACAATCCCAGCTCACTGCAACCTCTACCTCTCAGGCTCAAGTGATTCTCCTGCCTCAGCCTCCCAAGTAGCTGGGATTATAGGCACACACCACTGCACCCAGCTATTTTTTGTATTTTTTGTAGAGTTAGGGTTTCACCATGTTACCCAGGCTGGTTTCAAACCCCTGAGCTCAAGCGATCCAACCACCTTGGCCTCCCAAACCAAAGTGCTGAGATTATAGGCATTAGCTAAGCACCCTGGCTCTTTTTTTTTTTTTAATTGAGACAAAGTCCCACTTCGTCACCCAGGCTGGTGTGATCTCAGCTCACTGCAACCCCTGCCTCCCCTGTTCAAGTGATTCTCGTGCCTCAGACTCCCAAGTAGCTGGGATTACAGGTGCATACCACCACACCCCGCTAATTTTTGTATTTTTAGTAGAGACAGGGTTTCACCCTGTTGGCCAGGCTGCTCTCAAACTCCCAACCTCAAGTGATCCAACTACCTCGGCCTCCCAAAGTACTGGGATTACAGGCGTAAGCCACCATGCCTGTCTTGTCTCTTAAAGAAAAGAAAAGTTAATTTCACCAATTTATTTTTACTGTTTAAAATGTGACTATTAGAAAATTATATGTGTATAATTTAAGTTTAATTTGATTTAATTGTAATTGAATTCTATTGGATAGTGCTGGGAAGACTACTGATTTTGCTAGATTAAAAAATTAGTATAAAAAACTTTAAATATGCACACAAGTAATAAAAATATTAATAGACTTTCATAAAACTATCAGATTCAGTGATTATCTAGATTTTATTACATTTTCTTTTTTTTCTTCTCTTTTTTTTTTTGAGACCGAGTCTTGCTCTGTCGCCCAGGCTGGAGTGCAGTGGCACAATCTCGGCTCACTGCAAGCTCCACCTCCTGGGTTCACACCATTCTCCTGCTTCAGCCTCCCGAGTAGCTGGGACTGCAGGCACCCACCACCACGCCCGGCTAATTTTTTTGTATTTTTTTTAGTAGAGATGGGGTTTCACCATGTGAGTCAGGATGGTCTCGATCTCCTTGTGATCTGCCCGCCTCGGCCTCCTAAAGTGTTGGGATTATAGGCGTGAGCCACCGTGCCCGGCTTACATTTTCTTTACTGATCTTTTTTTCTTTTTCTTTTCTTTTGAAGATATTTTTAAAACAAATGTCAAATAATAAGACACATTTTATTTCACCTTTCCTTATTTCATGTGTGTTTCTTTAAAAAGGGACATTTTTTATACAATGAGAATGTCATTAATATACCTGACAAAACTAAAAATAATTCCTCGGTGAAATCATCTGTTATTTAGTCCATATTCAAATTTTCCAATTGTTTAAAAATATCATTTCACAGTTTTATTCAAATCAAGATCTAAACAAGGTATACACATTACATTTGGTTGTTAAGTCTGTTATGTCACTTTTAACCTTTTAATTGTTCTTATGGCATTGAGCTACTGTGAAAACCAGGTTCAGGGACCCCAAAGAATATCCCATATTCTGGATTTGCCTCCTTCCTCATGATGTCATCTAACTTGTTTTTCTGTTTTTGTTCACTGGGCATTAGCTCTAAAGCCTCGAACAGATTTAGATTTGCCAAGTAGTTCATAGGTGATCCTATATATATACTATTTAAGTGGGACCACTACTCAGTAATGCTAATGTTGATCAGCACTTCTAGGTAGTAATAGCCTAATCTCTCCACAGTAGTTAATGCTCATCCATTGGTGATCTTTGCGTGAACCAATTGTTTCATTGGCGGTTGCAGAATGAGGGTTTTATCATTCCTGCATATTTTTTAACTGGAATTTTAAAAACAGCCTCCCTTATCAACTATATTTATTTAGTTACCCGGAAATAGATTGTATGGGAAAGGTGGGATGAATATTCAATTTATTCTCCTTTAATTGCCAGTTTTCAGAGTAAGGAGTTAGCATTTGTTTTTTAAAATACAATTTAAAACTATGTAGCCATTGAATCTTGCTTCATGAAGTAAGAATGGATTCATGTGGTAAGTGTAGCTAGTGGGTCTACAGGTGACTTCCCCTCTCCTACCATGAGTGTGGATTAGAAGAATCCTATAGGATGGGGGCAGAGGGAAGCTCTCTCCCAGTCCTCTACACCAGAAATGGAGTGGGCTGTGGAAGCGGGTATGGTGCTTGAGGGAGGGAGAAGACTCAATACTTAGTGGCAACTTCTCATCTCCCCGTCTGCCTCTAAGGGGCAGATAAGTCCCTGAGCCCCTGTGTCTGTGTCTTTCTTGCATGTAGACAGTGGAAATATGATGGTGAGATGCTGAACAGGTACCGACAGGCCCTAGAGACAGCTGTGAACCTCTCTGTGAAGCACAGCCTGCCCCTGCTGCCAGGCCGCACTGTCTTGGTCTATCTGACAGATGCTAATGCAGACAGGCTCTGTCCAAAGAGCAACCCACAAGGGGTAAGAAAACAAAAAGCATCCTCCAAGGGGTTGGGTTGGTAGAATGCTGGGGATCCTGAGCAGTATCCTGTTCCCAGAGCTGGTTTTCCCAGGCAAACACTCAGACTGAAATAAATGATATGAATTTGCTTCCAAGTATCAGTCCTTGGTTCCTAGGGGCAATTCCTAGGATGTTGTTTCAACCAGGTTTATGGATTATAATACTAACATTTCACCTTTGGCTGGTACTTGGTACTCTCTAAATTTGCATCACCAAAATATGTCTCACTTTCACCTCACTACATCCCGGTGTTGAACTTGGGCAGGGATCCTGGCTCCTCTTTTCCTCCCTCCACAGTCAGCTCCTCCTGAGGGCTGCTGAAGCTGACCCCTCCTAACTTGGGATTTTACACTTTTTCTTATTCCCTCTAACCAATGGAAGGGTTTGGCCTCCAGGGCTGGCTGGGCAAGGGTGAATTCCAAAGCAGGGGAGCTTTATTTCCCCTGACACTTGTCCAATCAGCCCCCGCTGAACTATGCACTGCTGTTGATTGGGATGATGATCACGAGGGCGGAGCAGGTGGACGTCGTGCTGTGTGGAGGTGACACTCTGAAGACTGCAGTGCTTAAGGCAGAAGAAGGCATCCTGAAGACTGCCATCAAGCTCCAGGCTCAAGTCCAGGTCAGACACTCAACACCCACCATCCAAAAATACATGAAGGACACAGGCCTGGGAATAGCCCAGATATTTGGTAAAGGCACAGACAATACACAGTTCTGAAGATTTCCCAAGCAGACTGCAAGACTGCAGTGTTTGTCGCTTACTGTGCAACCACATAACATGAAGTCTCTTTCCTTCAGGAGTTTGATGAAAATGATGGATGGTCCCTGAATACTTTTGGGAAATACCTGCTGTCTCTGGCTGGCCAAAGGGTTCCTGTGAGTATTAATCCCTGAGAAACCCTCTCCCTCCCCCACATTTTCCTCTGCAACTGATATATTTCATTTCTTGACCTTTAGAGCTGACTTCTCCAACCACATACAATAGTCAGATCAGCTCTACTGGCTACAACCCCCTACCCAGTGGTGTGCTGCTGAATATCTAACAACCAGCTGCCTAGAAAAATAAGCCTTGGTTAGTAGCATCTGCTAAATTTCCATGGTGTAAACAGTCCTACCGTGGCTGATTTCAAGCTATCGACATGATGCTACTGAACATAGAGTTGGGAAAAGACGCTCAGGAGCACACTGCTGTGTAGTATTCTCACACTCCTGATATAGTAGATGTAAATAAGCACGTGTAGATAATAGTAAAATGTAGTAAAATTATTAGGAAGTTATACATTTTGAGTATTTATTACATTTGTTTTATTTTCTGATTTTTATTTTTTGAGACAGGGTCTCACTCCGTTGCCCAGGCTGGAGTGAAGTGGCTCGCTTATAGCTCACTGCAACTAAAACTCCTGGGCTCAAGTGATTCTCCTGCCTCAGCCTCCCAAGTAGCTGGGAGTACTGGTGTGTGTCAACATGCCCAGCCACATTTGTTTTAAATATAACTTATTTAATTTTTTAAATGTATACAATTTAATGTTTAATAATGTCCACCTTTAACAACTGCCCACAAACTTCCTGAAAACTTAACAATCAGCTCTCTTGAGCCTGAATGAGCCAGCTGCAGTATACCACTGCCCCACTCCAACCTCCACTTTGATGTCCCCTGTAAGTTAAAATGCAGTGGCTTCCCTCATTCTATGTGCTCTCAGGAGAGGTACTCCTCTCAGAGTTCTCCTAATCCTCCTGTCCTCAGAAAGCTCATATCTTAATGTCCTGGGCTGTCTAGCATCCCTTCTCTAGCATCTTCTCCCTTTTCATCTTACAGGTGGACAGGGTCATCCTCCTTGGCCAAAGCATGGATGATGGAATGATAAATGTGGCCAAACAGCTTTACTGGCAGCGTGTGAATTCCAAGTGCCTCTTTGTTGGTATCCTCCTAAGAAGGGTACAATACCTGTAAGGGTGCTTATACTTCCTGCCCAGTGTCAGAAATCAGTGGTCTACATTTCCTCTCTACGCCTGCCAAAGCATAGGACACTCCCACTTGGCAGGGATCTCCCCAACTCTGCCTTCTTACCTCTGTTGCACTTCAGGTGGATACTTTAGCCTAACTCTGTACCCCTCTGTGAGAGTCCACCCTAGCCCTAGCCTACCACATAACCCTATTAAAGGTGCAGAAGTGGGGTTTTCATCTTGGGATGTTAGTGGGCAGTGACTGTGTTCCAGGTATTGTTTGTGATGGTTAATGACTGCTTCTTCCTTTGCCAGGTCAACAGATTTGAATCCCAATGATGTGACACTCTCAGGCTGTACTGATGCGATACTGAAGTGAGTACAGAATGGATACTGAAGGGTTGGATACTTTGTTGGAAAGTTTTTAGGAGATTATCTCTACTCCAGTCACTTTTTTTTTTTTTTAAGACAGAATCTCACTCTGTCGCTCAGGCTGGAGTGCAGTGGCACAATCTTGGCTCACTGCAACCTCCATCTCCTGGGTTCAAGCGATCCTCCTGCCTCCGCCTCCCGAGTACCTGGGACTACAGACATGCACCACCATGCCCGGCTAATTTTTGTATTTTTAGTAGAGACGGGGTTTCACCATGTTGGTCAGGCTGGTCTTGAACTCCTGACCTTGTGATCCACCCACCTCAGCCTCCCAAAGTGCTGGGATTACAGGCGTGAGCCACCGCACCCGGCTCCAGTTACTTCTTTTTTAAAGTGAGGTAGTTCACTCCTCTTTTACAGCCATCCAGGCATAGCAGCAACACAGTGTCACAGGGACCCAGGCACTTTCTCTCTTATTGCTCCATGATCCTCAAATACTCAGCTTCTACCTCATAATTCAATATGTCTGCCTGAGCTCCAGCCATCTTGGTATTCAGCCAAGTTTGTATTATATCCAGTAGGAAAGAAGAAAGGGGACATGGGAGACTTCACTGTCAAGAGTTGGCCATGTCACTGTGGCTTCTGTTCAATTCTTGATCCAGAGAAAATTATGTCTATTTAAGCTAAAATTACAGAAATCTTTTCACGTTTTTTTTATCTGTCTCTCCATCCTTTGCCTTCTTATTTACTTGTTTTCTCCCCTGGCTTTTCCTCTGGATACCATCCATTTCCCTCAACTCCTATGAGAAAGCCTCAGGCACATTCCTCCTTCTCCAGGGGGCCTTTATGGCTGGCACAGAGCTGCTCAAGCCCAGACTGGGATGGCTTTAATCTTTACACCTTTCCCTACCCCGTTGCCCCGGCCCAACAGCAAGTTTGTGATTACCACGCACAGCAGGAGGGGCTAGAGCTGGGCTTCTCTTTTCCTTCATTCCTGTGGTTCTGCATCCTCATTTATTTTAAGTCTGCATAAACTGCTTATGGTCCTCTTCTTAAGGAGCTTGACTTAACTGGTCACCAAACCTGGACATATCTTTTTCCCCCTGCCCTTTTCGGAAGACCTCACTGATTTCGACCTGTGGTATTCTACTCTCATTTATCTTGTTATTTATGTCAGGTTCATTGCAGAGCATGGGGCCTCCCATCTTCTGGAACATGTGGGCCAAATGGACAAAATATTCAAGATTCCACCACCCCCAGGAAAGACAGGGGTCCAGTCTCTCCGGCCACTGGAAGAGGACACTCCAAGCCCCTTGGCTCCTGTTTCCCAGCAAGGGTCAGTCTGTGTTTCTATGCCTTTGTGAATTGGGAGGGGCTGCAGTCAAACCTTGGGAAACCCTGGGGCTGAAATTCTAGCTGGTGAGGTGCCGCTTGTTCTCTTCATGAAGGCATGCTTCCTCTTTCTCAGGCGGAGGTTTCTCTACCACAGGGAGTTGTCAGATTGTGAGCAAGCCCTTCCTTTCTCTACTGAGGAAAGGAAGTCAGAATGCAAAGATGACGGCAGACATCATGGCCGTATGGCCAGGGCGTAGGCAGAGGGCTTAGGAGCACAGGTTCTGGCTTTTTCATTGTGGCTTTGCCAAATAGTAGTTTGAATCTGGCTTAGTTGCTTAATTTCTTTTTTTTTTTGAGACGGAGTCTCGCTGTGTCGCCCAGTCTGGGGTACAGTGGCGTGATCTCGGCTCACTGCAAGCTCTGCCTCCTGGGTTCACACCATTCTCCTGCCTCAGCCTCCCGAGTAGCTGGGACTACAGGCGCCTGCCACCATGCCCGGCTAATTTTTTTTTTGGATTTTTAGTAGAGACAGGGTTTCGTCATGTTGGACAGGCTAACCTTGAACTCCCGACCTCAGGTGATCTGCCCGCCTCGACCTCCCAAAGTGCTGGGATTACAGGCGTGAGCCATCGCGCCTGACCAGTTGCTTAATTTCTTAAAGCTATAGTTTCTTGCTGAGCGCCGTGGCTCACGCCTGTAATCCCAGCACTTTGGGAGGTCGAGGCGGGCAGATCACCTGAGGTCGGGAGTTCAAGGTTAGCCTGTCCAACATGACTAAACCCTGTCTCTACTAAAAATACAAAATTAGCCAGGTGTGGTGGCTCATGCCTGTAATCCCAGTTACTGGGGAGGCTGAGGTGGGAGAATTGCTTGAACCCTGGAGGCAGAGGTTGCAGTGAGCCGAGATCGCGCCATTTTACTCTAGCCTGGGCAACAAGAGCAAAACTCTGTCTCAAAAAAAAAAAAAGTTATCGTTTCTTGATTGCTAAAATGGAGATAATGATAGTGCTTACCTCACAGTGCTGTCATGAACAAGCAGTAAGTATATAAAAATGATTACCAGAAAAAAGAGAGGTGTACAAGAAATAGCAAGTGGGCATTAAATTCCAGGGCCCTGCAGTTGAGACCACTAGCAGGTGCTTCTCTGAAGGCCTGCTGGGCACCCATCTGCTGTCTGTCGTACCTGGCTTGTGCTCAGTGCTAAAGGGTGATCACAGCAGTGTCTATGGATGGGGGGTGGGAATCATCCCTAGACTGAGCCCAGCTCTCTGCTTATCCCCAGATGGCGCAGCATCCGGCTTTTCATTTCATCCACTTTCCGAGACATGCATGGGGAGCGGGACCTGCTGCTGAGGTCTGTGCTGCCAGCACTGCAGGCCCGAGCGGCCCCTCACCGTATCAGCCTTCACGGAATCGACCTCCGCTGGGGCGTCACTGAGGAGGAGACCCGTAGGAACAGGTGTGGGGGCTGCAGAGAAGAGGGGCTGGGTCGGGGATGAGGGGCTTGAGTGGTGGACCTGAGGTGGGCATGGTTGGGGCTGCAAGAATGGATGAGGGTGAAGGCGGGAGTCGCTCCTTGGATACTAACAAGAGCAGCCTACCTTTTCTTTACTCAGTTGCGAGTCAGGGCCCCGTCTCCCTGTTTGTGCCTATGTTCCCTGATACCATGCCCCCAGTGACTCCCACACGTCCCTATCATCATGCCTACAGACAACTGGAAGTGTGCCTTGGGGAGGTGGAGAACGCACAGCTGTTTGTGGGGATTCTGGGCTCCCGTTATGGATACATTCCCCCCAGCTACAACCTTCCTGACCATCCACACTTCCACTGGGTAAGGCAGACAGGTTTGGAGGAGGGCTGGGGAGGAAGCAAAGATTGGGGCAGAGGCTGGGAGAAGCCACACTCTGTCAGAAACCCTGCAACTATGAACAGGCAGGTCCTTGAGACTTGAAGTGAAATACAGGCTGAAGATACTGCAAGTGACCATGCTCTAGATGAGAAAAGTCCTTTGAGAAGTGCCTCTGGGGTTGGCCATGAGCAAAAGTAAGAGGGTGGGTCTGCTTAGGTGTTGCCATCAGATAGATCTGGGTACTGATCTCCCTTCTGTCATCTACAAGTTGTGTGGCTTTGTGTGATGCAGCTTACTCTGACCTAGCCTCCATTTCCCTATATTAAAGAGAAGCAATGACATTGACATTGGAGGGTTATTATGAGAATTGAAAGTCTGTAACAGGGCCAGGTGCAGTGGCTCACGCCTATAATCCCAGCAGTTTGGGAGACCAAGGCGGGTGGATCACCTGAGGTCAGGAGTTTGAGACCAGCCTGGCCAACATGGTGAAACCCTGTCTCTACTAAAAATACAAAAATTAGCTGGGCTTGGTGGTAGACACCTGTAATCCCAGCTACTCAGGAGGCTGAGGCAGGAGAATTGCTTGAACCGAGGAGGCGGAGGTTGCTGTGAGCCAAGATTGCGCCATTGCACTCCAGCCTGGGTGACAAGAACAAAGCTCAGTCTCAAAAAAACAAAAAATAAAAAATAAAAAAAAATCAAAGGTCTGTAACAGAATACTCAATACATTACAGGCATTCAATGAATGTTAGCTATTAGTGCCTTGTTCCAGGAAAAAAAAATAAAAATAAATAAAAAACATTAGCTATTAGCTATATTTTATTGCTTGTGCCTGGAGGGAAGGAGAGAGGAACATCAGAGATACAGGAGTCCTGGGGCCTTGGCAGGTCTGGAGGGAGGGTCATTGTGGCCTAGGACTAAACTCACTGTCTCTGTCCTCCCCGCAGGCCCAGCAGTACCCTTCAGGGCGCTCTGTGACAGAGATGGAGGTGATGCAGTTCCTGAACCGGAACCAACGTCTGCAGCCCTCTGCCCAAGCTCTCATCTACTTCCGGGATTCCAGCTTCCTCAGGTACTGTCTGTTGCCTGCAGGCTGGGGCTCCTTCCCCAAAAGGCCAGACAGGCCAGTCTTCTCTCCTCAGTATTCAGAGTATAGAAGGGGAGTGCTATGAGGCAGAAACAGGACTCAGCATGCCTTTGCAGCCCCACGTCAGCCTTGGTGCTGGAGTCAGGAGCTCTCTACTTGAGGAGCTTCAGGAAATTACAGCTATGTCTGGTGGTTGGTGGAGGGAGGCTGGCTGGGGTCTGAGTCTATTCCAACTTTTGGGGTCTTTGGTGGTCAGCTCTGTGCCAGATGCCTGGAAATCTGACTTTGTTTCTGAGTCTGAAGAGGCCGCACGTCGGATCTCAGAACTGAAGAGCTACCTAAGCAGACAGAAAGGGATCACCTGCCGCAGGTGAGCTGAGGGAGGTAGGGAGCACCTGTACAGAGATGTGGTGAGAGGAGCCGGGCCTGCTCTGACCTGGTTGTGCTTGATTTGCCCACAGATACCCCTGTGAGTGGGGGGGTGTGGCAGCTGGCCGGCCCTATGTTGGCGGGCTGGAGGAGTTTGGGCAGTTGGTTCTGCAGGATGTATGGAATATGATCCAGAAGCTCTACCTGCAGGTCAGCAGAAGCACTGGTGACCAGAGGCATGGAGAGGGACATGGGGTGGTCTGGGTTGTCCTGGGGAGGAAGTAGCTTGGCGGGGGCTCTGTGAGTTTTAGCCTGGGAGTGCTGAGGAGCATGGCACCATGGATAGTCACTGACCCATTTACCCTCAGCCTGGGGCCCTGCTGGAGCAGCCAGTGTCCATCCCAGACGATGACTTGGTCCAGGCCACCTTCCAGCAGCTGCAGAAGCCACCGAGTCCTGCCCGGCCACGCCTTCTTCAGGACACAGTGCAACGGCTGATGCTGCCCCACGGAAGGCTGAGCCTGGTGACGGGGCAGTCAGGACAGGGCAAGACAGCCTTCCTGGTACAGAGTCTCAGGGGCCTGGGCAGGAGGGAGGGAAGGCTGTGTGGGCTAAGGAGGTAAGGCACAGGGAGCTCAGGCATGTAAAATGTGACCATGTTTTCTGTTCCTGTCCCATGCAGGCATCTCTTGTGTCAGCCCTGCAGGCTCCTGATGGGGCCAAGGTGGCATCATTAGTCTTCTTCCACTTTTCTGGGGCTCGTCCTGACCAGGGTCTTGCCCTCACTCTGCTCAGACGCCTCTGTACCTATCTGCGTGGCCAACTAAAAGAGCCAGGTGCCCTCCCCAGCACCTACCGGTGGGTATCCCCCAATGAGCCCAGCCTTGTTGATGCCCACGTACCACCCCTGCTTTTTTTTTCTCTCCCACTGACCCTGACTTCCTCTCCATGTACAGAAGCCTGGTGTGGGAGCTGCAGCAGAGGCTGCTGCCCAAGTCTGCTGAGTCCCTGCATCCTGGCCAGACCCAGGTCCTGATCATCGATGGGGCTGATAGGTTAGTGGACCAGAATGGGCAGCTGATTTCAGACTGGATCCCAAAGAAGCTTCCCCGGGTGAGTGTGAGAAGGAGGTGGGTGTCGGGAGGCAGGCTGGGGAGAAGGAGGGATACGGCACGGAGGAGAGAGGCCTCTCCAATGTGGTTCTCCTTTTCTTTCTACCTTCCTGCCCCTTTGCCCAAATATCACAGTGTGTACACCTGGTGCTGAGTGTGTCTAGTGATGCAGGCCTAGGGGAGACCCTTGAGCAGAGCCAGGGTGCCCACGTGCTGGCCTTGGGGCCTCTGGAGGCCTCTGCTCGGGCCCGGCTGGTGAGAGAGGAGCTGGCCCTGTACGGGAAGCGGCTGGAGGAGTCACCATTTAACAACCAGGTTGGGTTCTAGGCCGGGGCCGGTGGGTGTGTGGGGTGAATCTGGGAGCTATGAGGACCTGGGGTGCCGAGGCCGCTAGCTGCCTTGCACAGACCTGCTCCTTTGTTTTCTCAGAAATTCTGTCCATGGGAAGTTGTTAATAAGAAAATTGTGATTCCTGATCATGTCACCCAGCCCTCTTCCCCCGGTGAATGGCCTTTCCAGGGCCTCTCGGGGTGAGGGGATGAGTCAAGTGGTTTTTGGTGGGGTAGGCCGAGCCACAGGGGTTTTCTGGCAGGGCTGGCTGGGCAGAGCAGCGTAGGAGAGGGATGGTTTGTGTCCTGGGATGATGCCATGGACCTGGCGTCTGCTGGGGACTCTCAGAGGAGGAGCTGCCTGGCAGAGGGGCTGGTGCTGGGGCAGAGGGCTGGCTGCGGGCAGCCCTCCTGGACCCCACCCTGAGTCCTGAGTCTTGCCAGATGCGACTGCTGCTGGTGAAGCGGGAATCAGGCCGGCCGCTCTACCTGCGCTTGGTCACCGATCACCTGAGGCTCTTCACGCTGTATGAGCAGGTCAGTTCTCATCACCTTCCAAGTCCTAATCACTACTTCCCATTCTCTCTTCAGCTGCTTTGTCTCATCCCTATCCCACGTCCTTTGCTGTCTTGTGATCACCCACTCCCTATCCTCGCCTCATACCTCGCCTCACTTCCCTCCTACTGTTGTTCTTTACTTTTTCATTCCTCCACACTGTCCTCCTGCTGCCCCTTCCCTATCCCACAAGCCAAGCTGCTTCTCCTCCCACTGCACTGAACAAGGCTGTCCTCCCGCCATCCTAGGTGTCTGAGAGACTCCGGACCCTGCCTGCCACTGTCCCCCTGCTGCTGCAGCACATCCTGAGCACACTGGAGAAGGAGCACGGGCCTGATGTCCTTCCCCAGGCCTTGACTGCCCTAGAAGTCACACGGAGTGGTCAGTGCTTGGGGTGGGTTGGTTGGGAGGCTGAGGGCCAGGGTTCGGATTACATTGGTTCCCTTGGGGTCTCAGCAGGCAGTTCAAGGAGAGACTGGGTGTGGTGGGGGCGGGGACACCGTATGGTTAGATGAGGGCCTCAGAGAGCTTGAGTTTTCAGGTTTGACTGTGGACCAGCTGCACGGAGTGCTGAGTGTGTGGCGGACACTACCGAAGGGGACTAAGAGCTGGGAAGAAGCAGTGGCTGCTGGTAACAGTGGAGACCCCTACCCCATGGGCCCGTTTGCCTGCCTCGTCCAGAGTCTGCGCAGGTACAGGTGCCCCAGCAGAGCTCCCGCTGACCTCTCTGTGCCTTCCCTTCTTTGAGCCGGGGCCCTCTGTATAGCTTCAACAACTGGCTCCCAGACCATGAATGAGCTACTGCTCCAGCTGCTCCAGTTTCCGCTATTTGAGGGGGGAATAGGAGCCCACTGTGTGCCAGGAAGCTCACTGACAGGCCTCTTCCTTCTTCTCTCTCCCTTCCTCACACGAGGACAGTTTGCTAGGGGAGGGCCCTCTGGAGCGCCCTGGTGCCCGGCTGTGCCTCCCTGATGGGCCCCTGAGAACAGCAGCTAAACGTTGCTATGGGAAGAGGCCAGGGCTAGAGGACACGGCACACATCCTCATTGCAGGTGATTGCAGCCCAAGTCAGCCTGGGCACTGAGTGTGGGGCTTGGGCCTGGAGGCCAGGACCACCCACTGTGCTCCCATCTGCTGGCCAGCTCACCTACTGCCCTTGGGAATGATGCAGGGCTGAGCCTTTCTCAATATCTGTTCATGCAGCTCAGCTCTGGAAGACATGTGACGCTGATGCCTCAGGCACCTTCCGAAGTTGCCCTCCTGAGGCTCTGGGAGACCTGCCTTACCACCTGGTTAGTTCCTAGACCCCATAGACACCTTTCCCAAAGTGAGTGCTTTGGTTGCTCTGAGACCCCTCTCCCCGTTACCATCTCCACCATCACCGCCGCCATTACCCCTCCCAAACTCCCTTGACCTCTTTCCTTTCAGTTTTCCTGCCCTTCTTCTTCAAGTCCTTTGTCCCAGCTCAGATCCTATCTCTGTATCCAGGTTCTGAGACTAAACTGTCCCTTCTCACCAGCCCCTTCATATCCCTAATGAATTCAATCTGACCTTCTCAGCTCCAGAGCGGGAACCGTGGACTTCTTTCGAAGTTCCTTACCAACCTCCATGTGGTGGCTGCACACTTGGAATTGGGTCTGGTCTCTCGGCTCTTGGAGGCCCATGCCCTCTATGGTGAGATGAGTCACTGGCTGGGTTCTTCTCTGAGATATGGGACTCCTGGGTGTGCTTATGGGGGCCCTGCTCAGGGTTGGGGCAGGGGTGTGGGTGTCAGGGAAAAAAGATTCAAATTTCCATTTCGAGTTGAAAATGCCAAGAGGGTGAGCACGTGACTCTCAGGAGACCTTTCACCTTGATCTCTTGGACCAGAGATTCTTCAACTTTATTTAGTTAGCATAAAACTATCTAGGAAACTTGTTCAAATTGCAGATCCTTGGGTCTCCATATTCTGGTTTCCTAGGTTTGGAGTGGGGCTCAAAGCTTTGTACTTTTAAGAGATATTCCTGATATAGGGCCAGAGGGCCACACTTTGAGACTTACTATTGTAGACACACCATATGGTTTTATTTGGTGCTGGGGCTAATGGGGTCCAGCTGGCTCCCCAGTGACATTCTGCCACCCTTTTATAGCTTCTTCAGTCCCCAAAGAGGAACAAAAGCTCCCCGAGGCTGACGTTGCAGTGTTTCGCACCTTCCTGAGGCAGCAGGCTTCAATCCTCAGCCAGTACCCCCGGCTCCTGCCCCAGCAGGCAGCCAACCAGCCCCTGGACTCACCTCTTTGCCACCAAGCCTCGCTGCTCTCCCGGAGATGGCACCTCCAACACACACTACGATGGCTTAATAAACCCCGGACCATGAAAAATCAGCAAAGGTAAGACCTTGACCCCAGACCCTAGTAAGCCCACCAGAGAGCAAGCTGCAGCTCTTTCTGAAACTGAGGAATAAGGATGACCAGAAACACTGGAGAGGGATCCAGGCACAGAAGCACATAAATCAACTCCTGTTTGCATTCTCTCGTTTATTTCCTCCCTTTCTTCCTACTCTTTCTCTAGCTCCAGCCTGTCTCTGGCAGTTTCCTCATCCCCTACTGCTGTGGCCTTCTCCACCAATGGGCAAAGAGCAGCTGTGGGCACTGCCAATGGGACAGTTTACCTGTTGGACCTGAGAACTTGGCAGGTATGACAATCAAGGAGGGGCAGAATTTACCCTCTGAAAATCCATGCAGACTGCCCTGAAGCCCTAGATGAGCCAAACACACCTGTTATCACTCTGATTAATTCAGCAACTTTACTGCCTGCACATCAGCTCAAAGGGCTTGGCCAAAAAATCAATCACACAGCAAATATTTGCTGCACACCTTCCATTTAAGGCACTGTGCTAAGCGTTGCAAGAAACACAGGATTTGGGACATTGTCATTGCCCACCAAGTGGTCAGTTTTGTTGGGAGATAAGACATACGAGGTAAAAAAGGAACCAAAACATAGCCATGTAATCTAATTAAGACATGAGTGAGTTGTGCAGCTATAGGAGGACATAGGATAGAGAAGGGCAGGCACTCTTGTTTGAACAAGGAACCTGAGCAAAGACACAGGAGGGGAATGTTCCTGGTAAATTTGTAAATTGCTGGGAATTATGGCAGCACAGCGTGCTTATGGGAGGCTAATAGTACATTAGGCTGGAGAGGTGAGTCCTAGAACCACAGCCTCTTTCTATCCTCTTTACACTCATGTCATCCCCTACCCCATGTAACCCCATTTTCTCAGACCCATCAAAATTTTCTGTAACTTGGGGAATAGGTATGGGGTTTGGAGTAGGGGAGAAAATGTGGCCCCACTTGGATCACGAGGCCCCCACTTGAACGTGTGCTTGACTTGGAACATAGAGAGCCAAGGACTCATGGCCTTTGTGCCTTGGCCTTCTTTTTGGGTGGGGCCTGGAGTGGTGGGACTTGGAGGGTCAAGGGGATGGCCTGAGCTGCGCTCCCTCACCCACTGTCGCAGGAGGAGAAGTCTGTGGTGAGTGGCTGTGATGGAATCTCTGCTTGTTTGTTCCTCTCCGATGATACACTCTTTCTTACTGCCTTCGACGGGCTCCTGGAGCTCTGGGACCTGCAGCATGGTTGTCGGTAAGGGGTCCTCCCCATTTGTCTTGGAATGAGGGCCTTCCCCATTTTTTGGAAGCCCCAGGAGAAGGAAATGAGGAGGGAGCTGATGGCCAGGGTCCAGAGGACTGACTTCATCTTCCTGGGATAGGGTGCTGCAGACTAAGGCTCACCAGTACCAAATCACTGGCTGCTGCCTGAGCCCAGACTGCCGGCTGCTAGCCACCGTGTGCTTGGGAGGATGCCTAAAGGTAAGACTTGGGGTCTGCAGTGGTCAGAGTGGCCCTGAGCCATGACTCACCCTCGTGAATTTGTTCTCTCAGTGCGGCAGAGGCTGCTGACTCCCTGGCCAGAGAAGGCCTTCCCTGCTGAGGGCAGGGTAACTGGACAAGGTTGCTCCTGGAGGTCTGGGACTGAGAAGTTCAGGCATCTCTCTTCAGCATCCTGATTCCTCCTCTCTCTCCCTCAGCTGTGGGACACAGTCCGTGGGCAGCTGGCCTTCCAGCACACCTACCCCAAGTCCCTGAACTGTGTTGCCTTCCACCCAGAGGGGCAGGTAATAGCCACAGGCAGCTGGGCTGGCAGCATCAGCTTCTTCCAGGTGGATGGGCTCAAAGTCACCAAGGTAAGAAGGTCCAGTGTTGCTCTTGGGGGAAGCACAGGAGGACAGGAGTGGAGGGTGGCAGACGACAGACAGCAGCATTCTGGGTCACTTAAGATTTTGCTGAGAGCAGGTCTTCACGTTTCCATTTCTACCTCCCTGTGTAGGACCTGGGGGCACCCGGAGCCTCTATCCGTACCTTGGCCTTCAATGTGCCTGGGGGGGTTGTGGCTGTGGGCCGGCTGGACAGTATGGTGGAGCTGTGGGCCTGGCGAGAAGGGGCACGGCTGGCTGCCTTCCCTGCCCACCATGGCTTTGTTGCTGCTGCGCTTTTCCTGCATGCGGGTTGCCAGTTACTGACGGCTGGAGAGGATGGCAAGGTCAGCTTGCAGAGGGCTGGTGGTGGGTTGTGAGGAGGAGTAGCAAAGGCAAAGAATATCTTGGTGGGGGTGGGGGTCCTTTGTCGAGGAGACTGTGGAGGAGCTTGGATTGCAGGAACCACGGGGAGAGGGGTGCCGCTGTGTGCAGGGGCAGCTCTCATGAGAAGAGTCTCTGGAAGGAGGACTTTAATGGGGGTGGCTGTAACTCAAAACAGGAAGGAGGACCGCGTGGTGGAGGTGGTATCCTTAAGCCCTTTTCTTGGTTCCCAGGTTCAGGTGTGGTCAGGGTCTCTGGGTCGGCCCCGTGGGCACCTGGGTTCCCTTTCTCTCTCTCCTGCCCTCTCTGTGGCACTCAGCCCAGATGGTGATCGGGTGGCTGTTGGATATCGAGCGGATGGCATTAGGATCTACAAAATCTCTTCAGGTACTGAAATGGGAATGGGTGGGTTTTTGAGCCTTTAGAAAGAGCGCAGCCCCTGCCCCCTACCCCTTCCCAAGTGTCTTACTCCCTTGTTCTCTCTCATTCTCTAGGTTCCCAGGGGGCTCAGGGTCAGGCACTGGATGTGGCAGTGTCCGCCCTGGCCTGGCTAAGCCCCAAGGTATTGGTGAGTGGTGCAGAAGATGGGTCCTTGCAGGGCTGGGCACTCAAGGAATGCTCCCTTCAGTCCCTCTGGCTCCTGTCCAGATTCCAGAAGCCTGTGCTAGGACTGGCCACTTCCCAGGAGCTCTTGGCTTCTGCCTCAGGTACTACTAGACAGTGGGCAGGGTTAACAAATTACTGTTCTTTTCTTTTCTTTTTTTTTTTTTTAAGACAGAGCTTCACTCTTGTTGCCCAGGCTAGAGTGCAGTGGTACGGTCTCGGCTCACTGCAACTTCTGCCTCCTGGGTTCAAGCAATTCTCCTGTCTCGGCCTCCCGAGTAGCTGGGATTACAGGCATGCGCCTCCACGCCCGGCTAATTTTATATTTTTAGTAGAGATGGGGTTTCACCATGTTGGTCATGCTGGTCTCGAACTCCTGACCATAGGTGATCCACCCACCTCGGCCTCCCAAAGTGCTGGGATTACAGACGTGAGCCATTGCGCCTGGCCCACAAATCACTGTTCCTTTTAAAGACACTAACACCTTTCTCCAAGTTGTATGTATATGTGTATGAAAATACACATGTGCGATTTTGTTTTACAACTTTCAAAGTGCTTTTGAATGCAATTATCTTGCATAATCTGTTTAGACTGTTTCCACTCATTCCTTCACCTTCATTCTGGGACCTCTAACCTCCCAGTAATCCTTTGAGTTTCTGCCCCGTGGGAGACTTTGCTGTGAAAAGGGATAGGTTTCCCTTAGAAGGAGAGAGAGAGATGTTGAGGTGAAAATGTAGAATGGCCTAGGCCCTCTCTAGGAGGGAGAACTGGTCCTCACAGGTCACGAGGTGGAAGTGACACTGGACACTTGAGAAGAGGAGGGGTCTGGAGCAGCTGCTGTGGGAGTACAGTTAGAGAAGCAGAGACAAGGAACTGTGTTCCCGGCCTGAGCTGTGGAGCTGGAGCTGGGAGTGCCGCACGTTCCCGTCCTATGTACACACTCGCTGATGACCCTTGCCCAGGGCCTCTCCACAGCCTTGTGACTCCCTGCATCCCTCCCATGGAGCTGAGCCTCAGGTGTCACCCTCAGCCCCCATGGCCGCTCCTGTCTTTGGCCTCCCAGGGCCTGTCTGGCTTCCTCTTTCAGGAAGCTGTTCCCTCTCTCTTTTTCCAATGCAGAGGATTTCACAGTGCAGCTGTGGCCAAGGCAGCTGCTGACGCGGCCACACAAGGCAGAAGACTTTCCCTGTGGCACTGAGCTGCGGGGACATGAGGGCCCTGTGAGCTGCTGTAGTTTCAGCACTGATGGAGGCAGCCTGGCCACCGGGGGCCGGGATCGGGTGAGCTGCAGAAGGATGCAACCCTGGGGTCCCATAGCCTCTCTAGTTCCTAGATTTCTTAACAACCCATTTCCCATTGCTTCCTCCTGCTTTTTGTTTTGCCAAATCTAGTATAGATCTGTCTGCCTGTGCTTCCTTGTGCCCCTCTTTCCTTGAAATTTCTTGCCTGAAATGGCTCCGGGGTTCCCATCCTTCCTTTGGTCCTGATTGCTCCCTCTCCTTGGGGCCTATCCAGAGTCTCCTCTGCTGGGACGTGAGGACACCCAAAACCCCTGTTTTGATCCACTCCTTCCCTGCCTGTCACCGTGACTGGGTCACTGGCTGTGCCTGGACCAAAGATAACCTACTGGTGAGTAAAGGGCCAGGGGTGGCACAGAGCCCAGCTGGGTTCCTGGGGCAAGACAACACTCCCCACCTCGTCCTTTTTCTGGCACCCATTAATAATAGTGATAGCTAATATTTGTCAAACTTGATATGTGCCAGGCATTGAACTAAGCTCTTTTCATATATTGCTTCACTTAATCTTTACAACACCCTGTAAAGTAGATACTCCTTTTATCTCTATTTTTCAGACAAGGAAATTGAACTCAGAACATTTCCAAGGTCAATGATGAAGCTGAGCCAGGGAACTCTCTAATAAGAAAGCCTAGGTCTGGGCA
Source organism: Homo sapiens (assembly GCF_000001405.40). Lineage (NCBI taxonomy): Eukaryota > Metazoa > Chordata > Mammalia > Primates > Hominidae > Homo > Homo sapiens. The sequence goes on along the minus strand of NW_025791796.1, from coordinate 578,125 downwards.
CGGTGGCTCACACCTGTAATCCCAGCACTTTGGGAGGCCGAGGCGAGTGGATCACGAGGCCAGGAGTTCAAGACCAGGCTGACCAACATGGAGAAACCCTGTCTCTACTAAAGATACAAAATTAGCCAGGCGTGGTGACACATGCCTGTAATCCCAGCTACTCAGAAGGCTGAGGCAGGAGAATAACTTGAACCCGGGAGGCAGAGGTCGCGCCATTGCACTCCAGCCTGGGCAACAAGAGTGAAACTCCATCTCAAAATAATAACAATAATAATATGGACAATAGCTACCATTTATTATATGCTCACTGTGTGCCAGGCAGCATGCTAAGTCCTTTTTTTTTTTTTTGTTTTGAGACAGAGTTTCGTTCTTGTTGCCCAGGCTGGAGTGCAGTGGCGCAATCTCTGCTCACTGCAATCTCCACCTCCCAGGTTCGAATGATTCTCCTGCCTCAGCCTCCTGAGTAGCTGAGATTATAGGCACCTGCCACCATGCCCAGCTAATTTTTTGTATTTTTAGTAGAGATGGGGTTTCCTCATGTTGGCCAGGCTGGTCTTGAACTCCTGACCTCAGGCGATCCACCTGCCTCGGCCTCCCAAAGTATTGGGATTACAGGCATGAGCCACCGTGCCCAGCCTAAGTCCTTTATGTAGACGCACTCAGCCCCACAACCACCATATCAGATAGGTACATTATCATTATACTCATTAAATAGTTGGGAAACCCAAGGCTCAGAAAGAGAAACAGACCACAAAGCAGAAAGTAATGAGTGACAGAGCTAGGATTTGAACCCAGGAGAACCCAGGCCCTTAATTACGTGGCTAACCGCCTTCCACCCTACACTACAGATATACCAAAATGCTGGAGGGATGCTGATAATCCCACTCCTCTGACTTCTGACTCTGTAGATATCCTGCTCCAGTGATGGCTCTGTGGGGCTCTGGGACCCAGAGTCAGGACAGCGGCTTGGTCAGTTCCTGGGTCATCAGAGTGCTGTGAGCGCTGTGGCAGCTGTGGTGAGAAAGCAATGGAGATCCCACTGGGGGGTCTCTGGAAGGGCTAAGGGGGCTTTGGGAGACGGTGCATGGAGTATCTAATCCCAGAGGCAAAATGAGCATAAAAATGAGATACCTAGAGATTAGGCAACATAGGAAGACCCCCCATCTCTATAAAAAATAAAAATAAAAATTAGCTGGGTACCATGGTACATGCCTGTAGTTCTAGCTACTCAGGAGGCTGAGGCGAGAGATCACTTGAGCCCAGGATTTCAAGGCTACAGTGAGCTATGATCAAACCACTGCACTCCAGCCTCCAGTGTAACAGAGTGAGACCCTATCTTTAAAAAAAAAAAAAAGAGAAAAAGAAAATGAGATACTTGGGATTGGATTATGGTGTTGAGGCTAAGGGTTGGTGTAAAGGGAGAGAGGAGAGCATGAAAACACAGCCTCTTGGTATCATGAACTTGAGCCACCCGACCCCACTGTCCTGAGCCACCCAACCCCACTGTTCCTGAGTTCTCCTCCCTCATTGACATCTTCCATGCTCCTAATGCTCCACCCACCTCTGTGGAGGAAGTTCTGTTTCCCATGTCCTGCTCAATATGACTCTGCTCTGATCTTGTGCTCTGTGGGCAGGAGGAGCACGTGGTGTCTGTGAGCCGGGATGGGACCTTGAAAGTGTGGGACCATCAAGGCGTGGAGCTGACCAGCATCCCTGCTCACTCAGGACCCATTAGCCACTGTGCAGCTGCCATGGAGCCCCGTGCAGGTAACAAAACGTCAGCCACCTCCCCTTCCCTGCTGTCTCTTCTTTTCTCCCCTGCTCCGTCCCTTCTTCTGACTCAGTCTCTGTGTCTTATCAGCTGGACAGCCTGGGTCAGAGCTTCTGGTGGTAACCGTCGGGCTAGATGGGGCCACACGGTTATGGCATCCACTCTTGGTGAGTTCCTGCAAGGACCAGAGTCAAGGGAGGTGGGGAAGGTATGCGGAATAACCTTCTGTTGTGCCCACTCTCATGAGCCCATCTCCATCCCTTCCTCCTAGGTGTGCCAAACCCACACCCTCCTGGGACACAGCGGCCCAGTCCGTGCTGCTGCTGTTTCAGAAACCTCAGGCCTCATGCTGACCGCCTCTGAGGATGGTTCTGTACGGCTCTGGCAGGTTCCTAAGGAAGCAGGTGAGTGAGGCTTGGAGAGAGACAGGGTGTGTTACTGGCACAAAAAAAGGTCAAGGGTGGCCTGATATCTCTTATCCCAGCAGTATCCCAGCTCCTAATGAAACACGTCCTTTCTCCTCCAGATGACACATGTATACCAAGGAGTTCTGCAGCCGTCACTGCTGTGGCTTGGGCACCAGATGGTTCCATGGCAGTATCTGGAAATCAAGCTGGGGAACTAATCTTGTGGCAGGAAGCTAAGGCTGTGGCCACAGCACAGGTGAGTCGGTGTACCCTTGGTTCTTTGTCTGTGTGAATTCTACCCTGGCTGTGTATTTACTGGGCGTTAGAGGTTGCATATGTGCCTGGGAGGGAAAAGATGGTGCATCCTGGCTCATCAGAAGCACTGAATTGAACTTGTTGTGTACACCAGGCTCCAGGCCACATTGGTGCTCTGATCTGGTCCTCGGCACACACCTTTTTTGTCCTCAGTGCTGATGAGAAAATCAGCGAGTGGCAAGTGAAACTGCGGAAGGGTTCGGCACCCGGAAATTTGAGGTGAAACAGGCTGATGGGTTAATGGGATAGAAACAGCAGTCTCCTCACTCCTGGCATTTTACCCAAATTACTGCACTTCTGCTTCTGAACTAGGTCAATTGGATGTTAGTTACTGAGTGGGACATTATTTTCTGCTTCTGTCCATGGCAATGTAAATGAATAATTCTCAGGTGCCTACTTGATGCCAAGCTCTGGGCCAGGCAGTATGAACCAGTTACAGATGAAATTCATCCTTTAATTAAGGAAGCTCACAGTAGAGGAATGTGCATATATTTAAACCAGCAGCACTATTCAGACTGACTAGTGCTATAATGAAGATACACACACACACACACACACACACACACACACATACACACACACACACACATATTCCTGGGGCTTCAAAATTTGAGAAATTGTGGGAAGGAGTTGGTATTTAAGGTTGGACACTTACAGAATGAGTAGGAGTTTTCTGGACCAGTAAGAGAAGGGAACAGTGTTTCAGGAAGAGGAAGGAACATGTACAGAAGATATGGAGATGTTGAGAGTATGTAGTATATTCTGGGTATAGCCAGCTCCTTGGATTCCTGGTGGGAGTAAGGGAAATGGAATTGAATAGATAAACTGGGGTCAGGCTGTAGAGGGCACAGTGCTAAGAATTTTGGGTGGAATAATTATCTGGATTTTATAAAGAGAACTGGTGGCAGTATGGAAGATGGATGGTAGTAGAGAGATACTAAAGGTAAGGAGACCACATTTACACCTGTAGCTATAGCCTAGGAAAGACGTAATGTGGGCCTGACCTGGGCTGTGGAGATGAGAAGGGGAGATACGGATTTAGGCATGTGTTGCATCCACAGGCCTTACTGGTGAGTTGGAGGTAGAGAGGGAAGGAAAAGCCAAGAATGTTAGAGATTCCTAGTTTGAGCAAGTAATGGGATGGCACCGATGAATACTAATGTTAAAAAACAAAAACCAGAAAGTGGAACAGGATTTTCAGGGAAGGTGATACATTTTGCTTTGTACTTCATTCCTGAGGAATTCATGTGGGATTGAGGAGCCTGAGAAAGGTTAACTAAAATAGGATCTTTCTCTGTCCATGTACTTTTTTGAGCTAGTCTTCACCTGAACCGAATTCTACAGGAGGACTTAGGGGTGCTGACAAGTCTGGATTGGGCTCCTGATGGTCACTTTCTCATCTTGGCCAAAGCAGATTTGAAGTTACTTTGCATGAAGCCAGGGGATGCTCCATCTGAAATCTGGTAAGATCCAAAATGCCATTTCCTCCTGAGCTGGGGAAAAAGGAAACCTGAGTTAGTGGTTATCCTGAGGTTGAGTCTAACTTAGAAGAAAACTCTGGAGTCTTAAAGAGAGGTGTTCTTCTCTTTACCTCTCTTTAAATCCTGAGCTCAACCTATTCCTTTCTCACAAACCAGGAGCAGCTATACAGAAAATCCTATGATATTGTCCACCCACAAGGAGTATGGCATATTTGTCCTGCAGCCCAAGGATCCTGGAGTTCTTTCTTTCTTGGTAAGTCCTATTTGAGTGTGTGCTAAAGCAAACATTCGTCTAGGACCAGTGTTTTTACACCTTGGGGCCCGTCATGGAGGATAGGGAAGGGAAAGGCAGTTGGCTGCAAATCCTCTTATCCTCCTTCAACTGGAGCAGTTCTAATTTAGGACATTGTGTATTGGGTTCCCATGTAAGATTTCACTGGTACAAGAAAGGACTCTACCGTTTTAGAAAGCCATAGGAAACCATAAACCTAGAAGTTTTCTCAATTGCATTTTTTCCCGTGTCTCTCTTGTCTTGCCCCTATGAATAATAGCATCTTGAGGGCAAGGACTCCATCTTGTTTTTGTCATCATACTTAGCAGTTACTTAATAGATGTTCAACACTTTTTGGATTGAGTGTGCCAAAGCTAGCTGTTCACTTCAAATGCAGTTTCCTGGGAGCCGCTTGTTATTGGGAAGGTTATTAAATCCTGACCTGCTACCCACTAAAGTTATCTACTAAAGCCTATGCTTGACCCAGTGATTCCACTCCTAAATATATACCTAAGAGAAAGGAGTACATACATTCTGCAAAGCCGGGTACAAGAATCTTCATAGCAGCTTTATTCATCATAGCTAAATATTAATAAATAGAAAGGGGATAAATAATTTGTGGTATATCTATACAATGGAATACTACATGGCAAAAAAATTAATGTGATACTGCATGCTGATGAATGGAATAATACAGACATACCTCGTAGACATTATTCTGGGCAAAGGAAGCCAGTTACAAAGGAGTACATACTATATGATTTCACCTAAATGAAGTTTCAAGAACAAGCAAGACTAATTTCAGTTGACAGACATTAGAATATTTTTAGCTTTTGTGGTGATGGTCTGGTATTGATGGGAAAGGGACATAAGGGCAATTTTCTGAGGTGATGGAAATGCTCTACATCTTGATCTGTCGGGTGACTGCATGGGTGGATGCACATGTAAAAATACATCGCCGATGTACATTTAAGATTTGTGCACTTACCCAGGTGTAGTGGCTCACGCCTGTAATCCCAGCACTTTGGGAGGCCAAGGCCAGTGGATCACCTGAGGCCAGGAGTTCGAGACCAGCCTGGCCCACATGGTGAAACCCCATCTTTACTAAAAATAAAAAAATCAGCTGGGTGTGGTGGCGCACGCCGGTGTTCCCAGCTACTTGGGAGGCTGAGGCAGGATAATCGCTTGAACCCAGGAGGCAGAGGTTGCAGTGAACCGAGATCACGCCACTGCACTCCAGCCTGGGCGACAGAGTGAGACTCCGTCTCAAAAAAAAAAAAATTTGCGCACTTGATTGTATCTAAGTTGTAGTTAAAAAAAAAAAAAATTCCTGACCAGCCCAGAGCAGAAAACTGTTGTTTTGTCTGGTACAAGTTGACTCATATGGGTAGGCTAAACAAAATTACCTATTCTTTCACAGAGGCAAAAGGAATCAGGAGAGTTTGAAGAGAGGCTGAACTTTGATATAAACTTAGAGAATCCTAGTAGGACCCTAATATCGATAACTCAAGCCAAACCTGAATCTGGTGAGTGGTAACAGGAGGACCTGAGGAGCCGGGAGATGGCCCAGGGTGGATGGCAGATCCCTGAGACTTGGCTCTAATTCTGTCCTTAAAATGGCAGAGTCCTCATTTTTGTGTGCCAGCTCTGATGGGATCCTATGGAACCTGGCCAAATGCAGCCCAGAAGGAGAATGGACCACAGGTAACATGTGGCAGAAAAAAGCAAACACTCCAGAAACCCAAACTCCAGGGACAGACCCATCTACCTGCAGGGAATCTGATGCCAGCATGGATAGTGATGCCAGCATGGATAGTGAGCCAACACCACATCTAAAGACACGGCAGCGTAGAAAGGTGAGTTTGAAGGAAGGGTCAGAAATACTAGGGGAGGGCTGGGAGCAGTGGCTCACACCTATAATCCCAGCACTTTGGGAGGCCTAGGCGGGCAGATAATGAGGTCAGGAGATCAAGACCATCCTGGCTAACACGGTGAAACCCCATCTCTACTAAAAAATACAAAAAATTAGCTGGGCGTGGTGGCGGGTGCCTGTAGTCCCAGCTACTCGGGAGTCTGAGGCAGGAGAATGGTGTGAACCCGGGAGGCAGAGCTTGCGGTGAGCCGAGATTGCGCCACTGCACTCCAGCCTGGGCGACAGAGCGAGACTCTTGTCTCAAAAAAAAAAAAAAGAAATACTAAGGGAGGAGGGCTGTAGGTCTGACACAGCACATTGTGATGCTTCTCTGAGGAGGGGCCCCTGAGAACTCACCATTCTGCTCTCCCCTTTCCTCTTTGAGATTCACTCGGGCTCTGTCACAGCCCTCCATGTGCTACCTGAGTTGCTGGTGACAGCTTCGAAGGACAGAGATGTTAAGCTATGGGAGAGACCCAGTATGCAGCTGGTAAGTGTGTGTGTGTGTGTGTGTGTGTGTGTGCGTGCGCCTGCACACCTATCCCAAAGGGATGTCACAAGACAGCAAACTTAGAGTAAGAAAGGGCAAAAGATCAAAATTCTGTTTTCTTCAATCACTTGCAATGTATGACTAACCTGTTTCTAAATAAAAGGCATTAATGTGAGAAAAAATAAGTTAGTAAGGAGGCTTGTAGCCCTGACCTCCCCTATTTTTGTTCCCATCGTAGCTGGGCCTGTTCCGATGCGAAGGGTCAGTGAGCTGCCTGGAACCTTGGCTGGGCGCTAACTCCACCCTGCAGCTTGCCGTGGGAGACGTGCAGGGCAATGTGTACTTTCTGAATTGGGAATGAAGATGTGCCACTCGGGAATAATGATACCCCTTGTGCTAGAGATGCAAAGCCTGAAGACACTGGTAGCTTTTAATAATTATAAAATTAATAATTTCTTGATAATTATAAAAATGAAGTGTCAAAAAATCTCAAGTGTAGGCCTGCCTGTGTTCTCATGTGGATTTAGAACAGGAGGATATTCTATGTGTATGTATATGTACATTCTAATGTGTGTCTCTTCTTATTCAACATTAATCCTTACTAGAACCACAAGAAAGTGAATGAAATCTTTAGTAGGTACTCTTTTGAAACTAGGTTTTAGAATTCTTGCATCACTCGCGGGCCCTAGGACCCTAGGATGCCATTCTTGCCAGGAGGAGGAATGAGAGTGATGTTGGCCAACATTCAATTTGAACAGAGCATGGAAGACCTTTCAGTTCATCGGGAAAGAATGAGGGAGGGAGAATAAGTCAGTCATGCATCAGGGCATTTAGAAAGAGCTATGTTTCTGTCACAGAGACAGCCCTTTTCTCAGAACTACCCAGAGGAGGCCGGGCATGGTGGCTCACGCTTGTAATCCCAGCACTTTGGGAGGCCGAGGTGGGCAGATCACGAGGTCAGGAGATCAAGACCATCCTGGCTAACATAGTGAAACCCTGTCTCTACTAAAAAATACAAAAAGTTAGCCAGGTGTGGCGGCGGGCACCTGTAGTCCCAGCTACTTGGGAGGCTGAGGCAGGAGAATGGCGTGAACCCAGGAGGCGGAGCTTGCAGTGAGCCGAGACACCACTGCACTCCAGCCTGGGCAACAGAGCGAGACTCTGTCTAAAAAAAAAAAAAAAGAACTACCCAGATGAGAGGTGAGGAGCCAAGCCATTGAAAGCGGAACAAACCTTCTGGTTTTCCCAACTTCTGACACGACTTTCAACTTTAGTCAATATGGTAATTGGCATTCTCAGAAGAGATCACGAAAGTGTCTTACTCTCTCTCAAATTGAAATTCACAAAGATTAAAACTAATTGAGAGGTGGCACAATCATAGCCATGAACTCTGATTTTCTTAAGTAAAAAACCTTTTTTTTTTTTTTTTGTTTTTGAGATAGAGTCTGGCTCTGTCACCTAGGCTGGAGTGCAATGGTGCAATCTCAGCTCAGTGCAACCTCTGCTTCCTGGGTTCAAGCGATTCTCCTGCCTTAGCCTCCCGAGTAGCTGGGATTACAGGTGCCCACCACCACGCCCAGCTAATTTTTGTATTTCAGTAGAGACGAAGTTTCACCATGTTGGCCAGGTGGGTCTCAAACTCCTGACCTCAGGTTATCTGCACACCTCAGCCTCTTAAAGTTCTGGGATTACAGGCGTGAGCCATTGTGCCCGGCCCATAAAAGAACTTTATTATATTTCTAAAATTCAATCATATGGAAGAATCTATTGAGCAGGTTAGCCTTTGCTTAACTTTCCTCCTCTGTTACTCCAGCCTTAGCTGGGGTGTTTTGTAGAATTTTCAGAGCATGGGAGACAGACAACTAGAGCTTCCTCCTGCCCTTGGCCCATGCTTTTAGGAGAGCAAAAGGCAAAAGATTGAAACCACTGACTTTAGTTTCCTCAGGCCCTTTCTTTCTGAGGGTTAAAGAAGAAGGAAATGTCTTCTGTGGCCAAGAATTCAAGGACTTGTAGGAGATAAGTGAAGGCTATTACAGGGATTTTGTCCTGGTTTGGTAGGTTTCTCTTGGAGAAATACCACTACACCCTGGTCTAGAAATGAGTTTTGAAGACTTGGGGAGTTAAAGGGCACTGAGTTTTACTCTCACTGTACCCTGATTCCAGGTTTTACATGGAGAAATAACCTGAGGGACTTTATTTCTATCCAATGCCCTGGTTTCCATCCTGACCAGAGGATGATGACATCCGCTGATAGGCCATGCTTCTGTCTTCTCTTATGTGCCTCATGCCAAGCCTCGAAATATACCTTCTGGACCATCATTTCCACATCTACCTTGTGACTAGAAGTCCTAGTTATGGTATTTTGAAATTTATGATCCATAATCCTTGCCAGAAATCCTGCAGCGAACTATGGCATGGCATCATCCTAGTCATTGATTTCAATCTTTTGCCTTTTGCTCCCCTAAAATCTTGGGCCAATTGCAGGAGGAAGCTCTATTTGTCTCTCTTCCATGCTCTGAAAATTATATAAAAGCATCCCAGCTAAGGCTGGAGTGAAGGGGTTGGGGAAAGTTAAGCAAAGGCTAACTTGACCAATAGGCTCAATAGATTCAGTCTTGTTGGCCAGGCCCACTTGAAGGGTTTTTTGTTTCATCTTGGAGAAGGACAGTGAGGTCATGGTATAATTGTTATGAGTAAAGTCAAGAACAGCTTCTAGGTAAAAGTAATTATGTACCCAAAAGGAGTTGAAGGGAAAATCAATTTAGGTTTACATTAAACATCCTTCAAGTTCTTATCTTTAAATGGAGTTTCAGTGTCTCCCAAAGGCTGGATGAGTTTTACAGTTATAACCACTGGATTGTGAGACCATAGGACATTTGAACAATCTTTTCTTCTACCCATCTAGAAAAGCATCTTTTTTATATACCAAATTTTTACACATATATCCACATCTGTTTTTGAAATCTAGAGCAGAGGTACTCAAAGTTTGGTTCATGGACTAGTGCCAGTTCACAAATTGTTAATGTTTTATAATGAGATAAGTACGGAAGTTGAGAGTAACCATTTAGAAACTGTGTAGGAATTTAAAAAGTAATATCTGACAAATTTAATAATAAAAATGGAGGCTTGTATTTTGTGTGCTTTTTAATTTCATTTTCTTAATAATCCATTTTGATTATATTTTATAAAAGTATTATTCCGTGACAGATAAGAAATTAAAACAGGCCAGGCACGGTGGCTCACGCCTATAATCCCAGCACTTTGAAAGGCCAAGGCGGGTGGATCACCTGGGGTCTGGAGTTCGAGGCGAGCCTGGCCAATATGGTGAAACCCCGTCTCTACTAAAAATACAAAAAATTAGCTGGGCATGGTGGCAGGCACCTGTAATCCCAGCTACTTGGGGGGCTGAGGCAGGAGAATCGCTTGAACTCAGGGGGCAGAGGTTGCAGTGAGCCGAGATCGCATCATTGCACTCCAGGCTGGGCAACAAGAATGAAACTTGGTCAAAAAAAAAAAAAAAAGAAAAAAAAGAAAGCAAGAAAGAGAGAGGGAGGGCGGGAGGGAGGCAGGAAGGAAGAAAGAAAGACAAAGGAACAATTAGTCCTTCATCTCAGAAGGTTTGAGAAGCACTACTCTAGAGAGACTGGGTAACAGCAGCAAAAAGCATGGACTTGGAATAAGACTGCCTGAGTTCAAATCTTCATGCCTCCTTTCCCCCATTTGTACAACAGCCATAATAATGGTGCTTACTTCATGGGAGTGTTTTAAGGACTAAATGAGTTAAGGTGTAAAACACAGAACAGTGACACTTTTGTGGTAAGTATTCAATAAGTGCTAACTTGACTGTTCTTTTTGTTACCTAGCAGTACGAGTATCACCTCATTATTCTTTCTCATAAATGTCTTATTTATTAGTATATATTTAATCAATCAGAAAATCTGGACCGAATTTTTTAGTTTTCAAAAAAATGTGAAACTCGTATTCTTTCTAAGTTCAGGGGTACAAGTGCAGGTCTGTTACATAGGTAAACTTGTGTCATGGAGGTTTGTTGTACAGTTTATTTCATCACCCGGGTATTAAGCCTAGTACCCATTAGTTGTTTTTCTTGATCTTCTCCCTCCTCCCACCCTCCAAATACCTAATCTTCTCATCCAGAACGATGGGTATGTTTCTTTATCAGTTAAAATATTAAAGTTATGCTATCATAACAACCCCAAAATCTCAACAACTTAAAATAGCAAAGATTTATTTCTAAATCATGCCACATGGCCCGTTAAGGGTCAGCGAGAAGGCCCTGCTCTACTTTGCGCATATTTTGAGCTCTGTGCTTCACGTGGCGAGTAACTCTTCAATCTTCCACTTGGAAATAAAACACATCACTTCCACTCATATTTAATAAATACAAGCAAAGCAAGTCACGTGGCCATACCTAATGTCAAGGGATGGGGAGGAAGTATCCTACGATGTGTCTGAAAGAAGAACCAGGAGCCAATACACAGATGACATCCCCAAAGAACATATCTGTGTTGGTGCTTTCCCACTAGAATGGCTCTTAATCCTTCTTTTTTAATAATGTAAGATTTAGGCTGGGCGCAGTGGCTCAAGCCTGTAATCCCAGCACTTTGGGAGGCTGAGGAGAGCAGATCACCTGAGGTCAGGGGTTCAAGACCAGTCTGGCCAGCATGGTGAAACCCTGTCTCTATTAAAAATATAAAAATTAGCTGGGCGTGGTGGCATGCACCTGTAATCCCAGCTACTCTGGGGGCTGAGGCAGTAGAATCGCTTGAACTCGGGAGGCGGAGGTTGCAGTGAGCTGAGATCACACCATTGCACTCCAGCCTCAGCAACAAGAGCAAAATTCCGTCTCTAAAAAATAAAAAAAAATGTAAGATTTACAGAAGAGTTGCAAAGATAGTACAAAGTGTTCCTCGATACCCTTCACCCAGCTTCTTCTAATGTTAACATCTTACATAACCATGCTACATTTATCAAAACTAGGAAATTAACATTTGTTAATTAAATTACCAGTAAGTTAATTTAAAAATGTTAATTAAATTACAGTCAGGATTTGGATTTGCCCAATTTTTCCGCTAACGACTTTGTTTTGTTCCAGAAGCCAATCCAGGATCCCACATTGCATTTAGTCATTGCGTTTTCTCAGTCTCCTCCAACTGTGACAGATTTTCAGTCTTTTCAAAATCTTGACACTTTTAAAAAATAAATTTATTTATTTATTTATTTATTCTTGAGACAGGGTCTCAGTCTGTTGCCCAAGCTGGAGCGTGGTGGTGCAATCACAGCTCACCGCAACCCATGTCTCTAGGGCTCAGTGATCCTCCTGCCCCAGCCTCCCGAGTATCACATCACTGCACTCCAGCCTAGGCAACAAGAGTGAAGAATGTCGTAGAATGTTCTTCAGTTTGGTTTTGTTTTCTGTTTTTTCATGAATAGGCTGAGATTATGGATTTAATGGATGAATTCAAGAGATGATGTGCCTTCATACTGCATCCTATTGGGTGCATATGATATTAACATAACTTATAACTGGTGGTGTTAACCTTGATCACTTTTAAAGTTAAAGTGATATTTGCCAGGTATTTTTGCCATACCTTCTGTTAGAAGCGGGTCACTAAGTCCAGCCCATACTCAAGGGGAAGGAAAGAAAACCTCTAGAAGAGAGAGGTATCAAAGAAATTTATACATCTGGAGGTAGGTTTTTTGAGGCTATGCAAATATCATTTTCCCGACTAATCTTAGCATTCATCCATGGATCTTGACTGCAGTATTATTAGTGCGGTTTTCTAATCATGATTTTCTATTCACCTCCATTTTCCCTGATACTTTCTATTTCCCTTTGACATTTAGTTATTGAAATTATTTCTGATTTCCTTTCTTTTTTTGAGACTGGATCTTGCTCTGTCACCCAGGCTGGAGTGCAGTGACATGATCAGAGCTCACTGTACTCTCAAACTCCTGGGTTCAAGTGATCCCCCTATATATATATATATATTTATATTACAAAAACTTGGTATATTTTTATTGTGATATAATTCATTTTCTTTTTGTTGTTGTTTGTTTGTTTGTCTGGTTTTTTTGAGACAGGGTCTTACTCTGTTGCCCAGGCTGGAGTACAGTGGTGTGATCTTGACTCACTGCAACCTCCGCCTCCTGGGTTCAAGCGATTCTCCTGCTTCAGCCTCCTGACTAGCTGGGATTACAGGCATGTGCCATCACGCCCGGCTAATTTTTGTATTTTTAGTAGAGACAGGGTTTCACCATGTTGGCCGGGCTGGTCTTGAACTCCTGGCCTCAAGTGATTCACCCGCCCTGGCCTCCCAAAATGCTGGGATTACAGGCGTAAGCCACCGTGCCTGGCCTGTAATTCATTTTCACCCTTATGAAGTGTACGGTTCTGTGGTTCTTAGTATATTCACAAATTATGCAACCATTACCGCTAATCCTGGAACATTTTAATCACCCCACCAAGAAACCTTGACTCCATTAGCAATCACTCCCCTCTCTCTTCCTCCAGCCACTGGCAACCACTAATCTACTTTCTGTATCTATGAATTTGCCTAGTCTGGACATTTCGGATAAATGGAATCATATAATATGTGACCTGTGTGGCTTCTTTCAATTAGAATAATGTTTTCAAGGTTCATCCATGCAGTATCAGTACTTCATTCCATTTTATGACGGAATAATATTGCATTGGATGGATATACTTTTTATGTTTTTACAGCTTTATTGAGTTATGATTGGCATGCAATAAACCACACATATTTAAAATACACAATTCGATAAAGCTTGACATATATATATATTAATAAAATTATTACCACGGTCAAGATAGTTAACATATCTAACAGGAATAAACCACATTTTGTTTATCCATTTATTGGTTGATGGATGTTTGGAGTGTTTCTACTTCTTGGCTATTATAAATATTGTTGCTATCAATATGCATGTACAAATTTTTGTGTGAACATTGCTTTTTTATTCTCTTGGTTATACACCTAGTAGTGGAATTGCTAGGTCCTGATAACTCTTATGTTCAACTATTTGAGGAACTGCCAAGCTTTTCCAAAGCAGCTGCACCACTTTATATTCGCACTAGCAATGTGTGAGGATTTTTATTTGTCCATATCTTTGCCGAGATTTGTTAGTCTCAGGCCTTAGCCTCCTGAGTAGCTGGAATTACAGGCAAATGCCACCACGCCTGGCTAATTTTTCATATTTTTGCTAGAGATGGGGTTTCACCATGTTGGCCAGGCTGGTCTCAAACTCCTGACCTCAGATGATCTGCCTGCCTCTGGCTCCCAAAGTGCTGGAATTACAGGCGTGAGCCACCACACCCGGCCAAGAGTTTTAAATTTTGACGAAGACCAACTTATTTCTTTTGCTTGCTTGTGCATTGGTGTCATATTTAAGAAACTGTTGCTTAATCCAAGGTCACAGAGATTTCTCCTTATGCTCTAAGAGCTTTTTAGTTTTAGCTTACATTTAGGCCTTTGATCCATTTTAATTTTTACGTAGTGTGAGATAGTGTTCCTAATTTATTACTTTGCATGTGGATATCCAAGTCGTCCCAGCACCATTTGTTGAAAAGACTATTTTTCCCCCATTGAATGGTCTTGGCACCCTTGTTGAAAACCAATTGACCATATTTGCTTGGGTTTATATCCAGACTCTCAATTCTATCCCATTGATTTCTATGTCTATCCTATGTCATTATCACATTGTCTTGAGTACTGTAGCTTTTTCAAGATTGTTTTTGTTATTCATGATCTTTGTAATTCCTTATGAATTTTTCTTGGCCATTTCTGCAAAAAAAAAGGATAATGGAATTTTAATAGGAATTGTATGGAATCTATAGGTTGCTCTGGGAAGTATTACCATTTTAATAATAAATTTTCCAATCTACGAACACTTGTAGATTGAAAACTACAGAACTGTTGACAGAAATTCAAGACCTAAATAAATAGGTCTTAGCTGGGTATGGTGGCTCAAGTGTGTAATCCCAGCACTTTGGGAGACTGAGGTGGGCCTTGAGGTCAGGAGTTCAAGACCAGCCTGCCAACATGGTGAAACCCCATCTCTACTAAAAATACAAAAATTAGCTGGGTGTGGCGGTGCACACCTGTAATCCCAGCTACTTGGGAGGCTGAGGCCGGAAAATCACTTGAACCCGGGAGGCAGAGGTTGCATTAAGGGAAGATTGTGCCACTGCACTCCAGCCTGGGCAACAGAACAAGACTCTGTCTCAGATAAATAAATAAATAAATAAATAAAGGTGGCCTTGAATGTTTTTCAATAGTTTTGTAGTTATCAGTGTACAAGTTTCATGCTTCTTTGGTTAAATCTATTCCTAGTGTTTTATTCTTTCTGACGCTATTATAAATGGAATTGTTTTCTTAATTTTTCAGATTATTCTTTACTAGTGTGTAGAAATAGAAATACAATTCATAGGCCAGGCGTGGTGGCTCACACCTGTAATGCCAGCACTTTGGGAGGCCAAGGTGGGTGGATCACCTAAGGTCAGGAGTTCAAGACCAGCCTGGGCCCAACATGGTGAAACCCTGTCTCTACTAATAATACAAAAATTAGCCAGGCATGGTGGCACATGCCTGTAATCCCAGCTAGTTGGGAAGCCGAGGCGGGAGGCTGAAGCAGGAGAATCACTTGAACCCGGAGGCAGAGGTTGCAGTGAGCTGAGATCTCACCATTGCACTCCAGCCTGGGCAACAAGAGTAAAATGCCATCTCCAGAAAAATAAATAAAATAAAAAGAAATACAGGCTGGGTGTAGTGGCTCATGCCTGTAATCCCAGCACTTTGGGAGGCTGAGGTGGGAGGATCACAAGGTAAGGAGTTCGAGACCAGCCTGGCTAATATGGTGAAACCCTGTCTTTACTAAGAATACAAAAATTAGGCAGGCGTGGTGGTGGGCACCTGTAGCCCCAGCTCCTCGGGAGGCTGAGGCAGGAGAATCACTTGAGCCCGGGAGGTGGAGGTTGCAGTGAACCAAGATTGCGCCACTGCACTCCAGTCTGGGCAACAGAGCAAGACACTCCGTCTCAAAAAAAAAAAGAAAAAGAAAAAAAAAGAAATACAATTCATCTTGTATCCTACAATCTTGCTGAACTTTTTAGCTCTAAATATGGATTCTTTTGGGCCTTCTCTATAGATCACGTAATTTGCAAATTTAGTTTTATCTCCTTTTTAATCTTGATGCCTTTTTTTTCTTGCTTAAGTACCATGGTTAGAACCTCCAGTACAATATTGAATGGAAGTGGTGAGTGCAAACATCTTGGTCTTATTCCTGATCTTAGAGGATAAGCTTTCAATCTTTCACCATTGTAATGTTAGCTGTGAGTTTTTCATAGATGTTCTTCATAGGGTGGAGGAAGCTCCCTTTCATTCCTACTTTGTTGGATTTTATTTCATTATGAAAAAATGTTACATTTTGCCAAATGCTTTTTCTGCATCTGAGATGATCATGTGATTTTTGCCCTACCTTGGTTTTCAATCTTGCATTACTGTGATAAATCTCACTTGATCATTGTATATAGTCCATTTATAATGTTGCTGGATTAGGCTTGGTAGTATTTTGTTGATTTTTGCAATTATATTGTTAAGGGATATTGGTCTATAATTTTATTTTCTTGTGATATCTTCATCTGGTTTTGGTTTCATTCTGCTTTGTAGAATTAGTTGCAAAGTATTTTCCTCTCTTCTATTCTTTGGAAAAGTATGCAGTCTACTTCAGTTTTAATAGCAGGTTACTTCAGTGAGTAGATATATTTGACTAGTTCCTTATCTATGATCTTTTTGTGTACACCAATGCCTCAGTGACATCTATGCAAACATATATATCTGTAAGTTTTAGGTCAACAGGGCATGAACATTTCAAATTTTGATAGATATTGGAAACCTGGTTTCTAAAAAGTTACAGGAAAAATTTAAACAAACTTCTCTGTTACTTAAGGAAGTGTGTTGTTTATCTGTGTTGTGTGTTTAAATACAATCAGGAAGTCTTTGGATCTGTATTAGTCTGTTTTCATACTGCTATAAGGAACTGCCCGAGACTGGGTAATTTATAAAGGAAAGAGGTTTGACTCACAGTTCACCATGGCTGAGGAGGCCTCAGGAAATTTACAATCATAGAGGAAGGTGAAGGGGAAGCCCTTCTTCACAGGGTGGCAGGAAGGAGAAGTGCCAAGCGAAGTAGGAAGAGCCCCTTATAAAACCATCAGATCTCGTGAGAACTCACTCACTATCACAAGAACAGCATGGGGGAAACTGCCCCCATGATTCAGTTACCTCCACCTGGTCTCTCCCTTAAAATGTGGGGATTCTGGGGATTACAGTTCAAGATGAGATTTGGATGGGGACACAAAGCCTAACCATATCAGGATCTGACCTGGACTTTAGTACTTCTTAGTTGGAGCAGGTTATGTAAAAACTCATTCCACTTTTTTCCTTTCCTCCTCAAGATGTATTCAGGCTTAGTGACAGTCCTCCAAGGGCTTCCCAAATTTTTGGACATGTGATGAGTCCTAGGATGTTGAGTAGTGGGAGACCTAGGCTGCAGTGGATAAATTTGAAAAAGGCAAGTGAATACATATGCATGGGAAAGAAAAACACGACTTAGCCTTTGTTGCCTCTACCCTTCCTGTGATAATACTCAACAAATTCCAGTTTGCAGAAAAATTGAATTAAACAGGTAAAAGCATTAGCGCCCCCATTAGTGTCCCTCAATGCACAGATGCCACTAAGAACAGGATACTGAATAACCCTCAGAGCAATGAGTAATTTCTGTCCTGGAAATGGAGATCTACTAATGTCAGAAGAAATATGTTCTTGGAGAAATAAAGCCCGAAGAAGCCAGTGGTAGACCTGTACAGTTTTTATTACATAAAATATCACAAAATTCACAAGTACAACACTGCTTATTTTCTTGCTTGAAGATCAGATCTCTGGTTTATTTAATATCAACATTCACCACAGCTGAAGGAAATTAAACTGAACCTTTAAAAGGTACCGCATACGGACCTGGTTGGGGTTATATACAATATATTCATTGTAGTTGAGGGTATAACCATCTGGATTCAGAATTCCTGTGTCACTTGCTGGTCCTAATGGCACTGTACTCCCATTCCTGCCAAATGGAAAAAAAGTGTGTCAACATCAGTCTCTGGTTCAGAAGCTGCAATAGAGAACGTAGTCTTATCTGGCCAAAAGGAGTCTTCTAGTCCTCCTGGTTCTGAGTACTTACAGGGTGACGAAGTGGGCAGAACTGGGAGCCATCTTGCCCAGCCCCTTGGTGCTATGTTTACCTTGAAGCAATCCTTCGGCCTTAGGATTGGCCTCTAGTAGTTCATTACACTGACCTAGAGCTACCTGCAAAGCAAAAAACCTTTGAATTCCCATATCCTACTAAGAATTAGATGGCTCCAAAGCCAAACAGAAAATCCCATCAGTACTTTTTTCCCCTACTCCAGCAGAGGAATCCAATGTACTAGAAATTGTACTTGGTCCTCTCTCAAGCTATCCCAGGTAAACCTCTTGGTTCTGGGGTCAAACTTTTCTCATCGGAAAAAAACTGGAATTAATAAACTAGAGATCACAGACATACTCCTGTCTCACCTCTGATAAGAGCAGCAGTCCTGTATTCTTTAGGCGAGAGGCAAAGCAGTAATTGGCACTCTTGGAAGACATGTCAGCAAAGTAGATTCCTTTCCCAAACTGAAATATATACATGAATACCAAGGTCAGCTTCTAACCCACTGTGTTAGAGAGAAGGTGCATACCACTGACCCTGTTTTTCCATTCCCTTAAACACAATATAGACCCTTCTCCATTTCCCCTCACAATTCTGTTCTAGAGAGGGTAGAAGCCCCTGTGAATTTCCGCCTTCTGAGGGAAAGGTGAGGTATCTTTAGGAATTTAAAGAAAGAGGGACACAGTAAGAGATGACAAGGTTATCAGTGAGCTGGCTTAACTCTTGGGGAGGGGAACCATCTAATCCTAATCTAGGAAAAAAAGCACTGAGAACATTACTGTATCCCTTTCCCCTGTGCTCCTCCCAGAGTTCAATTTCACTCACCATGTAACCTGTGATGGGAGCTTCAGGTGGGGCAATTCGAAGCCCATGGCTCAAGATTCCCACCCAGTTACTCATCCTGGAACCATGCCATAGAAGCATCCTAAGGAAAAGCCAATATTATTGTACTCTGTTGTTCTGCACAGATAGGCCATAAGCATAAAAAAGCCAACACCTTCCTCTGACTCCCTCTTATAAGTTCTACAGCTGTACTTTCGGGCAAGGAGTGTCTTTCCAAACGCAAAGCTAGACTCAGACCTGTTATGAAGGTCCTCTCTGAAGGCTTCTTTCTCACCATCCTTCTCCACTTCAAACAAATCCAGCAAGGTCATGGTATAGTCGCTGTGTGTGGGAGCATGGGTAGATTGTAGGTACTGGGAAATCACCTGTGAAAAATAAGACAAAAAGGCTGATGTAGACTCTACAAGAGACTGAGCTGAACTGAAGAATTTGGGGATTCTGATATAACTTGGCAGACCTTTCTGCTCCCAAACAGTCTTACAAGGCAGCTAGGAAAAGCTTGGCCTTCCCAAATCCCTAGTACATAAAAAGTCTGCCCTAATTGACAATTTGCTCTTGACAAGAAGTAGTTAGAGAACAGTGGGATGGGGGAGGTGGTTAAGGGTGCAAGAATATGAAAATAAATGATCATTTTTCTTACTTTGAACTCATAACTTTCATGGTCAAGGGGGCGCAAGGCACAATGTAGGTTTCTATAGTGTTGGTCCAATGGGTGTTCTGGGCTTTGTAGCTCTGTTTTCACCAGCTTAATAGCAATTTCAATGTCTCCCAAAGCCTGAGAAGATGAGATATAGAATCAATGTGGGAGGACACTGGTATAAGGGATATAATACTTCTCAAATCATACATATCTCACCTCTAGTAATTGTATTTTTTCTGACAGTTCCTTCTGTGTCCGGATTAGTGGAGGAGTACGGAGTCTAAGAACAGAGATATAACCCATAATGAGCTTTCTGACATGTGGCTAAAAGGCGCATGACTAAAAATAGAAAATGACAGATAGGTCCTTTAGAAAACAGGTATGAGAAACAGGTTTTCCATTTGAGAGAGAAAGAGATCTGTAAAGAGATCTTAACTTCCAAATATATAAAATAATATTAAATATATACTCGGTATAAGATGAACTATGTGGATTTTGACTTTTGAGACTAGAGTTAAAATTATTTTTTATAAAATCATTTAAAAATAAGTTATATTGATATCAACAGGGAACAGTTGGATACAGTTCTATCTAGAAGCACAGGTAGACCTGTTGACCACTCAGGGTTATTTCTAGGTCACGGGGCTCTATAAAGCTATAAAAGAAATAGAAATCGGATGTAAACCAGAAAACAGAATCAACAAATGTAAAATGTTATTTTGTCTATCTAATATCACTTGAGTTCACAGAAATGGTGTTTGTGTGGTTTTAGTTACTCAAATAGGAAAAGGGGGTGATATGCCTGAAGGTGTTTTACTTGGGTGGTTGGATAGCTAGACCCATTCTCTCTTGGGTTGGTAACTTCCACTTTGTCAGAGAATATGGCTGTGGTCAAGCCGGGAGATTGCATCCCATATTTGTAAGCTGATTAAATAGGCTACCTATATATCATTTTGTTTCTGTACCTATTCAAGACGATCATTTTCTTAGGAATAAAAGATTTAAAAGATTATAGCTGCTGCTGATGGATACAGGGGATATGTATAGGTAGAAGAACAAAGTGAAGTAACAGCACAGGCCTTACCCAAAGTCATGCGGAATCCTGGTGTAGAATTCATTGCATGCTTCCATGAGAGCTCGTCCATGCTGGCCAGCCCGAATACAATCCTCAATCTTCTTAAGAGACTGGTAACCTGCCTTGATTTGTGCCACTGTCAGCTTCCCTGCAGGCCCACCCAGAGATCAGACTCCAAACTAGGATCCCATCTAGTGAACTGTACTTAACATCCTTCCCTAAAAAAGACTTTCATCTTTCAACTTTTTTTTTTCCTGTTTTTAAGATGGGGTCTCACTCCTGTTGCCCAGGCTGAGTGCCGTGGCACAAACACAGCTAAATGCAGTTCAACCTCCTGGGCTCCGGTGATCCTCCCACTTCAGCTTCGCAAGTAGCTAGATCACAGGCACACACCACCATGCCTGGCTAATTTTTCTATTTTTAGTAGAGATGGGGTCTCACCATGTTGCCCAGGCTGGTTTCAAACTCCTGGGCTCAAGCAATCCACCTGCCTTGGCCTCCCAAAGTGTTGGGATTATAGGCATGACCCATCACACCCAGCCTCAACTTTCAAAATAGTTCCTCTTCCCTCCATACAACCTGTCACCCCAAATCCCATTTTCTTCATTCAGTACTATGAGCAAGCTTTAAATCATAATGATAATAAAGTATCCATTAAAGGAGCTAGGAATTATAAGGAGAGAATGCAGAAGAAAATGTGAAGTCCTACCAAGTGGGGCTTTCTTGGTATTATACTTCATTTCCATCATCATTTCTTCCATGGCCTGAACATTACAGATCAACTTTATTAACTCCTGTACCCGAAGATCTAGCTGTGACTCTGGCTTCAAGGGAGATTTAAGAGATTCCTCTTTCTTTGTTTCCTCTTCATCCTATAGCAAAAAACAAACAAAACACAAGACAATCTAAGAAATCATCTCTAGATTCCTTATAACACCCAATATTATACAATGTAAATGCTTTGTAAAGTTTTTATATTGCACTGTCTAGGGAATAATGAGAAGCAAGGAAAAAAAGGCTGTACAGGTTCAGTACAGAAGCAATTTTTCAAACATTTTTGATTCTCAGTTCATTGAATCCATGGATATAGAGGGTTGACCATCCAAGTTCTGCCTCCCACATTTTACAACTCAGAATAAGTCTAGAAAAAAAAGGCTTTCCTCATGACGTCAGTGTGTAAAGACAGCTATTATGTCTCAGATCTTCCCATCTTAAAAAAGACTAAAACTTCTCCATTTTTTTGGATATGTGACTGTTTCCGGACAGTTTCAGCATCCTGGTATACCTCAGTTTATCTAAATTAAATTTTTTATGGTGGTATATATCCAGAAGTGAAAACAAATTTAAATGTTAATTGTTTAATCAGTTTGATTTTTTATCACTCCTCTCTTGGTCCATAACAATAAACTTCTGGTGCCAGCCGCAGTGGCTCACGCTTGTAATCCCAGCACTTTGGGAGGCCAAGACGGGCGGATCATGATGTCAGGAGATCGAGACCATCCTGGCTAACATGGTGAAACCCCGTCTCTACTAAAAATACAAAAAAAAATTAGCCGGGCGTGGTGGCGGGCGCCTGTAGTCCCAGCTACTCCGGAGGCTGAGGCAGGAGAATGGCGTGAACCCAGAGGCGGAGCGTGCAGTGAGCCGAGATCGCGCCACTGCACTCCAGCCTGGGCGACAGAGCGAGACTCCGTATCAAAAAAAAACAAAAACAAAAAAACGAAAAAAACAATAAACGTCTGGAAATAGGGCCTAAGATTTTATAAGAAACTTAGTAGGCCGGGCGTGATGGCTCACGCCTGTAATCCCAGCACTTTGGGAAGCTGAGGCGGGTAGATCACCCAAGGTCACGAGTTCAAGACCAGACTGGCCAACATGATGAAACCCTGTCTCTACTAAAAATACAAAAAAAATTAGCTGGGCATAGTGGCGGGCACCTGTAATCCCAGCTACCTGAGAGGCTGAGGCAGAAGAATCGCTTGAACCCGGGAGCTGGAGGTTGCAGCGAGCTGAGACTGAGCCATTGCACTCCAACCTGGGCAACAAGAATCAAACTCCAGCTCAAAAAAAAAAAAAAGAACCTTAGTAAATAACAGAGCCAAGACTAGAAAGGCACATTCTATCCTCATTCTTACTGTCCCTTTGGGATTACAAAGATCAGTGAGAGCACCCCTGAGGTGAGAAGTAGAAAGGATTCAAGATATCCTGGCCTGTCCCAGTCCAGGAATGATCTAAGCTATTCTGCTTTACCCTGAGTAAGAAGAAACAGGAGTAGGTGTGGTGCCTCATGCTTGTAATCTCAGGACTTTGGGAGGCCAAGACAAGAGGACTGCTTGAGCCCAGGAATTCGAGACCAGCCTGGGCAACATAGTGAAACCTCATCTTTACAAAAAAAAAAGAAAAAAAATCAGCTGGGCAGAGTGGCACGTGCCTGTAGTTCCTGATACTGAGGAGGCTGAGGTGGGAGGATCACTTGAGCCTGAGGATCTTGAGGCTGCAGTGAGCCATGATTGTGCCACCCAGCCTGGGCAACAGAGCACAGTTTTGCCTCTAAAAAATAAAATAAAAAAAGAAGATGTGTTTCTTTCGAAAAGTATAGTGAGAGTTACCTGAGTATTGGTGGCATAGTCCATCTGTAGCATATCATATTTTCCAGGCACCTTCTCAAACTTTTCTCGATCTTCCCAATTGTTTTTCGTTTTGTCAAGGAATCTGTAGAGTCCAAGGTGTAAGAAAACTTTACAAATAAAGGTCTACTATGAAGATGGACTTACAAGACAGAAAATCTCCAAAGAATTTATTTTCCAGCACTGAGCTCCTTTACACATCAACTTTCCATAAATCAAAATTAGTCTAATTCTAAATGAGGACACTAAATGGACAAAAAAGCTCTGGAGACAAATGGAATTTAAAAAATGGGAAAAACAATGCTTGTCCTTCCCAAACACCACAAAAGCCATTGAGATTTCAAACAAAAGATATCCATCTAATCTCTTTCCCTGAAAGAAACATGTTCTCCAATTCTCCAGAAAGTTCTTCATCTATATCATAAAGTTTTAAAAATTCTAACTGAATATTCTCTTTTTTTCTTTCCTTTTTTTTGGGGGAGAGTCAGGGGTCTCGCTTTGTTGCCCAGGCTGGTCTCAAACTCCTAGCTTCAAGCAATCCTCCTGCCTCAACCTCCCAAAGTGCTGGGATTACAGGCATCACCGTGCTCAGCCCCTAGTTGAATATTATCTATCCCAGGATAGTCTCCACTTATCCCAAATTTCCTAAATTTGTCAGTCATGTGTTAAATATATTAGATTCTTCTGTTTTTAGTGACTTTCAAGGTATTAGTTTGATTTAATCACTAAGGATGCAGTTTGGTGTTTCAACCACAGAATGTCAGGGTGAAAAGACATTAACATTTAGGCCAAATCACACCTATAAAACGAAAAGTTTTTTATAAGCCACACACTTATAAAATTCTTAGAGAAGGCAGGGCACGGTGGCTCACGCCTGTAATCCCGCACTTTGGGAGGCTGAGGCAGGCGGATCACCTGAGGTCAGGGGTTCGAGACCAGCCTGGCCAACATGGCGAAACCCCATCTCTATTAAAAATACAAAAATTAGCTGGGCGTGGTGGTGGGCGCCTGTAATCCCAGCTACTAGGGAGGCTGAGGCAGGAGAATCACTTAAACCCAGGAGGTGGAGGTTGCAGTGAGCTCAGATCATGCCATTGCACTCCAGCCTGGGCAACAAGAGTGAAACTGTCTAAAAAAAAATTTTTTAGAGAATATACATCTAAGAAGAGGAGGGTATATTTTTTTGTAGTCACTTTTCAGCACTCACTTCTTCTGAAAGATTTCCTTGGCCTTGTTGAGATTGCCTGAACAAGCCACCAGGCTGTGCTGTCCCATTTTCCCAACTGCAAAGGAAATGCCACACATAAGATAGTTCCCTAAGAGTAACAGGCCAGCTCTCCAAGATCTCTCTGCTTAACATCTGACAAACAGGCAGGAAAGGGAGAAGGGAAAGGTGAAAGGATTTAGGGAACTAATCATGTTGATACAAGTTACTTGCTAACTGCCATAGTCTATGAGCACTACTAGCAGTTCAACTATAGAAGAGTTTTCAGACTCAATGGGCTGCTCTTAGTTTTTCCAGTGGGAACTCTAAGGAGGATGCCTGCCATTCCCCAATTTCAAGATGCTCAACTTGATTCCTAAGGCTCTCCCAGACTTCAGAGCCTCTACTGACCCAATTTAAACCCAGAGAATCCTTTGGCCACCCACTAAGCTGCTTCTGACTTTCTGAATGCCAACTCATAAAATCTCAATAAAAATCATTACCTCGGCCCCATCTCATCCAAACACTGAAGTTCCTCTGGGCATCATCTTCTAATAGCTGAATCAGATAGTACTTGTTGTTGTTGAACTGGAGATTGGTCTATGTTGAGTGAAAACAAAAACAAAAAAAAGGAGTTTTGCAAATGGAAATCACATAAACCAATGACTCATCCTTCGTCACAGGTGCCAGTTATTTCCATAAGGAAAAGGATAGCATCAGGCAAGAAAATTAGATTCCTGTAAGATTAAAGATATAAAGAAGAAATAGGGCTTATACATTAAACTTTGGATTCTTAGGAATTAAAGTGGGAGCCTAGAAGCTTCCTAAAACCCTCTATCCAACCTCAAATATCCTACATTGAATGGCTCCTCCAGTTTTTTCCTGCCTCAGCTCCCTATTTAGATATTTTCTAAGCTATATGTGTTTTCCAGCTCCCAATCCACTCCCAATAATTATTTCCCAAATGAAAACAATTTGGATGCTCCAAAGGTCTAAACCTGTTATGCTCAACTGTTAAATGACTTACTCCTTGACAGTTCTACTCACAGCTTTTGTTTGTCAGCTGCAGAAATTTGACAATGAGCTGAGAGCAGGGCAATAATGGGAGGGGACAAGGGATACGCAAAACCACTGCCACATCCGTCCCATACCTAACCTGACCTGACTTGGAGATACTGAGAGAGAATATGGCCAGTATCTAAAAAGAGGTATCTGTAAGTAAATCACTCAGAGTGAAGAGAGAGAAGTCCATGATAAGGCATAGCAGCTGGTGTTGTATGGCCGAGCCCTGGATATGGAGGCATTCTTTTTTGTTAAGCATGCTGCCCCTTCCTACCTCTATCTCCTGCTTGCTCACATTCTAAAGCCATTGTACGACCTTAGCCCACTGGTGAAAAAAAAAAGGTCATTAGATGTTAGAACAAAAAGGAGCCTAAGATATTTTCTTTTTTTGAGACAGAGTCTTGCTCTGTCGCCCAGGCTGGAGTGCAGTGGTGCAACCTCCGCTCATTGCCACCTCTGTGTCCTAGGTTCAAGCAATTTCTTGTGCCTCAGCCTCCCTAGTAGCTGGGATTACAGGCACACGCCACCATGCCAGACTAATTTTTTTTTGTATTTTTAGTAGACATGGAGTTTCAACATGTTGGCAAGGCTGGTCTTGAACCCCTAACTCAAGTGATCTGCCCGCCTTGGCCTCCCAAAGTGCTGGGATTTTAGGCATAAGCCACCATGCCCAGCTTGATATTTTCTTTTCCTTTAAAAAATTTTTTTGTAAATGTTTTTATGGTTTTTATTTTTTATTTTTTTGAGATAGGGTCTCCCTCTGTCACCCAGGCTGGAGTGCAATGGCTCAATCACAGCTCACTGTAGCCTCAACCTCCCAGGCTCAAGCAATCCTCCCACCTCAGCCTCCAAAGTAGCTGGCCCATGCCCGGTGTTTTTGTATTTTTTTGTAGAGACAAGGTTTCACCATGTTGCCCAGGCTGATCTTGAACTCACACCTGAAGTGATTCTCCAGCCTTGGCCTCCGAAAGTGCTAGGATGACAGGCATGAGCCACCACACCTGGCTGCCTTAAGGTATTTTCCTTCTTTTCTTTTTTTTTTTGAGAAGGAGTTTTGCTCTTGTTGCCCAGGGCTGGAGTACAATGGTACGATCTCGGCTCACCACAAACTCCGTCTCCCAGGTTCAAGCAATTCTCGTGCCTCAACCTCCCGAGTAGCTGGGATTACAGTCATATGCCACCACACCTGGCTAATTTTGTATTTTTAGTAGAGATGGGATTTCTCCACATTGGTCAGGCTGGTCTTGAACTCCCGACCTCAGGTGATCCGCCCGCCTCAGCCTCCCAAAGTGCTGGGATTACAGGCGTGAGCCACTGCACCTGGCTAACCTTAAGGTATTTTCTATCTGCTCGTGGTATTTTAAGTAGAAGAAATAGTAAGAAATAAATACTAATTGGTTGTTAAAATTATATATGTTGGATCAATAAATTCAAACATGAAGTCATATCCAGGAAATATATTAATGAGGCAAATGTATTATCTACTCAAAACCACAAAGGTAAACAAGAGAAAAAGGTTGATTAAAAAGAAAGCTGAGCTTGGGGGCAGATGCCTGTAGTCCCAGCTACTTGGGAGGCTGAGGTTGGAGGATCACACGAGGTCACAAGTTCAAGGCCAGCCTGAGCAACATAGCAAGACACTGTCTCTAAAATTAAAAAAAAAAAAACCCAAAATTTTTTAAAAAGGAAAAATTAATAAATTTAACTACAGAAAAAATTTAAAACTTCAATATGGGCAAAAAGTGTACTATAAGGAAAACCAAAAGGTAAATGACAAATCTGGAAAACACAAGTGGTTTGTATTACAGACAAAAGGCTATTCTCCATATTATATAAAGTTCCTCGAAACCAGTAAGAAAAGGACCAATAACTTTAGAAAATGTGCAAAACAGCTTGTCCCAGTGGCTCATCCCTGTAATCCCAGTGCCTCATGAGGACAAGGCAGGAGGATCATTTGAGGCCAAGAATTCAAGACCACCTATCCAACATAGCGAGATTCTCATCTCCATAAAAAATTTAAAAATTAGTCAGGCTTTGTGGCATGCGCCTGAAGTCCGAGCTACTCAGGAAGCTTAGGTGGGAGGATTGCTGGAGCCCAGAAGTTCAAGGTTGCAGTGGGCTATGACTGTACAAACTGCACTCCAGCCTGGGTGACAGAACAAGATCCTGTCTGTTTAAAAAAAAAAAAAAAATGTGCAAAAGGATATGAACAGAGAGTTAACAATTTCAATAAATGATATGAAATTTGCAAAAAAAAATCTTCTCACAGAGGACTCTGCTATCTGATAAGAGTGTGCTAGGGCTGAGTACTCAGGTGTTTAACCACTAATGGCTAATATTAATATAAAGGACTTGCCGGGCGCAGTGGCTCATGCCTGTAATACCAACACTTTGGGAGGGTGAGGTGGGTGGATCACCTGAGGTCAGGGGTTCAAGACCAGCCTGGCCAACATGGTGAAACCCCATCTCTACTAAAAATACCAAAAAATTAGCCAGACACTGCACCTGTAGTCCCAGCTACTTGGGAGGCTGAGGCTGGAGAATTGCTTGAACCCAGGAGGCAGAGATTGCAGTGAGCCGAGATTGCACCACTGCATTCCAGCCTGGGTGACAGAGCAAGACTCTGTCTCAAAAAAAAAAAAAAAAAAAAAAAAAAAAAAAAAAATATATATATATATATATATATATATATATATATATATATATACACACACACATATGAAGGACTTTAGGCAAGGCGTGGTGGCTTACACCTGGTAATCCCAGCATTTTGGGAGGCTGAGGTGGGTGGATCACTTGAAGTCACGAGTTCGAGACCAGACCCTGGCTAACGTGGCGAAACCTTGTCTCTACTAAAAATACAAAAAATTAGCTGGGAGTGGTGGTGCACGCCTGTAACCCCAGCTACTTGGGAGGCTGAGGCAGGAGAATTGCTTGAACCTGGGAGGCAGAGGTTACAGTAAGCCGAGATTGTGCCACTGTATTCCAGCCTGAGAGATGAAGTGAGACTCCATTTCAAAAAGAAAAAACAAAATTTAAAAAAAAAAAAAAAAGGGACTTTAAAGATCTGAACACTGTGATGCTATCATCAATAATTATCAAGAAGATGGTCTCATAAATATAATGGTGCCACCTCTTCTTGCCTCTTACCTGATTTAGCATGACATCATAGACATCATTTCCTTCACAATACACATGAGCCTAGAAAGGGAGAGAGAGAAAAAATCAACATTAGTATAGGTTCAGCCCTGACATCCTAAATGAGGCTCTAAATTTTCTTATGGCTCAAGTCATCATTCTACAGCAACATCAACATTCATCTCCCAAGGAAAGAATTGCAAACCTATGTTCTACCAGTAACCTGGGTGTAACCTTACTATAAATGAAAACATGCTTCCTTTTTTTTAACTATACAAAAGATTCTGAGTTAGGCTGCGCATGGTGGCTCATGCCTGCAATCCCAGCATTTCGGGAGGCTAAGGTGGGCAGATCACTTGAGGTCAGGCATTCGAGACCAGCTTGGCCAACATGGTGAAGCCCCGTCTCTACTAAAAATATAAAAATTAGCCCAGGCTGGGCGTGGTGGTGGGCACCTGTAATCACAGCTACTTGGGAGGCTGAGGCAAGAGAATTACTTGAACCTAGGAAGTGGAGGATGCAGTGAGCTGAGATCACACCACTGCACTCCAGCCTGGGTGACCGAGTGAGACTCTATCTCAAAAAAAAAAAAAAAAAAAAAAAAGATTCTAACTGAGTTAAAGAAAACTTATTCCAGAGGTAGCCTTCTTTTTTCCCCATTCATCAGTAACTCATGCCATTCCAGGGTACAGTTTCTCATTAGAACAAGAAAACAGTTTTCCCTTAACAATGATACCATTTTCTGGTTTAAAAAGAGAATGAGGTGTAGAAGGCTGATGGCAACCACAAAAGGTACGCATGTGATATAGTTTGTATATTTGTCTCCTTCCAAATCTCATGCTGAATTGTAATCCTCAGTACTGGAGGTGGGGCCTGGTGGGAAGTGATTCAATCATGGAAGTGGATTTCTCATGAATGGTTTAGCACCACTGTCTTGCTGCTGTCCTCTTGATAGTGAGTGAATTCACACAAGATTTGGTAGTTTAAAAGCGTGTGACACCTCCCCATTCTCTCTTTCTCTCTCTGTGACACCTTCTCCAATCTCTCTCTCTCCCTTTCTCTCTGTCTCTCTCTCTCTCCCCTGCTTTTGCCATGTGACGTGCCTATTCCCGCTTCACCTTCTGCCATGAGTAAAAGTTTCCTAAGGTCTCCTGAGGAGCAGATACTGCTATGCTTCCTGTACAGCCTCTAGGAACCTCTTTTCTTATAAAATACCTAGTCTCAGGTATTTCTTTACAGCAATGCAAGAATGGTCTAACACACCATGTTAAAAAACACCCTGATTATTAACCCCAAGCCCTACCACTCCTATCTCTTGCCATTAGAGAAAACTACTCACTCATCATATTTTGGAGAGGATTCCTAAAATGAGTACTAACAGCATCCCAGACAGGAGTCCTTATAACAAAGGATGCTCTCTGAGATATCCATGGACTGAAGATCGGTTCCAGAGTCTCTTACCTTCCCCACCTTGGCTGTACACTCTGGGTCCACAGGAGCTTTGCCCTTTAACAGCAAGGCCTTCACAGATTCTGAGGAAAGACAGATAGGTACTACTTTATGGGAATCAAAAACAGCTGTTGTGGTAAAACAGAAACTTGTCAGGATTAACTTTGCCCGCCCAACCAATCCTGGTCTTTCCTTAGACCCCAATCCATCTCAAATACATGAAAATGAAGATTCAAGGCAGTAGATTAGTGCTGTGGTATGCCCAAAGGATAGAGAAATTAATTATTCCCTGAAAGAAGGACGAAATAGGAGTTGAAATAACAAGATATCATCCCCAGATCCACTCCTACCAGAGACCCTTTTGCTGGCCCATGACCTTCCTGGCATACCATCTTGCTTGTCTTCTGTCCTGTCCTTATTAGCTTTTCCTCCAGCCACAGGCATCTTTTTCGACTCCTGTCTCTGGCATCTACGAGTTTTCTTGGCAGGGGAAGAGTCTTCTGGAGCCGTGTTGCCATTATTAACTCTTTTGCTTTCATTTAATGCTACAGAATTTGGAAATTAGCAAAGAATGAGTACACACCCGAATACGTGTAGATTTTAAAGATTGAAAAAAATCTTTTAAAGAAATGGTTTAAGATAATTTTCTCTCTTTTTTTGTTTTGAGGTGGAGTCTCACTCTCTCGCCCAGGCTGGACTGCAGTGGTGCGATCTTGGCTCACTGCAACCTCCGCCTCCTGGGTTCAAGTGATTCTCGTGCCTCAGCCTCCTGAGTAGCTGGGATTACAGGCGTGCACCACCATGCCCAGTTAATTTTTGTATTTTTAGTAGAGACAGGGTTTCACCATGTTGGCCAGGCTGGTCTCGAACTCGTGACCTCAAGTGATCTGCCCTCCTCGGCCTCCCAAGGGATTACAGGCGTGAGCCACCTCACCCCGCCGGTTTAAGATAATTTTCTAAGTTTACAGAGGCAATAACAACTGTCCCACACTACTTTTGTGTAACAGTCTGTGTAATTCTTCCTAAATTGCTATTCTAGCCAAATGAAATAAAACAAAATAAAAGGGAGTCCCAGGAGTCTTGTAAGCTCATAGATTGAGGCCTGCTTATCTGTTTTACTTGTGTCCCAATGTCCCCCAAATACCCACCTCATACATGAGGCCGTATGGGATAAAGGTTAGTTAAGTGCTCAAGGGTCTGTGCCTAATTTAGAGCCTAGCTCTGCTGCTTTTCTCTGTGGAAACTTGGAGAAGTATTTGATCTCTTCCTACTTCACTTACTCCAATATTAGAATATTGTACAATACTGTACTTCTAGAGAAGTACAATAGAACCTAATTTATAGGGTGCACCTATGCATTTAAGAACATTATACACATAATACCGTATCTCAATAGGTCTAAGACTCGCATTTTACTCTCTGGAACTGGGATGCATCTTACAATGGATGACATAAGCAGTGAATCACAGTTCACCATTTTCAGTGCTTATCCTTTGTTGTGTATAAAATAATGGTGTGCCTTACAATTACTTTTTGTAAATTGGATGACATTAGGTATTAACAACAGTACTGGCACATTAGTTGTTACAGCTCCGCAAGGCTTTATGCACAATTATGTAATCCCCAAAGCTCTGAAAACCGAAATTTACAAAATTTAGCACCCCAACTGGTTTGGTAGCCAAGTGCAGGTTATAGGGAGCTGGAAGGGGAAGGGGGTCACAGTAGGTGGCATCGTTCCTTTCTGACTGCCCGCCCCCCGCATGCCGTCCCGCGATATTGAGCTCCGAACCTCTCGCCCTGCCGCCGCCGGTGCTCCGTCGCCGCCGCGCCGCCATGGAATTCGAACGCTGACGTCATCAACCCGCTCCAAGGAATCGCGGGCCCAGTGTCACTAGGCGGGAACACCCAGCGCGCGTGCGCCCTGGCAGGAAGATGGCTGTGAGGGACAGGGGAGTGGCGCCCTGCAATATTTGCATGTCGCTATGTGTTCTGGGAAATCACCATAAACGTGAAATGTCTTTGGATTTGGGAATCTTATAAGTTCTGTATGAGACCACTTTTTCCCATAGGGCGGAGGGAAGCTCATCAGTGGGGCCACGAGCTGAGTGCGTCCTGTCACTCCACTCCCATGTCCCTTGGGAAGGTCTGAGACTAGGGCCAGAGGCGGCCCTAACAGGGCTCTCCCTGAGCTTCGGGGAGGTGAGTTCCCAGAGAACGGGGCTCCGCGCGAGGTCAGACTGGGCAGGAGATGCCGTGGACCCCGCCCTTCGGGGAGGGGCCCGGCGGATGCCTCCTTTGCCGGAGCTTGGAACAGACTCACGGCCAGCGAAGTGAGTTCAATGGCTGAGGTGAGGTACCCCGCAGGGGACCTCATAACCCAATTCAGACTACTCTCCTCCGCCCATTTTTGGAAAAAAAAAAAAAAAAAAAAAACAAAACGAAACCGGGCCGGGCGCGGTGGTTCACGCCTATAATCCCAGCACTTTGGGAGGCCGAGGCGGGCGGATCACAAGGTCAGGAGGTCGAGACCATCCAGGCTAACACGGTGAAACCCCCCCCCATCTCTACTAAAAAAAAAAAATACAAAAAATTAGCCATTAGCCGGGCGTGGTGGCGGGCGCCTATAATCCCAGCTACTTGGGAGGCTGAAGCAGAATGGCGTGAACCCGGGAGGCGGAGCTTGCAGTGAGCCGAGATCGCGCCACTGCATTCCAGCCTGGGCGACAGAGCGAGTCTCAAAAAAAAAAAAACCGAGTGGAATGTGAAAAGCTCCGTGAAACTGCAGAAACCCTTTGGGAACAGAGGGAACCATGGGGCAGGAAGCCCACGAAAATTCTAATTGGTCTTCTGGTTCTTGGTGACATCAGGTGAGGGGCGCCCAAATGTTTGGCTTCATGAGAATCACCGAGTATGGGGACTGCATACTTAAGCAAATTCCCCACCCCAGACCCTCCGATTCAATAAGCCTGTATTAACAAAATCACTGGGTAATCCTGGTTTTGGCACTAATATCATTTAGAAACATATTGTTAGGATAGCATAGTATCTGTTATAGAGCAACCTGAGCAAAATAGCGAAACCTCGTCTCTATTACAAAAAAAAAAAAAAAAAAAGTGAAAAATTAGCCAGGCGTGGTCGCGGGCGCCTGTAATCCCAGCTACTTGGGAGGCTGAGGCACGAGAGTCGCTTGAACCCGGGAGGCGGAGGTTGCAGTGAGCCGAGATCCCGCCACTGAACTCCAGCCTGGGTGACAGAGTGAGACTCCGTCTGAAAAAAACAAAGAAAAAAAAATTGATACATTTTAATTTTTGTTCATCAAAAGATGTAAAGTTTAGAAAGAAAAAACCCAAAATCTCATTATTTGCATGTAATTTGATTATGAATATTTTAAAAGCTAGAAGAAACTACAGGATAAAAATTTTACCTTAATACAAAGCCTAGCAAGACTGATAGAAAATAGCGTGTGAAAATAAATTCCATGCTTATAAAAGAGCTTCAAACAACTATAAATAAAATTTTTGGATAAGGTAGCATTTACAATAACACCAAAGCATATCAAGTAGTTGGAAATAAATCTAACAAAATGTAAGTGCTCAATAAATGTTGTTGGATAGGATTGCTTAACCTGTTTCAGCGGTACAAAGCCTGTTACATCTGACTTAATTATGACACAAATAAATTAGACTAGGTCTAAAAGGAAATACTTTGGAGATAGGAAAAATATAAGCCTTTATGAAATGAAAATTTATTAAAAATAGCTAATACTTAGTAGAACTTTCTTGTGTACTAGAGGCTGAGCTAATGCTTTACATGCATAACCTCATTTAATCTTCATAAGAATAATAGCCAGAATTTATTTAGTTCTTACTATGCTATGAGCTTTACATACATTATTTAATTCTCACAACAACCTCATGAGGCATATGTTATTATCTCCATTTATAGTTGAGGAAACTGAGCTTTAGAAAAATTTAATTTATTCAAGATCACACAGTGTATTGCTAGGGCTGCTATAACTACATACATTGTCGTAATTCTGGCGGCTAGAGGCCCAAGGTAAAGGTCTTGACATGGCTGATTTCTTCTAAGGCCTGCCTCCCTCTCTCCTTGGCTTGTAGATGGATGCTGTCTTTCCTCTCTGTGCATCTATGTCCTAATCTCCTTTATTTTATTTATTTATTTATTTTTTGAGACAGAGTCTTGCTCTGTTGCCCAGGCTGGAGTGCAGTGGCAAGATCTCGGCTCACTGCAACCTCCACCTCCCAGGTTCTTGAGCGATTCTCCTGCCTCAGTCCCCTGAGTAGCTGGGACTATAGGCGTGGGCTACCACACCTGGCTAATTTTTGTATTTTTATTAGAGACAGGGTTTCACCATGTTGGCCAGGCTGGTCTCAAACTCCTGACCTCAAGTGATCCACCCGCCTCAGCCTCCCAAAATGCTGGGATTATAGGCGTGAGCCACGGTGCCTGGCCCTTAATCTCCTTTTCTTATAAGGACATCAGTGATATTGGATTATTCCCAACCCGTATGACCTTATTTTATCTTAATTACCCCTTTACATGTCCTATCTCCAAATACAGGCAGATTCTGAGATAATGAGAGTTCTTCAAATACATACATTTTGAGGTGACACAATTCAGCTCATAATATACAGTTCCTAAAAGGCAGGGCCAGATCTGGGTGACTCCAAATTATGTTGTTATCTACTAGGCTAATGTATTCTGTTTCATGACAGTAGTTACCATCCCACACACATTTTTAAAAATGTATTTTTAAAGTTTTTATTGATTCTTTTTCTTTTTTAGTTATTATGGTGGTCAGAGTGAGAATTACTGAAAATATATTGTGAAGATATAACTTCTTTATAGTCAAATACAGAACAAGTGTAACTAAAATAGTACTGAAGCATGTCACCAATAACTGGAAGAAACCGGCTGGGTGCGGTGGCTCATGCCTGTAATCCCACCTCTTTGGGAGGCCAAGGCAGGCGGATCACCTGAGGTGAGGAGTTCGAGACCAGCCTGGCCAACATGGTGAAACCCCCTCTCTAGCACAAAATTAGCTGGGCATGGTGGTGGGTGCCTGTAATCCTAGCTACTCAGGAGGCTGAGGCAGGAGAAGCTTGAACTGGGGAGGCGGAGGTTGCAGTGAGCCAAGATCGCACCACTGCACTCCAGCCTAGGTGACGAGAGCGAGACTCTGTCTGAAAAACAAAAACAAAAAAAGCCTGGAAGAAACCAACAAATTTATTTTCATAATTAAAACCAAAACCTCTATAGATAAGTGGATGAAAGATATTAATAAACAGTTTGCATTTGATAAATAAGTGCATGGAAAAGATATTCAGGCTCACATAGTATGAAAAATACAAATTAATATTCGACAGGACAACTGGCCTACTCTCTTCATACTATTATGTAAAAAA
Source organism: Homo sapiens (assembly GCF_000001405.40). Lineage (NCBI taxonomy): Eukaryota > Metazoa > Chordata > Mammalia > Primates > Hominidae > Homo > Homo sapiens. The sequence goes on along the minus strand of NW_025791796.1, from coordinate 542,731 downwards.
AAAATTGTTAGGACTGTTTTAGAGTAAAAGAGACATTTGAAGCCTAACAGCCAAATGCAATGTTTGGATGCTGGTTTGAACAAGCCAGCAATAAATGGGGATATGTGGATATGGACTGGAAATTGGATGATTTTAGGGAATTATTTATTAGATATTATAATGGTATTCTAGTTAGGTTTAAAATAATGATATTCTAGTTATGATTTTAAAATGTCCTTTAGGGTAGGTGTGGGGGCTCATGCCTGTAATCTCAGCAGTCAGAACTTCAGGCAGGAGGATTGCTTGAGCCCAGGAGTTCAAGACCAGCCTGGTCAACATGGCGAAACCCGACTCTACAAAAAGTGCAAAAATTAGCTGTATAATTTATCACTTGAGCCTGAGAGGTCAAGGCTGCTGTGAGCTGTGATCATGCCACTGTACTCCAGCCTGGGTGATAGAGTAAGACCCTTTCTCAAAAGGAAAAAAAAAGTTCTTTAAAAAAAGCATGCTATAGTATTTTCTGATAAGACATCACGTTATCTAGAATTACTTTATTTTTACAGATGGAGTGCAGTGGTGTGATCTCAGCTCACTGCAACCTCTGCCTCCGGGTTTCAAGCAATTCCCCTGCTTCACTCCAGTGTGGGCAATAGGGTAAGACCCTGTCTAAAAAATAAGATAAATTTAAAAATAAATAAATAAAATGAAAGTTAGATCATGTTAGATTTTTGTTCCAGTGGCTCCCCATCTCAAATGCTGTGGCTTGACCAGGCTCTATATGATCTGCTTCTTACCCCAGTGCTTTGATTTCATCTGCTACTATTTTTCCCTTTGCTTACTCCTGTTAGGCACTCTGGCCTCTTTCCACTTTGTCTCAAACATACCAGTCACTCTTCTCCCTACAGGCTTCTGTTCTCTCTACCTGGTCTACTCTTCTTCCAGCTAACAAGATTGATCCCTGACTTTCTTCAGGTCTTTGTTCTTAGTAGCAGTGGTGCCTTCCTTGATATAAATAACATCACTCCCATTATCACTTGTAGCCTCTTACTCTGCTTTATTTTTTTCCAGAGTACTAATTACAACTTAACATATATTTGTTTAATTTTTAGGAGATCTGACTCTCTCCAATAGACTGTAAGCTCCAAGTGAGCCAGGGCTTTGTGTATTTTGTTTCCTGCTCTGTAACCAATGCCTGGAACAGTATCTAGCTTTCAATGATATTTGTTGAATGAGATACTAAATAAGACAGGGTGTCAAGGAGCAAGGGGTATGACTTGAAAAAGAGGGTGGGTTCTGAAGGAAAGGTGAGACTTTATTGAACTTCACTGTCTTGAGGATTTCTCTTTCCTACCTTATTCAAAGAGGTGGATCTTGAGAGTTGTTTAAAAAAGAAATTCAGAATCAAAAAGATCAGTAATTGAAGGAAACTAGTAAGATTTTAAAAGCTTTGAAATTCCACAAGTATGGTTTATTATATTGCCTGATGTTATAAATATGTTTCCAAACTTATTTATATTTATTTATATATTATATTGCCTGATGTTATAAACAAATTTCCAAATTTATTATTTGCCAATTTTCCAAAAGTGATCAGCAAAGCTGCGGATCAGGACCACCATTTAAAGGAATTTGCATACATGTCTTCAGGAATAGCTAGGAAAGGGATGTTGATGAGAACCTTCTACTTTGCTACAACTTTGGAAGGAAAGGATCCTCAAGAGATATTAATTTAAAATGGAGAGAGTTCTGAGACGTATTAAAAGGGGGAAAGTAGTAGCTCAGAGTTGGGGTAGGAGGTGTTGAACATGTAGAAGGCCCAATCTCTGGAGTCCTAGGTTCAACTTGGGGGATAGGCATTCAATGTGGTGTCCATTTAGCCTTTGAAGCCTGTCCTTTGCTGCCTTAGGGGGTTGGGGTCTCCTACTTTTCTCTTCTCCCCTCTAAATTGAAACCTACTCTTGGATCTCTACCCTTATTTTGTGGAGAGGTACTGTTTTATTTTTTAAACACGAACACATTCTTCTCGTAAAACATTGCAGATATTCAAAACCAAAAAGCTCCTCCCTTAATTCCCTCAATCCTTCTCCTTGGAGTAACTTGTTAGCAGTTTGGTGTGTCTCTTTCCAGACTATTTTCTTTTCATTTACTTGCAAAAATGTGCACATACAGAATTATTCTATTTTGCATTTTTTGTGGGGGGGGGGAGAAGTGTTACATAAATGTGAGCATATTACATGGTGTTATTCTTGGCTATTTTCACTTCATATGCATTGGAGATGTTTTCATGTCAGTACATGCAGATTTACTTCATTCTGTTTAACTACTGGGTAGTATCTCATAGAATGGTTGTATCATTTAAAAAATGTTGTGGGTACATAATAGGTGTATAAATTTATGGGGTATATGAGATATTTATTTATTTACTTATTTATTTGAGACTGAGTCTCGCTCTGTCACCCAGGCTGGAGTGCAATGGTGCGATCTCATCTCACTGCAACCTCCGCCTCCGTGGTTCAAGCGATTCTCCTGCCTCAGCCTCCTGAGTAGCTGGGATTACAGGCGCACACCACCATGCCCGGCTAATTTTTGTATATTTTAGTAGAGATAGGGTTTCACCATGTTGGTCATGCTGGTCTTGAACTCTTGACCTCGTGATCCACCCGCCTTGGCCTCCCAAAGTGCTGGGATTACAGGCGTGAGCCGCCGCACCCAGCACATGAGATGTTTTATGTGCAATGTGAAATAAACACATCCTGGAGAATGGGGTATCCATCCCCTGAAACCTTTATCCATGGACAGTCTTTCAGTTATTTTAAAATGTACAATTAAGTCATTATTGACTATAGTCACCCTATTGTGCTATCAAATAGTAGGTTTTATTCATTCTTTCTAACGATTTTTTTGTACCCATTAACCACCCCTGCCGCCAAGGAATAGTTGTATCATGATTTAATGATCTTTGAATAGACATGGGTGTTTCTAATTGTTTTGCTGTCATAACCAGTGCTACAAGGAACATCCTTCCTTGAACATGCCCATTTGAGCACAATAGTTCTCCAGGGTGGATAACCAAATGTAAACTTGCAAAGGAGATGCTTAATTTTTAATTACAGACAAATGGCCATTCTCAATTCTTCATTTTGAATAAATTATAAATGAAATTTTTAGAGTGCTGCCTTTTCCAAGAGTTTACTCACTTCAGCAGTGATAACATCCCTTTTTTCCTTTTTTTAAATTTATTTTTTATTTCAATAGGTTTTTGGGGAGCAGGTGGTGTTTGGTTACTGGTGATTTCTGAGATTTTAGTGCGCCCATCACCAGAGCAGTGTACACTGTACTCAGCATGTAGTCCTTATCCCTCAACCCCACCACCCTTTCAGTGATAACATCCTTAAACGATAGTCATTCAGTTGGTGTTCTCCAAAGGGTGAGCCTCAAATCTACCGGAAGTACCTGAGGGTGCTTATTAAAATACATATTCCTGAGTCCCACCCACTGAATTAGAATCTCTGAACGTGTGTCCCAGGAATCTACTTTTTTTTGAAACAGGGTCTCACTCTGTTGCCCAGGCTAGAGTGCAGTGGTGTAAACACAGCTCACTACAACCTCTACCTTCTGGGCTCATGCTCTCTTCCCGACTCAGCCTACCTTAGTAGCTGGGACTATAGAGGCATCACCACTCTTGGCAATTTTTTATTTTTATTGTTTGTAGAGACAGTTGTTTTACCATGCTGCCCAGGCTGCCCTCAAACTCTTGGGCTCAAGCGCTCCTTCTGCCTCCACCTACCAAGTATTGGGACTACAGATGTGACCTACCACACCTGGCCCCAGGAATCTATCGACTTTTAAACAATTTCAAAGTTATTTTACAGAGCACAAAATTTTGATGTTACCAGCTGAAGAGAATTTCATCATGGATTATTATAAGTATTAAAGCCTGGAATACAGAATATCATAAAGAAATGTTAGATATTTAATGGGAATTTGAAAAGAATATTGTACTTTCTAAGGTTTTCTGAAATCACACAATATAGGAAGCAGTGCAATGTGGTGGTTGAGTTTGGGCTGTCAAGTTGGATGGCTGCTGTCTCAGTTTGTTTTCTGTTGCTTATAACAGAATACCTGAAACTGGGTCACTTATTTATTAGTTTGTTTTTTAATTAATTTATTTTTTGGATACAAAGTCTTGCTCTGTCTCCCAGGCTGGAGTATAGCGGTACTCCAAACCTACACCTCATTAGTTCAAGCGATTCTCCTGCCTCGGCCTCCCAAGTAGCTGGGATTACAGGTGTGCACCACCATGCCTGGCTAATTTTTTGTATTTTTAGTAGAGATGGGGTTTCGACATGTTGGCCAGGCTGGTCTCGAACTCCTGGCTTCAAGAGATCCACCTGCTTCGGCCTCCCAAAGTGCTAGGATTACAGGTCTAAGCCATCACACCAAGCCTGGTTTATTTATTTATTTAGTTAGTTTTTGAGACAGGGCCTCACTCTGTCACTCAGGCTGGACTGCAGTGGCACAATCTTGGTTCACTGCAACCTCCGCCTCCCGGGTTCAAGTGATCGATCCTCCCACCTCAGCTTCCTGAGTAGCTGGGACTACAAGCCCATACCACCATGCTCAGCTAATTTTTGTATTTTTAGTAGAGACGAGGTTTTGCCATGTTGGCTAGGCTGTGGGGTAATTTATTTTAAAAAAGAAATTTATTTTTTGCAGTTATGGATGCTGTGAAGTCCAAGGTTAAGGACTGCCTCTGGGTTGCATCTGAACTCCTTCTTGCTGGAGGGGACTCGCTGTGATGTTCCAAGGCGTGGCAGGAAATCACATGGCCAGGATGCTGAGACTGCTAACATGCTATCCTTAAGTCTCTTTGCCTTTTCTTTAAAGCCACTAGTTCCCCTCCCATGATAACCTATTAATCCATGAATAGATTAATTTATTTATGAGGGCAGAACCCTCATGATCCAGTCACCTCTTGAAGGCCCCACTTCTAATGAGGATTAAGTTTCAGCCACTTTAGGGATTAAGTTTCAACATGAATTTTGTAAAAGGTGAAAGATTTATGCGATATGAAGAGAAACTAGAGTGACAACATGAATTTTGAAGGGGACAGTCAAACCATAGCAACTGGGATCTGAATCCTGACTTTACCACTTGCTAAATAGACAAATTCCTTAATCTCTATAACTCTGTTTCCTTTTTTTTTTTTTTTTTTTTGGTGAAATAGTTATAATGAAAGTGCTTACATTCTTGGGTTAATGTGAAGATTAAACAAGGTAATGAATATTACATTTCTTGAATATTTATAGTAAACATTCAAGAAATGTTTTGACTCTAGAAGTTACAATAAATCAATTATGAAATAACAAATTAGCATTTGATGCTAAATGTTGGGAAATTTGGGGCAGGTAAACTCTAAAGTGGATTGGAATAGGTAATTTCTAGTAAGGTGGAAGCAGGGTGGATAGGATGAAATGATTAAAAAATGAGAACTACTATGAGTTAGAGTTGTATCATTTCTCCATATAACTTGAATCTTTATACTTCAAACATTTGCACATTACATGTATATTTGTACATATAACACATACTTGTATATATATTCCCTATTACTATAATAGTATTTATTAAGAATAATGATGAATATTGTGCCGGGGAGTCCTCTAATTATGGCTTAAAAAGAAATCTTTCAGCTTGGGCAACATGGCGAAACCCCATCTCTACAAAAAAATACAAAAATTAGCTGGGTGTGATGGTGCACGCCTGTAGTCCCAGCTACTTACTGAGGCAGGAGATCGCTTGAACCTGGGAGGTCAAGGCTACAGTGAGTCGAGATTTCACCACTGCACTCCAGCCTGGGACACGAAGTGAGACCCTGTTTCAAAAAAAAAAAAAATTTAACAGAGTAAGAACCTATACTTTAACTGGAGGGCGATGTGAGGAGTCAAAATAATTGATTAATCAATTATGTCCTCAGCATTGAAAGTCATTGTTTTTGTCTGGAGATGTGTAAAACGTACACTTTGATCTCCAGTTGTTTATAGTCTACTTGGGAATATAAATCTAACAAGAAATATGTAATAACAATAATAACAGCTAACATTGTTGAGTACTGTGTACCGGGCATTGTACTGAGTACATTATATAAATTATTTTACTTAATCCTCATAACCATCAGAGTAGGAAGATTTCATCTTTTTTCCCTCTTTTTATAGTTGGAACTGAGGCTTAGATGTGTGCAAATAAGTGGCAAGGTTCAGATTCAAAATCAGCTAAATTTTATTTGAAGCCTAAAACACTTAACCCACCTACCTTTTATCTACTAAGCCTGTTAGTTCAAAGATTACCTGAAGGTAAATTTTATCAGGCCAGCTTTGGATCTGGGGGGAAAAAATGAAGGTAAATTTTAACTTGAATCGATCTAGACTGTTTATAATGGAATCTGTTGCCTAGCATAAGTTAAGCATGTTGAGGTCACAAAGGATAAGAAATTACCCTTAAGGGATGAAAATTCTTTAGAATAGAATGCAGTAGGCCCACGCAAACAACAACGTGTATAAATAGCTTAAATTAGCCTGTTTTTGCCTAAGTACATTAACTCAAAAGGAAACTCGGTTTAAGAAGTTCACTCCAAAAATAGTGCAAGAAGCATCACTGGTCCATAAAGAGGGGTGGAGTGGGTTACGTCATTTCAGCACCTTTTAAGGTAAAGGAGGAGGGAATCCTCTTGAACTCATTAGCCAATCAGGTTCTGAAGACACTTCCCAAGGCGACTTCCTGTCTCTCCACTTTCTTTCCCTCTCCGTTTTGGTGGGCTGGTGAGTGTGCGCTTAATTTTGCTCTCTAATTGTTTTGAATTTCTCTTCCATTTGAGTTATATACCCAGGTGGCAGGCCTTTATTTCAAGTCGGCATAGGAGTGTGTGTGAGTCGCAAGGAGATTAATTTCGGCTGTGTGGAGGTTGGGAGAAGGCAGTGAAATGCTCTTCCTGGCTTGTTTCCACGTGGGCCTCTGCAGTACTGGGTTTGCCTTCCGTCTCCGAGTCCTGGTGACCCAGGAACAATAGACTGTGCTTCATGTGCACAGTGCGTGTGTTCTTGGAAAACGCCGGCTTCATTTTGCTTGGCGGGAAAGATATTATCATCCTAATGCTGTTTTGATTTATATCTCCCTGGGTGAGGTCAGATTTCGGGAGAAGGCGTTCAGCTCAGTAGAGTTTAATTCTCCGGTGAGTGTCTAGAGGGCCCAGGTCCTTACTGGGTTTGTGGAAGCTGCAGCGTACCTTGTCTTTCTCCTGGCCTTCGCTCAGATCATTTCGGCTTTCTTGGTGAACCTGGGCAGCAAACTCTGAAGACAGATAAGCCTTAAAAGGAGCTCCTAATTTTTAATGTTGCCACTGTGGTGATTGTGTCCTTAAAAGCTATGGAAAAAGATTAGGGACCTTAGTTCAGGGCAAGCCTCTAGATTTAAATTCCAGCGCCACAGTTTACAGCTCTGGTGACCTTGGGAGAAGCAGTGAGCCATTCCGAGGCTTAGCTTTCCAAGATCAGATAAAATATATAAAAACTAGGCTCTAGTTGGTGTGTAATAAATGTTAGGTACCTTTAGAAGTAAGCAGTACTTATTTATTTACAGCAAGTATTTTGGATATCTGTTTTCTCATAAAAAGTTTGCTTAGTGACCTTCAATGTCATTTCACTGAATTCCTTTCTTTTGGTACATGTTAATTTTAATGTGATGTTTGTGTTGGATATTCTTATAGGCAGAAAGTGTGAGAAAGACAAATAATAAACCAGTTAATCGAATGTAGTAATAGGTATTTGTAGGCCTCCCATAATTTTTATAATTCTCAAGCATTGTTAAAATTTATTTTTTGGGGCATGGCGGCGCATGCCTGTAATCCCAGCTACTCGGGAGGCTGAGGCAGGAGAATCGCTTGAACCCGGGAGGTGGAGGTTGCGGTGAGCCGAGATCGCGCCATTGCACTCCAGCCTGGGCAACAAGAGCGAAACTCTGTCTCAAAAAAAAAAAAAAAAAAAAAAAAATATATATATATATATATATATGTATACACATCATATATATATATATTTTTGAATAGGTAATACATTCACATGGTTCAAAATTCAAAAGATATCAAAGTTTCTTATCCCCTTCCCTAAGCCATCCAATTCCTCTCCCTCATAACAGTGTTACTAAGATATTTTATGCATATAAGCAAATATGTGTAGGTATCCTTCCCTTTTACTATACCTACTCTACTATGTGTCTTACTTTTTCCACTTAAGTTCCATGAGTAGAGTGTTCACATTCTTCATAATGGTAACATAGTATTCTTTAAAAATTATTTTTTTTAAAAAATATATTTTTTCAGTAGGTTTTCAGGGTATAATGGTAACTCAGTATTCTAATTTATGTACCTACTATAATTTATTTAGCTTTTATCAGTAGGTATTCAGATAGTTTATGATCTTGATATTTCCCCCTCAAATGAATAACCTTGTAAATCAGTCAGTTGGCATAAAGGCATTTCAATTGGGTTTTGGTATATTCTTGTTTAAAAGGACTCTAGATATTTTGCAGTGCTTCCTATTTATATTTATTTTGTACACGGTGGTGATTAGAAACCAATCAATACTCTAAACTTGATTGAGCAATAAAGGATTTTCTACCGAAAGGAAAATCATCTTGATGGCTTTTATGTGAATATATCTTTGCCCACTTTGGTTTGAGTGGGGATGGTTTATCTTGTTATGAGCATGTGTTTAATGCTGGGAAGGAGTGACAGCAGTGGCCCAGAACAACCAAGTCATCTTTGTATTCACAGGGGCAGAAAGGGCATGCTTTCAGTGTTTACTTAGAAAATGTGTGCTGGATATGCCCCTGAACTCATGGTGTTGAGGGCATATTTTAGTATTAAGTTAGGAAAAGCTGAAATGTATTTTAGGATGTAAACATGCAAAATAAAAAAGGAAGCCTTTGGGAATTTCTCCAAAGCTGTTTTAGTCTTAAGAGGCTTAGTTCCGGTTTTTTAGGTGGAAGTTTTGTGAGTTGGGAAAACATTACATTCTTTCCAATGGAAGCATGCTTTTGTTAATAAGACTTCATAATACATTGGAGTCTTCATTGTTAAGTAGGAAATGAGGGGAAGGGGGAAGCAAACCTGTGTCTTTTTTGCTTGAAGGACAATATGGCCGGGCGCGGTGGCTCACGCCTGTAACCCCAACACTTTGGGAGGCCGAGGAGGGTGGATCACCTGAGGTCGGGAGTTCGAGACCAACCTGATCAACATGGAGAAACCCCGTCTCTACTAAAAATACAAAATTAGCCGGGCGTGTTGGTGCATGCCTGTAATCCCAGCTACTCGGGAGGCTGAGGCAGGAGAATCGCTTGAACCCGGGAGGTGGAGGTTGTGGTGAGCCGAGATCGCGCCATTGCACTCCAGTCTGGGCAACAAGAGTGAAAAAAAAAAAGGACACAATATCTTGGAGTTGGAAGGGCCCTTATGAGTACTATATGAGTGACCTTTCTGGCTTCTGGGTTATTGTGAGAAGTGTGACTTTTTGTTGTTAAATTTGTTTTTATTGTAGATTCACGGGGTACATGTGCAGGTTTGTTTCAGGGTATATTGCATGATGCTGAGGTTTGGGCTTCTATTGATCCTGCCATCTAGGTAGTAAACATTGTACCCAATAGGAAGTTTTTCAGCTCTTGCCCCTCTCTCTCTTTTCCTCCTTTTGGAGTACCTAGTGTCTATTGTTCCCAACTTTTTGTTCCTGTGAACCCAGTATTTAGCTCCCTACGCAAGATTTAGCTCCCAACGCAAGATTTAGCTCCCACTTATAAGTGAGAACATGCAATACTTGGTTTTCTGTTTTTGCATAAATTCGTTTAGGATAATGGCCCCCAGCAGCATCCAGCAGCTCCAGTTGCTGCAAAGGACATGTTTTTTGTTTTTTTTTTTTTTATGGCTGTGGAAAAGTGTGAAATTTTTAGGCAGAATATTTGCCTTTCTACTCACTAGCTGGTTGAGCTTGGGCAAGACATAGAAATAACATATTAAACATTTAACTCCATGCCAGCTACAGTGCAAAATGTATTTATTACCTCAGTCTTCACGGAAGTTTTAAGAGGTATGTAGTATTTGTCCTCATTTTACAGAGGGGACAGCTGAAGTTTAGAGAAGTTGCATAACTTACCCATGGGCACAGCAAATACATGAGAGAGCCAGGATTAAAATCTAGTTTAGTATGATTTCAAAATCTATTATTTTAGGGAATATTAATTAGTGCAGCTATGATGGAAAACAGTATGGAAATTTCTCAAAAAATTAAAAATAGAACTACCATATAATCCAGAAATCCCATTTCTGGGTATATTCAAAGGAAATAAAACTAGTATGTCAGAGATACCTATACTCCCATGTTCATTGCATCATTATTCACAAAAGCCAAGATACGGAATTGACCTAAGGGTCCATCAACGGATGAATGGATAAAGCAAATATTATACATATGTACAGTGGAATACTATTCTGCCTTAAAAAGGAAGGAAACTGATAGTGAGTGGGAAATAAAACTTGGAGTCTGTTCTGATAGCAGTACCTTATATAACTATCTCTAAAGGAAAACTATACCAAGCTATTAGTCTAGTATTTACTTCCTATGAACAAAATTTTGTGTGTTCATTTTGTTTCAGGTTGAAGATGAAATCCACTGAGGAGGGAAGTCCAGCACCCTGTGTGCCAGTCCAGAACTGGCCCATCTGTAGACCCCCTGAAAATCATATGGGCTTGGATTTGGATATTCTCAACAGAAAGGGTTAAAGGCTGATGGTACCTAAAGCCTGGTACTTGAATTTTGATCAAGATAAGCTGCCTTAAGTTCTCTTCATTACACGTATGTGTGTCTTTCCTATCTAAAAAGCCTAGCTTAGAGATTCGAGTTACCATTGTATCCTATAATGCTAGGTGGCACTGAGTAAATTGGAATAGAGTCAAAAGGAATGGTGATGAAATCTTAACACGAGTATCTGCTGATTTAGTATCAATTTGTAGTTTGTATTAGGCCTTCATGAAGCATCTGTTCACACATATAAAATGTACCTTTTGGCTATGAACACTAGTACTTTGAAGTGATTACTGCCCACAGTCAACAAAATGCTGGGATCATTGATTGTTTATGGAGCATTTGCACAATACTTAGTAAATACGAAATGTCCTTTGTATGGTGGAATGACACTTGTTGAAGCATGCATGACTAGAATCCTGCAGGGAAGCATCACACATTGGGAAAGGTATCACATATTTAACATCAGGATTTATGTGCCAGGCTTTGTGCTATGTGTCAAAACAAAAAGACCAGGCCTCTTGCAATCTGGGTTTTGTTTGTGAGTTGAGATTAATAGAGAAGTTGTTCCTTTCAACCTATAATTATTATCCTGTAAGAATACTTAGATCAAGTAGTTTTTTTTTTAATTTCCTTTTTAAAAAAATTTATTTTAGGTTTGGAGAGATCAAGGAGTTTTAAGGTAGACATTGTTAAAACTGGAGAAACCTTTCACACCATGTCTTGCTTCTTGTCTACATTCTCTTAGTTAACCTTGCATCCTGCTGATCTGAAAACATTTTACATAGTTAAAGCTAAGTATAGGGCAAGGAAGGAGTAAAATAACATTTTGATCATATCTGTCTGAGATATTTAAAATGCTTCAGTTTCTTTCCAACCTACTGAGCTAGCATGTCACTGCATTACATTTTAAAGCAAACCTTTAGCTCTGTGTATTTCCTGTAGGAAGTACCATGGTGAATTGAAGAGTATGGAGTTTTGATGGAATTGAATTTAAATCCTAGCTCTTACTAGTTAGGTGACCTTAGGAAATTTATGTAATTTTTCTGAGCCTCAATTTTCCTGTAAATAGGGGGTTGTAAAATTTAAATGATACAAATTCTATACAGCTTGACAGATAGGATTTCTAAAGAATGATAGCCACTGCTTTCTTTTCTGTCAGCTTATTTTAGACCCATTCTTAAAGGCACTGATGTCCAATGGAGCCTTCTGTTATGATGGAAATGCTCTATGTTTGTACTGCCAATTTAGCTATTGAGTAATGAAAATGTGACTAGGGTAATGGGAGAAATTTAATTTTTAACTCTAATTAAGTGGTTACTTATTGGACATGCAACTTTAAGGTCCACTTGTGACCCACTCTTTTTGCTTCATGAAGCCTTCCTTGACCAATCCTACTTCTTTTCTTAACCTTACTTGCTTTCTACTACTTATTTGGTGGTATGTTAATTTCTGTGAGTCTTGTCTTTCTGGCTAGATTGTATCTGAGGTTATGGATTTTTAAATCTCCACACTGCTGCATGAAAAAGAACATAATGATGAAAGTATAACTGCAGTATTTTTAGCTAACAAGTTTTAGATGATCATTACAAGTAAATACAAAAAATTTTCTAGCTAGTAATTAGGTGAAGAGTAGGGAATAGTGTGAAGGTTGCCTGCAAAGATGAACTGCGTATCTAGTATGTATTTGACCTGAAAGTTCAGATGACACGCAAATGCTGGAAGAGGAAATTAAAGCAAGACTCTTTCTTACACTGCCATCTTGTGGCAGACTTGGGTTACAAATGTTACTAATTCAATTTTCCTATATAAAGGGAAGATTTTCTTCAGATTATTTTGACAAAGGATTACGAAGAGTAAAGGTTAAATACAATCCGGCATTGGCTCAAATGAAATTGAAACATGCTTTGAAAAAACTGACTATTTTGGATTATTTTCTCAGTTATCTGAATCTTAAAAGTTCTTGACTCCTTCCTCTTGCATAACTGTTTTCTTACTGTGAGGTTGTTGACCTTTATAGCCTTTCAGAAGTTGGTTAGACTATTGTGCAGTTTTATCCAAGCTTGTAAATTTATACAAAATTAAGCTTGTGTAGGGGTCCTGCTCGGTTTTTTTTTGTTGTTGTTGTTAAATTTTTTTTGTTTTGTTCGAGACGGGGTCTTACTCTGTTGCCTAGGCTGGAGTACAGTGGCACGATCACAGCTCACTGTAACCTTGAACTCCTGATCCTGCCCTATTTGATATTGAGCTTGGGCATTTGGTGACATTCTCCAAATAGATGAGTCAATAATTTATATTAATGAATGGAGAGTTAAATAAAGGATGAACGGTTACTCTAAATTTTCTTGTGACTTGGTATAGAACATGCTGGTGTGAGTTGTCATGTAATCATAACCTTTGTGAATTTATTTATGTTTTTTAAATTTTCCAGAAATGATCCTAGATAATTGATAGATCCTGTGGTTCAACTGGATTTCTAGATAGAAGCTGGATTCATGTGATGCCAGAGGTAAGAGTAAGAGCAAAATCTTCGTTTTTACCTCATTTGGATTTCTAATCACTTAGCAAGACTTGGGACTCGGTGTTATTAGTGGATGGAATTTGGTAATTAAAAAAAATCCCCAGTTCTAACCTTAGGAGAATTTTCCTGTTTAGGGATGAGGAGCCAGTGCTGGTTTGCCCTTCCTCAGTCATTTACAGTTTGCCATGATGAAATGCATGTTAAGTCCGTGTTTCAGCTGATCAGCCTGATTAAACACATGCTCTGAGCAGACTAAAGCTAGGGGCAAACACCTGCAATTGAATTCTGCTTGTTGGAATTCATACTGGGATTTAGTCTGTAATCCCAGGTAATTCTTAAATCTTAATAAATTATGAATTTGAGACTAATGTTTTGTTGTGCTTTGATCTTTTGTGATATCTCTATATCCCCAAAAAATCACTTTTGTGAGTTAGAACTAGGGTCAGGAATCATTAATCTAAAAGTTCAAACACTACAGAAAAAGCACTGGCAACTGGTATAATTCTATAGGCAATTTAGCCTGGCAGTTTTAAACTAATCATTATTTTATCAATCTATACATGTAGATTAAAGGAAACACAGAGTTGGTTAAATCAATTTTGTGAAGACTATACGGTACAACACTATAGAATCACTTAAAAGTTATGATACAGTTTTATGTTTATTGAAATAGAACGGTATTCATGACACATGAAAAACAGATTATATAGAGCAATATGTTTCTGCTTAAATATTTTTATATGCATATGTTTGCTTAAGAAAACTGAAAGGACATATATACTAAAATACTAGGGGGTTATTTTCTCTAGAATTGGGTTCTACAAGTAATCTTTTATTATTATAAACCTATTTTCTAATTTTATTGTATTCATGTATTGTAATATTTTAAAAGTTATTTTAGGTAACTTAGGACAAGCTTATATTCTTTACCCGTGCCTGCATTTTCAGCAGAGAATTAGGTAGAAAGAAGGGTGAAATACAGGAAATACAAACAACTCAAAGTAACATCAGGACTTGAAATAATTTTTTAGCTTTTGTTGTCTTTTGCAGGAGTAAAATTTCAAGAGACTGAAACCAGATCTGAGTTTCGCTGTTCCAGTCTGGACCTCTTTGGTGCTGTAAATCCTGGATATACTGTAGATGAGTACTGCGTTTTTCTTTTATGGTAAGGCTTACGTTGAGATTGAGAAGCTTTGCCATATATATGAGTCTTTGAAAATTCAGGTTTGTGACTTCATGGCCAGCTGCTAAGGTGCTATAAATTTCACTTTTTTTTTTTTTTTGAGACGGAGTCTTGCTCTGTCGCCCAGGCTGGAGTGCAGTGGCGGGATCTCGGCTCACTGCAAGCTCCGCCTCCCGGGTTCACGCCATTCTCCTGCCTCAGCCTCCCAAGTAGCTGGGACTACAGTTGCCCGCCACTACGCCCGGCTAATTTTTTGTATTTTTAGTAGAGACGGGGTTTCACCGTTTTAGCCGGGATGGTCTCGATCTCCTGACCTCGTGATCCGCCCGCCTCGGCCTCCCAAAGTGCTGGGATTACAGGCGTGAGCCACCGCGCCCGGCTAAATTTCACTTTTTAAAAGTCAGTTGAGGCCAGGCGTGGTGGCTCACACCTGTAATCCTAGCACTTTGGGAGGCCGAGGTGGGTGGATTGTCTGAGCTCAGGAGTTTGAGACCAGACTGGCCAACATGGCAAAACCCCATCTCTACTAAAAAAATACAAAAAATTATCTGGGCCTGGTGGTGTGCGCCTGTAGTCCCAGCTACTCAGGAGGCTGAGGCTTGAACCCAGGAGGTGGAAGTTTTAGTAAGCAGAGAGAGCGCAACTATACTCCAGCCTGGGTGATAGGGAGATTCCGTCTCCAAAAAAAAGAGTCAATTAAAGATGTTGAGAAGTAGCATTGTATAGTATATATATGGGTTCTGGAGTCAGACTGAGTTCAAACGCATGCTCTATCACTTCACCAGTTATGCAGCATTGGCAAGTTTCCTAATATCTATGTCTTAGTTTTATATTTTAGAGGATGGCAATAGTATTTGACTCAGGGTGGTTATTTTGAAGATTAAATTAGTAAGGGTGTGGGTAAAGCATACGGTAAATGCTCAGTTTGATGTTAACTATTTGTCATCAGAATCCATGCGTATATTTCTCTTAGATTCTGTACTACCTGGCAATTTTTGACATCTGCATAATAGATTGACGAAAATTCTTTGTTTTGGCCTGACGTGGTGGCTCATGCCTGTAAACCCAGCACTTTGGGAGGCGAGGTGGGCAGATCACCTAAGGTCAGGAGTTCAAGACCAGCCTGGCTAACATGGTGAAACCTCGTTTCTACCAAAAATACAAAAATTAGCTGGGTGTGGTGGCGTGCACCTGTAATCCCAGCTACTTGGGAGGCTGAGGCAGGAGAATCGCTTGAATCTGGGAGGCAGAGGTTGTGGTGAGCTGAGATCGCACCACTGCACTCCAGCTTGGGTGACAGAGCTAGACTTCGTCTCAGAAAAAAAGAGGAAATTCTTTGTTTTTATTGCTCATATATCTTTCTGTTAATTAGACTACCCCTCATTACCTTCACCCCGCCCCTCAAAACTTAATTAAGTTCTAGAATTAGTCATAGGCACTATAATGTGTATCTTTATATAATTGTTGGAATAACATTTTCTTTAGTTGGTTAATCTTGATTTTGGTACTAACTTGTTATCTAGTTCCTCATTTTCCCTTGCTGGATCAGTTGATCCTTAATGATCTCTTCTAGTTCTTACTTTTTTTTTTTTTTTTTTTTTTTGAGACGGAGTCTCGCTCTGTCGCCCAGGCTGGAGTGCAGTGGCACGATCTGGGCTCACTGCAAGCTCCGCCTCCCAGGTTCACGCCATTCTCCTGCCTCAGCCTCCTGAGTAGCTGGGAATACAGGCGCCCGCCACCACGCCTGGCTAATTTTTTTTGTATTTTTAGTAGAGACGGGGTTTCACCGTGGTCTCGATCTTCTGACCTCATGATCCACCCGCCTCGGCCTCCCAAAGTGCTGGGATTATAGGCGTGAGCCACCACGCCCGGCCTCTAGTTCTTACTTAGATGTAATGATTCCTATCTTATAAGAGTCTCTTGATGTCTTCATTTTTTTTTTTTTGAGACAGGGACTCATTCCATTGCCCAGGCTGGAGTGCAGTGGCATAATCAGGGCTCACTGCAGCCCTGGCTTCCCAGCCTCGGGTGATTCTCTCACCTCAGGCTCCCAAGTAGCTGGGACCACAGGCCACCATGCCTGGCTAATTTTTTGTATTTTTTTGTAGAGATGGGGTTTTGCCATGTTGCCCAGGTTGGGATGTCTTTATTTTTTATAAACGTTTCTTAAATTAATGTGGTTGGAGTTAAACTTTGATGGCTGTTCCTCTCACTGCTTGAAGCCTTAGGCAGTGGGATTTTGATCCATCATATATCAAAAATGGCTTATCTTCACTCAGGGCACCATGAGGATGGGCTGGCTGTCCGTTAGTGCCTTCTGATTTTTGCGGAGTCAAACAATTACTAAACGGGTGGTGATTCCAGATTAAGAAAATGTACCTGTGATTAAAAAAATAAAAGAAGCAGCCTAGTTTCAAAACACGAGCATATAGTAATTAGATAGCTGTCATCTGGTGCTGTGAAATAAAGCCAGTTGATTCTGAGAGTTACTGAAACATTATACTCTAAAGTCATTCATGTTCAAATTTTAAATGGTTTACTCAGTTTTTTAGAGTGGTTGCTCACACACGTCAGGGCAGTTTTAAAAATACACTTTTTGGCTGGGTGCGGTGGCTCACACCTATAATCCCAGCACTTTAGGAGGCTGAGGTGGGCGGATCACCTGAGGTCAGGAGTTCGAGACCAGCCTGGCCAACATGGTGAAACCCTGTCTCTACTAAAAATATAAAAATTAGTTGGGCATGGTGGTGTACACCTGCAGTCCCAGCTACTTGGGAAGCTGAGGCAACAGAATCGCTTGAACCCGGGAGGTGGAGATTGTAGTAAGCCGCGATTGTGCCACTGCACTCCAGCCTGGGTGACAGAGTGAGATACTCCGTCTCAAAAAAAAAAAAAAAATTATATATATATATATAAAACTTTTCTTTGCAGTATGAAGGTAGATAATTCTTCAAGTTAAAGATGGACTTTTTTCACCAGAAATGGCTTTATGGAATCAATTTGCAAAAATGTAAGAGGTGGCAAAGGAAAGAATAAAATAATATTTTCATTTTCTTCTGTTATTCTTAGATCCTTTGGTAGATTGTAAACTCCATGAAAGCAGGATACCTTCTTTTGCCCTAAGGCTTGGCCCAAAAGAGATACCAAAAAAATACTTGCTTATATACTAACCTAGTCTCTGGGTGTGGGAGCCATAGAGGGTTCAGGGTGGGGTGGTGGGGAAGGTGGGGGAAGCCCTGATTGACAAACCAGGGCGGTTTCCAAAAGGAATTCTTGGCATATGTACTCAAGGAGACATGTATAGAACATTCACTGTGGTATTGTTTTTAATTGTAAAACCTGGAATCAGTGCCTATTATAAGAATGACTGCCAAAACCAATCTATTTATGTGAGGAATAGATACATAAAACCTTACTGGTATTTAGTAGGAAATCTTTTATTGTTAATATTTTATTTACAATCTTACTTGATATTTATCATTGAGTTAAATTGCACATACCATTCAGGTATGGTTAAAAACTCATTTCTGCTTCATGTTGAAATATTCTCAATTGTTTTGACTAAAGTATACTGTCCTATATGCTGTGTTTACATCCATGATGGTATATTTAACATGCAAGGGGTACAAAATAAAAATCCAAATATTGAAAGTCTGGTATACTTCACTGTTTTTGTAATGAGATTTAATACTCGTGCTTATACCAGAATCTCACAAATGGTATGCAACTGTAATAACTTGTGTTGGCCAGAATATGAAACGTATTCTTTAAATTAAGATTCTTGATCACGCCGATGATCCCAGCACTTCAGAAGGCCGAGCAGGGTAGATCACGAGGTCTAGGAGTTCAAGACCAGCCTGGCCAAGATGGTGAAACCCCGTCTCTACTAAAAATACAAAAAAAATTAGCTGGGTGGGGCAGCGTGCCTGTAGTCCCAGCTATGCGGGAGGCTGAGGCAAGGAATTGCTTGAACCCGGGAGGCGGAGGTTGCGGTGAGCTGAGATCGTGCCACTGCACTCCAGCATGGGTGACAGAGCAAGACTCCGTCTCAAAAAAAAAAAAAGATTCTTGAAATTGCTTCATCGATAATATACATTTCATGAATATTCAGTAGTTTGTCTAAAAACAGTAAACAACTGAGTTAAACCATTTTACAAATTACAAGAAATATGTTAGGTCTTCAGGCAGTCAGACTTTTCTGTTGCAAATCTCAACTTTTGGCTATAAAAACAAGGTATCAAAATAAACAGGAAGTTACTTCTATGTGTTCAAATATAGCACAACTACTACTTGAAACTCAAAGCCTTTTCTCCTTAATTATAATATCTTCAGACTGCTTTTCTCTATATAGATTCTCATGGAAAGTATTTCTTTTTTTTTTTTTGAGACGGAGTTTGCTCTTGCTGCCCAGGCTGGAGTGCAATGGTGTGATCTCGGCTCACTGCAAACCCGCCTTCCAGGTTCAAGCTATTCTCCTGCCTCAGCCTCCTGAGTAGCTGGGATTACAGGCATGCACCACCATACCCAGCTAATTTTTGTATTTTTAGTAGAGATGGGGTTTCTCCATGTTGGTCAGGCTGGTCTCGAACTCCCGACCTCAGGTGATCCACCCACCTTGACCCCCCAAAGTGCTGGGATTATAGGCGTGAGCCATTGCGCCTGGCCTGATTCTCATGGAAAGTATTTCATATCTATAATTTTTTTTTTTTTTTTTTTGAGACGGAGTCTGGCTTTGTTGCCCAGACTGGAGTGCGGTGGTGTGATCTTGGCTCACTGCAACCTCCGCCTCCCGGGTTCAGGCTATTCTCCTGCCTCAGCCTCCCAAGTAGCTGGGATTACAGGTGCCTGCCACCACATCCAGCTAATTTTTGTGTTTTTTTGTAGAGATGGGGTTTGATCATGTTGGCCAGGCTGGACTCAAACTCCTGACCTCAGGTGATCCACCTGCCTTGGCCTCCCAAAGAGCTGGAATATAATTTTGTTATTCTGAGTAGTTTTGTCTTTGTGGTTGGTTGCCTTGTTTTTTTATAGCCAATAAATATGATGAAATATCATTCTAAAAGCAAATGAAATACATTTCTAATATTTTGATGCATATTGTATCCCTTGCATGGTAAATATAACCTAGGAATGTTACAGACTAGACTACCACTCCATCAAATACTGAAGTTGTTGGAATGTTTGCTTTCTTGAATGTCGTGGTCACTCTGGCCTGGCCTTCACAACTCTTATTGTAAGTTATTCAGACTCTTTATGTTGGGAAGAATGAATTAAAGTTGTATATATGAAAAGCAAAACTTTAGAATTATTGAAAACAAGAGTATGATATTGGAGTAGACATAAGTACAAAAAGGAAAAGTTGATAAATTTGTGTACACTAAAATTCAAACTTATGTTTGCATGTCATATTACTGTTAAATGACTCCATATAAATCAAGAAAGTCATCAAAGGACATGAACAGGCAAATCACAGATGAGGATCCCTGAGTAGTCATTCAGATGAAAAAATGCTCACTCTTACGAGTAATGAAAGAGTTGTACATTAAAACAACACTGAGATACCATTTCGCTGTCATCAGATAGACAACAATGAAATAAAGTAAAACAACTTGACATGTGTGCATGTTGCTGAATTTATAGCATTGGGCTCTTCTATACTTTGCTGGTGGCAGTGAAATTTATGCTTTTACTTTGGAGAGTGGTTTGGCAACATTTAGTTGATTTGAAGTTGCTGATATACTAACCCAGGCTCTGGGTGTTATATTCTAGAGGAATTTTTGGCACGTGGACTCAAGGAGACATGTACAGAATGTTCATTGCAGTATTGTTTTTAATTGTAAAAACCCGCAATCAATGTCTATTAGAAGAATGGATAAATTGTAGCATATTTGCAGTACATGTTGTTAAAATGAATTAATGTTAAGTATTTATTAACTTAGATACATCTCCAGGAAGTGATCATATTGCAGTGCAAAGGGAATTGGCTAGGATCACAAAGTTAGGTACTAGTCAAATTAGAATATTTTGCATTTTTCAACTTTAAATGAGTTGTACTATTTTTTGTATTAATATTTCTACATTTGGCATAGTTAAAACCAGAATTCACACAGAAGGCTCAAACAGCCAAAAACAGATGTTAGGGAGTATATGGTTCACACATGAAGATCTCCTTTTTTTGGAACTGGTTTATACCAAAATTAAATTACCACTTTAAAGTTATCAGAAGATATTTTAGGAAATGTACAAAGGCCTAATTACTCCGAAACAGATGACAAACCTTGTAGGAAGTTGCACAGTTTTTGACAGTTTTTTGTTTGAAGGAAAAAGATTTGATATTATGGTTTGGCACTACTCAGGGGTTTGCAGGGTTTGATGTCCACTGCGTGGCTAATTGCATCTGTTACTAATTCATAATAGGTTCACAACATCTGGAAAGATGGCTACAAAAGACGGTATAAGGCTGGGCATGGTGGCGCACGCCTGTAATCCCGGCACGTTGGGAGGCCGAGGTGGGTGGATCACTGGAGGTCAATAGTTTGAAACCAGCTTGGCCAACATGGCGAGACCCTTTGTCTACTAAAAATACAAAAATTAGCGGGGTGTGGTGGCATGTGCCTGTAATCCCAGCCACTCGGGAGGCTGAGGCAGGAGAATCGTTTGAACCCGGAAAGCGGAGGTTGCAGTGAGCCGAGATCGCGTCACAGCACTCCAGCCTGGGCGACAGAGTGAGACCCTATCTGGAAAAGAAAAAAAAGCTTCATTAAGGTTTATATCCTGAGGACCCGTCTAGCTTTCCTCTTCAGGTTAATTTTTAATCTGAATTCTAACAGATCCATATAGATTAAGCAGAAAATAATTACCTAAAGCAGCTGCTATGGGTAAGCACAGAAGGGCAAAGAAAATGACAGGCAACAGCATTAGAGTAAAACTGGCACAGTGCAATCATTTAAACACTGCTAGCAGTTCCAGGAGAGCACGCAGGTAGGTCACCTCAAAGTTCTGACCCTCAATACTATCAATTAATTAAATAATTTTTTTTTTTTTTTAAAGACGGAGGGTCGCTCTTGTTGCCGTGGCTGGAGTGCAATGGTGCGATCTCGGCTCACTGCAACCTTTGCCTCGTGGGTTCAAGTGATTCTCCTGCCTCAGCCTCCCGAGTAGCTGGGATTGCAGGCGTCCACCACCACGCCCAGCTAATTTTTGTATTTTAGTAGAGAGAGGGTTTCACCGTGTTGGCCACGCTGGTCGGGAACTCCTGACCTCAGGTGATTTGCCCGCCTCAGCCTCCCAAAGTGTTGGGATTACAGGCGTGAGCCACCGCGCCCGGCCCACTATCGCTTAATTTAAAGAGCTGTAATGCATGTTTGTAATGCAGACTCAAGGAAAATTATAATTTCCTTAAATGTGTATAGAGGATGTGTGAGAGTGGAAAGATGTCTATTCCAAGGTGGATAAAAAATAAAATGGTGGACTACCTCAACATGGAGGTGCCAGCTGTCCAATTACAGCTGTCACTCTGTTTCTGGGAATTTCTCCCGATTCTTAGCCGGAGCTGCGGCCCGCAACTCCCTCAGCCTGGCAGGTCCCAGGATGCTTCGGGGCAACCCCACGCATGCGCGCTCTGGCGTAGTTCCCTGAAGCACTCGCTCGCAGAGAATCCTGGAATCTTCGCTTGTGGAGCTGTGGAGGCAACGGAGTTTTTCCGCGCTTTTTCTTTCAGCCTCAGATTAAGTATCATTTGTTACTATTATTTTCTCTACTGAGCGTGGAAAGCTGGCTGAAAATTCCAGAGTGTAATTTCTGTGGGTCTGTTTCTCTAAAACTTGCCCCTCACGCAGCTTGTACAGAAGTTAGATTGGCGCTTACTCCCAGCTGGTGGAAGATTCGGAATTAGCTGCGCCTCTGCTGCGTGAGAGAGGGCTCAGCTTTAAAGCTTCCCAGCTCCTCTGCTTTCCCGCTGCCCCCTACTCTGCCGGATGTAAAATAGGCCTCTTAATCTTAACTGTGGCTGCCAGGTGACATACCTGAGGAAACTCACTCAGCGGGGCTATTGGGATAAAGGTGTGCGAGTGTTCTTTTCTATCGACCTGGAGGGCCAAGGCAACTTTTTTTTTTTTCCTTCTGGGACGGAGTCCGTCGCCGGCTGGAGTGCAATGGCGCGATCCCGGCTCACTGCAAGCTCCGCCTCCCGGGTTCAAACGAGTCTCCTGCCTCAGCCTCCTGAGTAGCTGGGACTACAGGCGCCCGCCACCACACCCAGCTAATTTTTTGTATTTTTAGTAGAGATGGGATTTCACCATGTTAGGCTGGTCTCGAACTCCTGACCTCGTGATCCGCCCGCCTTGGCCTCCTAAGGTGCTGGAATTATACAGGGGTGAGCCACCGCGCCCAGCCTATATATATACATGTTATGAGAGAGATTCTTGCTCTGTCCCCCAGGCTGGAGTGCAGTGATGCGATCTCACTTCACTGCAACCTCTGCCTCCCGGATTCAAGTGATTCTCCTGCCTCAGCCTCCCGAGTAGCTGGGATTAGAGGCTTGAATCACCACGCCTGGCTAATTTTTGTATTTTTAATAGAGACTGGGTTTCACCATGTTGGCCAGGCTGGTCTGGAACTCCTGACCTGAAGGGACCCCGCCTGCCTTGGCTTCCCAAAGTGCTGGGATTGTACGCTTGAGCCACTGAGCCTGGCCCACGTATATATTATTTTTGACGTTAGCAAGATCTGTAACCACCTTTGTCTTTACCTTTGTCCTTAAAGCGTTTTTAGAAAACCGGACAAACGAGCACAATTAATATTATTGAGTAACTGAAATCAATATATCAATTATAATAAATACAAGGAATATAATAAAATGTGCAGTATTTTATGATAAAAACGTGCATGTTATATTTCTTTTTTACTTTTATTTTCATTGCAATTTAACTTACTTGGCCTTTTTATTTACCCCTTCTTAGGCCTCTCTTCAGCTTCTGGAGACCTCACTATCCTATTATGTCTTTGTGTGAAGACATGCTGCTTTGTAATTATCGAAAGTGTCGCATCAAACTCTCTGGCTATGCATGGGTCACTGCCTGCTCTCACATCTTCTGTGATCAGCATGGCAGTGGTGAGTTTAGTCGCTCACCAGCTATCTGTCCTGCCTGCAACAGTACCCTTTCTGGAAAGCTAGATATTGTCCGCACAGAACTCAGTCCATCAGAGGAATATAAAGCTATGGTATTGGCAGGACTGCGACCAGAGATCGTGTTGGACATTAGCTCCCGAGCGCTGGCCTTCTGGACATATCAGGTTAGTGCTTAGTCTAGTTTCTCTTGAGCATGTGATTTATGGCATTTGTGGGAACTTCTAGTGTCTTTCCTTCATTGTATTATTATTAATTTTTTATGAGTATATGAGAAACTCTTTTTATTAAATTGTTTTCAAAAGCAATACTGTTTATTGTTGAAAATCAAAAGGAAGAAAATTAAAGCACTCATAATTCCATCACTCAGAGATAACCATTGTTTATATTTTGGGTATACACACACACACACTCACACACTCTCTCTCTCTTCTGTATAAAAGTAAGATAACACACACACTTTTATTGTTAAGAGTTGACAGTATATTATATCTGGTATGAATTTTTCTTCCTTTTGAGACGGGGTTTTCTTGTGTTGCCCAGGCTAGTCTCTAACTCCTGGGTTCAAGCCATTCTCCCGCCTCAGCCTCCTGAGTAGCCTGTGCTTCACTTGGTATGAATATCTTGTTAAATATTTTTTAGTTAACTATTCTATAATCATATTTTAATGGTTATATTGTATCATAATTTATTTCCAAGTTATTAAAATGCTATGATAAGCATTCTTATCAAATACGCATCCTTAACTTTTTCCCTTTATGATTTCTACTTTTAGTATTTCCTTTGAAAGACCTCCCTGTGGATGACTTTAAGCATGTCCTTGAATGTATTGTTATATCTTACATATACACTTATACTTCTTAAGGATGTTTGTCATCTGTCAAGTAACTTTTTATTATATTTTTCTGGGTAAGTTGTTTCTCTTACATGCTCCTCTATTTTTCAACTCCTTTGGTTAAATACCAAATAGTGTTTTTGCTGGCTTATGTGGTGAGAGTATGTTTATTTTTGTAAGCAACTGCCAAATTGTCTTCCAAAGTGGCTATACCATTTTATATTGCCAGCAGCAATGAATGAGAATTCCTGTTGCTCCACATCTTTGCCAGAAGTTGGTATTGTCCATGTTCTGGGTCTTGGCCATTTTAATAGGTGTATAGTGGTGTCTCATTTTAATTTGCATGTCTCTGATGACATATGATGTGGAGCATCTTTTCATATGCTTTTTTGCCTTTTTTTTTTTTTTTTTTTTTTTTTTTTGGTGAGGTGTATATGAAGTTCTTGGTCTTTTTTTTTTTTTTTTTTTGAGACGGAGTCTCGCTTTGTTGTCCAGGCTGGAGTGCAGTGGCGCGATCTCAGCTCACTGCAAGCTCTGCCTCCCGGGTTCACGCCATTCTCCTGCCTCAGCCTCCCGAGTAGCTGGGACTACAGGCGCCCGCCACCACGCCCGGCTAATTTTTTGTATTTTTAGTAGAGGCGGGGTTTCACCGTGTTAGCCAGGATGGTCTCGATCTCCTGACCTCATGATCCGCCCACCTCTGCCTCCCAAAGTGCTGGGATTACAGGCATGAGCCACCGCGCCCGGCCGAGTTCTTGGTCTATTTTTAAATTGTTTTCTTATTGTTGAGTTTTAAGTGTTCTTTTTATCCTTACTGTTGAGTTTGAAGTATTCTTTGATCCTTTATCAGAGCTATCTTTTGCAAATATACTCTCCTGATCTGTGGCTTGTCTTTTTATTCTCTTACAGGGTCTTTCACAGAGCAGAGATTTTTAAGTTTAATGAAGTCCTGCTTATCAATTTTCTCTTTCACGGATTATACCTTTGGTGTATTTTAAAAGTCACTGCCAAATCCAAGATCCACCTGGATTTTACCCTATGTTATCTTCTGGGAGTTTCATAGTTTTGCATTTTATGTTTAAGTCTGTGAACCATTTTGAGTTTATTTTTGTGAAAAGTATAAGATCTGTCTAGATTCATTGGGTCCTCAATTTTTTGCTGGCTATTGGCCAGAGGCTGTTCTTAGTTACTTGTCTCTTGGGCCTTCCTGACATGACTGCTTGCTTCCTCAAAGCCAGCAAGGGAGTGTGTCTCCTAGTAAGACAGACCTTATAGTCTTAGGTAATATACTTATGAAGTGACAACCTGTCACATTTTCTGTAGTATTCTAGTCACAGGTCCTGCCCACGTGCAAGGGGATAGGGAGTTACACAAGGGTGTATGTACCAGGAGACGATAATTTGTGGTTGTCTTAGAGTCTATTCTTCATGCTCTGGATTACTTGAAAAATGGGATTATATTTCTTAAAAACCTTTGGAAAACATGTCACTTGTTAAGACAAATACTCAGTTCTTTTGGTGGTATAAAGTTAGTGGTTTGAGAGTATTCTTCCAGACTTTTTTTCTATGCATTTAGTAACATAACTTATTGTTTTCTGTGCCTCATTGTGTATCCTGATTGCTTCTTAAACTGGGTTCTAAATGATAAAATAACATCCCTATATAAGCATCTTTCTTTTCCTTTTGTGTTTGTATAACATTTTACAATATATAACTTTGTACCCAATACCTTAAAAATCTTTTTTCTTTTGGAACCAGGTACATCAGGAACGTCTCTATCAAGAATACAATTTCAGCAAGGCTGAGGGCCATCTGAAACAGATGGAGAAGATATATACTCAGCAAATACAAAGCAAGGATGTAGAATTGACCTCTATGAAAGGGGAGGTTACCTCCATGAAGAAAGTACTAGAAGAATACAAGAAAAAGTTCAGTGACATCTCTGAGAAACTTATGGAGCGCAATCGTCAGTATCAAAAGCTCCAAGGCCTCTATGATAGCCTTAGGCTACGAAACATCACTATTGCTAACCATGAAGGCACCCTTGAACCATCCATGATTGCACAGTCTGGTGTTCTTGGCTTCCCATTAGGTAAGAAAGGACATGTATCAAGTGTCTGTTCTTTAAATCAATGATTTTTTATACTGCTCTGCCCACTTCCAAGCATTCAGTCGAGACGATAAGGATAAGACAAGCATTGAGTTGTGGTAGGCTCTGAATTCTTCACCCATGTTTCAACCTGTACATCATTGCTTTTATCTATTGTATTTGCTTACATTTAAATTAAAGCTTTAATTTGAGCAGTTAATCTCTGCAAAATGAAAGTTTGCACATTGCTACATTAAGTTAAAAGCTATGTAGTTGTAGTAATAATAATATTAGCTGTCATTTATTGATTCCTAAGTGCTAGGCACTGTTGTGTTTTATATAAATTCATATAATTTACAAAACCTTATGAAGTAAGTATTATTATCCTTCTTTTATACAGATGAGAAAGCTGAGGCACAGAAAGTTAAGTAATTTGGTCAATATCACTAACCTGTTTTCAGAGCCTATACTCTTAACCATTTGCTATCCTCCAAGAAGGCCATGTTTCAATTTTTTTCACCTGCCAATACTGATTGTACAGTTCTTAAGTTGTCAGTTTGGTTGTTTTGTTCTTTTGTCTAATCATTTTTCCATTTATCAAATATTTAGCAAATATGTTTTATGTACCAGCTTGTTAGGTATGATCCTAACTAATGAGGATATAAAGGTTATCCAAATAGGGTTCTTTCTTTAAATCACAATCTAGTATGATGCCATCTCTTTTCTGCTTGTTAGGTGCCTTGCAGACGGAATGAATCTCATATCTTCCTGAGCTCTCTCCTTTATACTACTCTTTATGCAACAAAATCTAATAGATTTTTGCTATGCTATTAATGGAAATTGTTTTTGGCATACAAAAAAGTGAAGCCTCTTGTGCTGGACTTTCCTAATACTCATTTTTGGATATTTACTATAGGCTGAGGAAAAAGATTTAATAGGGGAGGAGCTGATGTCTTATAAAAAGTATGAGGTGGTCAGGTGCGGCCCAGCACTTTGGGAGATTGAGGTGGGAGAATCACTTGAGCCCAGGAGTTTGAGACCAGCCTGGGCAATATAGTGAGACCCTGTCTCTACAAAAAAAAAAGGTGGGGGGCAGGTTTGAGGTGATGAGATGAGGAATATCAGATATAAGAATAAAAACCTAAATTTCTGCTTAACTTTCAGTTTTACTTATATAATGTAATTTAGTCAATCAGAGTTACTGTAAATGGGCATTATAGATATACTTATTTTTTTGTCACTGTCCACATTTGTCTTATTTTTTTCATATTCACCAGTTCTTTCCCATTCCTCTTTTTGTACACAGTTAACCTTTTTATGTCCTGCTGCCACTGTTAGCTTGAAGGATATATAGTCAGCATTTTCCTTTAGTTATTTGGTCCTTTAAAACCTGTAAAAGCCAAGGAAGGGTTCAGTGGAAGTAGTTAAATGTTAATTTAATCAGATCTATTATCTGCTTGTCTTAAGCCTATGCTAATTGATATTGGGTCATGGTATATGCCAATATTTCAGTTATATTTTTTCTAGAATGTTTATTGCAATGTTTTTTTAAAAAAATTCTTAACCTGGGGTAAAAGATTTTATATGTCTGTTTTTTTCTAAGACAAATATTGGAGAAAAAATATATATTCATATATATATATTTGATGATTCCTCTGAAGTAGATTATATAGATAACAAATGAATAAAATTATGTTTTTCCTTTTTTTCTGCCCTAGGTAACAACTCCAAGTTTCCTTTGGATAATACACCTGTTCGAAATCGGGGCGATGGAGATGGAGATTTTCAGTTCAGACCATTTTTTGCGGGTTCTCCCACAGCACCTGAACCCAGCAACAGCTTTTTTAGTTTTGTCTCTCCAAGTCGTGAATTAGAGCAGCAGCAAGTTTCTAGCAGGGCCTTCAAAGTAAAAAGAATTTGAGCCACGCATAGTGTCACGCACCTGTGATCCCAGCTACTTAGGAGGTTGAGGCTGGGAGGATCACTTGAGCCCAGGAGTCTGAGGCTTTAGTGATCTAAGATCATGCCACTGCACTCCAGCCTGGGCAACAGAGTGAGACCCTGTTTCTAAAAAAAAATAAAGATAATTTAGCTAACTTTACAGACTGTTTCTATGTTCATCTTTAGTGATTTCATTTAGCAAATCTTTTTTCTTTTTTTTTTTTTTTTTAACTTTTTTTTTTAATTTTTATTTTTTTTATTGATCATTCTTGGGTGTTTCTCGCAGAGGGGGATTTGGCAGGGTCATAGGACAATAGTGGAGGGAAGGTTGGCAGATAAACAAGTGAACAAAGGTCTCTGGTTTTCCTAGGCAGAGGACCCTGCAGCCTTCCGCAGTGTTTGTGTCCCTGGGTACTTGAGATTAGGGAGTGGTGATGATTCTTAACGAGCATGCTGCCTTCAAGCATCTGTTTAACAAAGCACATCTTGCACCGCCCTTAATCCATTTAACCCTGAGTGGACACAGCACATGTTTCAGAGGGCACAGGGTTGGGGGTAAGGTCACCGATCAACAGGATCCCAAGGCAGAAGAATTTATCTTAGTACAGAACAAAATGAAAAGTCTCCCATGTCTACTTCTTTCTACACAGACACGGCAACCATCCGATTTCTCTATCTTTTCCCCACATTTCCCCCCTTTCTATTCCACAAAACCGCCATTGTCATCCCGGCCCGTTCTCAAAGAGCTGTTGGGTACACCTCCCAGACGAGGTGGTGGCTGGGCAGAGGGGCTCCTCACTTCCTAGTAGGGGTGGCCGGGCAGAGTCGCCCCTCACCTCCCGGACGGGGCGGCTGGCCGGGCGGGGGGCTGACCCCCCCACCTCCCTCCCGGACGGGGCGGCTGGCCGGGCGGGGGGCTGGCCCCCCCACCTCCCTCCCGGACGGGGCGGCTGGCTGGGCAGAGGGGCTCCTCACTTCCCAGTAGGGGCGGCTGGGCAGAGGCGCCCCTCACCTCCTGGACGGGGCAGCTGGCCGGGCGGGGGGCTGACCCCCCCACCTCCCTCCCGGACGGGGCGGCTGGCTGGGCAGAGGGGCTCCTCACTTCCCAGTAGGGGCGGCCGGGCAGAGGCGCCCCTCACCTCCCGGACGGGGCGGCTGGCCGGGTGGGGGGCTGACCCCCCCACCTCCCTCCCGGACGGGGCGGCTGGCCGGGCGGGGGGCTGACTCCCCCACCTCCCTCCTGGACGGGGTGGCTGGCCAGGCAGAGGGGCTCCTCACTTCCCAGTAGGGGCGGCTGGGCAGAGGCGCCCCTCACCTCCCGGACGGGGCGTCTGGCCGGGTGGGGGGCTGACTCCCCCACCTCCCTCCCGGACGGGGCGGCTGCCGGGCGGAGACGCTCCTCACTTCCCAGACGGGGTGGCTGCCGGGCGGAGGGGCTCCTCACTTCTCAGATGGGGCGGATGCTGGGCGGAGGGTCTCCTCACTTCTCAGACGGGGCGGCTGGGCAGAGACGCTCCTCACCTCCCAGACGGGGCGGCGGGGCAGAGGCGCTCCCCACATCTCAGACGATGGGCGGCCGGGCAGAGACGCTCCTCACTTCCCAGACGGGATGGCTGCCAGGAAGAGGCGCTCCTCACTTCCTAGATGGGATGGCGGCCGGTCAGAGACGCTCCTCACTTTCCAGACTGGGCAGCCAGGCAGAGGGGCTCCTCACGTCCCAGACGATGGGCGGCCAGGCAGAGACGCTCCTCACTTCCCAGACGGGGTGGCGGCCGGGCAGAGGCTGCAATCTCGGCACTTTGGGAGGCCAAGGCAGGCGGCTGGGAGATGGAGGTTGTAGCGAGCTGAGATCATGCCACTGCACTCCAGCCTGGGCACCATTGAGCACTGAGTGAACCAGACTCCGTCTGCAATCCCGGCACCTCGGGAGGCCAAGGCTGGCGGATCACTCGCGGTTAGGAGCTGGAGACCAGCCCGGCCAACACAGTGAAACCCCGTCTCCACCAAAAAAGTACGAAAACCAGTCAGGCGTGGTGGCGCGCGCCTGCAATCGCAGGCCCTCGGCAGGCTGAGGCAGGAGAATCAGGCAGGGAGGTTGCAGTGAACCGAGATGGCAGCAGTACAGTCCAGTTTCGGCTCGGCATCAGAGGGAGACAGTGGAAAGAGAGGGAGAGGGAGACCGAGAGGGAGAGGGGAGAGGGGAGAGGGGAGAGGGGAGAGGGGAGAGGGAGAGGGAGAGGCAGAGGCAGAGGCAGGGGCAGGGGCAGGGTAGCAAATCTTTTTTCTAGATAGGACTCCCCAGCTTCTCTGTGCTTTTAAGTCTCTGAAGTTGTTTTCACATTATCAACATAACAAACTCATTGGCAGTGGGGAGTGGTTTAGAGTCTGGTTTCTTTGTTTCTATTATTTAAAGCATAAGCATTTTATTAGTCTCAATTCCATTGTGAACTGCTGAATTTTCATCCCTAGTGTGAGAAGGTCACAATAGTATTTGTTTCAATAGATAACTCTTTCTCCCTGTGCTGTTTCTCACTGAGCTGTGGTGTTTATGCCTTAAGTACCTGTGTTATATGCTACATGTTGCTTTGAATTCTGGTATTTATGCATATCTGTATATGTAAGTATGTTAATGTACACTGATATTTT
The DNA here is from genome assembly GCF_000001405.40 of Homo sapiens. Taxonomy (NCBI): domain Eukaryota; kingdom Metazoa; phylum Chordata; class Mammalia; order Primates; family Hominidae; genus Homo; species Homo sapiens. Next base: position 511,564 of record NW_025791796.1, on the reverse strand, counting down.
GCTGTATTTGCCAGTATGTTTATGTGAAAATTTTGGTCTTGGAAAATGGTGGGTGATGTGTAGCTTGTTATTTGGGTGTGTGTATTTATTTGTATATATTTATGTATTTACCTTCGTATTGTTTGGAGGTGTGCTTATGTCAGTGAACGAGAGTACAATTTGATGCATGTATGTTCAGTCCCTATTTGTATTTAAAAATAACTCACGTTGATGAAGTTATTTTTTAAAGTTAATTTTTTTGGCATTTACAGTCGGTGCTCTGTATCCATAGGTTCTGCTTCTGCAGATTCAGCCAACCATATATCAAAAATATTTGAGAAAAAATAATATAAAAAAATACAAATTAAAAACCAATACTATATAACAACTATTTGGATAGCATTTACATTGTAGGTATTATAAATAATTTAGAGGTGATTTAAAGTATTTGGGAGAATCTGTAGGTTATATGCAAATACCATGCCATTTTATAAAAGTGACATGAACATCCAAGGATTTTGGTATCCATGAGGGTTCCTGGAACCAATCCCCCAAAGATACCAAAGGAAGACTGTATTTTAAAATAAAGCTACTTCTTTACCTTTTTGTCAACTATTGCCTTGGGTTTACTTATTTAGGAATGCACTTCTGCAGAAAGTTTACCAATGTGTTATTGATCTCGAGATTGTATTAAAATAAAAGATTTATTTATTGTTTTCCTTTATTTAGTGAGTATTTCTGACTATTATTATGGGAATTAAATTGTTTATGCATTTATTTATTTAAAATGTAGAGCCATGATAGAAATTTGAAGGACATTCTCAGTAACTTTATGTCCTGTTAGAGGAAAGATTTGAAAGCATACTGGCTGGAGAGGCAGAAGATCTGGGTTCTGGTTTCTACTTAGTTTGAACTTTCTTGGACTTAGTCTCTGTATCTGTAAAATGAAGGACTGAATTAAGTTATCCTTACAGCCTTTTCTAACTCTTAAATTTTAGGATTGATTCTTAATGGTTTAAGATGTGTTAACAATGGAATTACCCTAAATGTCAAATCCCATTGTTTTTTAGGTAATAAAAATTATACTGAAATCATTTGAAGATATATTTAGTCATTGTAGAAAGGCAATTAAATACCCCTGCTTTACATAATTGAAAAGCAAGTAGTGTTTCCTTCACTAGGAATATAGAGTATAAAATCTCTTAAAAATTATTCTTAATGTGCACCAAAATTATTTATTACTGTTTTTTTGAGATGGAGTCTTGCTGTGTTGCCCAGGCTGGAGTGCAGTGGCAGCATCTTGGCTCACTGCAACCTCTGCCTCCTGGGTTCAAGTGGTTCTCCTGTCTTGGCCTCCCAAGTAGCTGGGATTACAGGTGCATGCCACCACACCTGGCTAATTTTTGTATCTTTAGTAGAGATGGGGTTTTACCACATTGGCCAGGCTTGTCTTGAACTGACCTCAAGTGATCTGCCCGCCTTGGCCTCCCAAAGTGCTGGGATTACAGGTGTGAGCCACCGTGCCCAGCCTCGTGTGCACCAAAGTTAAAATGTCTGAGAAAGAGGATGAAAAATTTTAAAGTTTTAGGGCCGGGTGTGGTGGCTCACGCCTGTAATCCTAGCACTTTGGGAAGCTGAGGCGGGTGAATCATGAGGTCAGGAGATCGAGACCATCCTGGCTAACACGGTGAAATCCCGTCTCTACTAAAAATACAAAAAATTAGCCGGGCGTGGTGGTATGCACCTGTAGCCCCAGCTACTCGGGAGGCTGAGGCGGGAGAATCGCTTGAACCTGGGAGGCCGAGGTTGCAGTGAGCCGAGATGGCGCCATTGCACTCCAGCCTGGGCTACACAGTGAGACTCCATCTCAAAAAAAAATTTTTAAAACATCCCTCCCTATTTTACAGCTAACGACATAGATTTTATAGGTTACAATACAAACTATTTCCTTTATGTTGGAAAATGATTTGAGGAAATGATTTTATGTATATTCATGATTTCTGCCTTGAACGTTTTACTTCTTTGTTAGTTTCACAGAATCAGCTTGAAGCTGTAATTAAAACTAAAAAAGTAAAGCAAAACTGCCAGGAATATTACATGACACTTTAAAAGATTTATTCAGAAGTTTAATATATTCACAAGGTACAAACTTTAAAGTTACAAAAAAGGCATAGAGTGAAAAGTCTACCCCAGTTCCCTGGTCACTCATTTTTGCTCCAGCCACTCACTTCTGCTCTTTGTAAGCGATAGTCTTGCCAGTGTCTTGTGTCTCTTTCCAGAGACTATGTAGAAGCAAATAATTTTTTATTTAAAAATGTTTATATTTGAATAGGTGATACATATAGATGGCAAGAAAATTCAAAAGGGCAGGCAGTGAAAATTTTCTTCGCTCACCCACAGTTCCCCAGTTTCTGTGTTTCCCTCTGCAGAGACAGTCATCCTTTCTTATATATCCTTCTGGATGTTGTCTATAAATATGGAGGCATTGTTAGTGTAGAGCATGGTGGTTTTTATGAGCCATCCCAAGTGTAGTATTTATTAAGATAGTGCATTAAAATGATAAAATTAATCATACATAGAAAATTACTGCAAAGTTTGGAAAAGATTGAGTAAAGTAGCTATTGTACTACATGGCTTTCGAAATTTCAAACAACACAGGTGTGCACTTCTTAAACTCTCTTCTTTATGGAGTATTATAATCTTAGTATAAATAAGTAGGAAGACATGAAACAAGAATATAGAAATTAAGCTGAGGACATTTTGTTTCCAGGATCTGGGAAAGAAAGAAGTTTATGAACTCACAAGTGATTGTAGAGCATCTCTGTGGAAATAAATGGTTAAGTCGGTTTGAAGCAAAGCCCTTCTGGGGCAGAAAAGCCTCCAGAACGCCAGATGTCGCTGTGGTTCCGCGGTGAGAGAGGGCGTGCGTCTCTGTGGTTATAAAGTTGGGGGTGGAGTGGCCGGGAGATGATGGCTGATGAAGAGGAAGAAGTCAAGCCGATCTTGCAGAAATTGCAGGTGGGGCCGTAGATTAAATTCTGTATGTGTTTTTGTTACTCCGAATGAAGCAGGGAGTCCAGTTTATGTACTGCCCGTGAATTCCTCGGCACACACGCGAAGCTGCGTGCGTCTGTGTGGTTACTATAACAACCCTCGAGGGTGCAGCCGCAGCCAGCCAGGGAGCCTCGTTGGAACCTCCTGCTGCCGACCTGACTGCGGTTAATTTCAGTCCTGTATGGAAGAAGATTTGTTGCTCCTAACTGTTCATGTACATTTTTAGAGAGGACGTTGTTTTCTCGATTCATCCATAGCGAATAGCATATACATGTGTGTGGCAGATCTGCATGAACTACTGTCACATGTTGTTTTGATCCCTACAAAAGCCATTTAACACCTTTCTGCTTTGAATTTGGCAACAATCACGCTAATGACCTGCACTGCAAGTGTCCTGGTTACTCCCCTTAGGATTTCAGTTTTGATTTCTTTCAACCTGTGTAATTCCACTTTGGGGTCTGATGCAGAGGGGTCCAGACTCCACATAGTCCACAGGTAAGACTAGTCTTTTGGACTTGGTAGGGAGGCGTTAACTAGTTGCTTGGCTCTTTGCCTTTAAGAACCCATGATTTTCCTTACACCTCAGGAACTCAGTTCTTCGTTCTAAGGCAGCCTGTAACTTAAATATTAGAACTATGACAGGCTTGTAACTTGCCTAAAGGTGTTTAACGCACAAATTTAAATACTGGTGAAATTTCTTTGTTCTTGGGTACATTAAAATAGTAACACTTTTTAGAGTGTTCCAGCTGATTTGGATTAACTTCATTTTATTCCCTAACTGTGACTGGCTGAAATCAGAGATTCTCAATTCTGGTTCTATATTAGAAACATTATTTGTGTATATATGTTTGTATATGCACAGAAAAAAATCTGAAAAGGTATACAAATCAGTGGTTATCACTGAGGTTCTTTGGGGTAATTTTGTACTTTCTTTTTTTTACATGTATCTATTTGAATTTTAACAACTTACATGTATTGATTTTGCCATGAAAAAATAAGTTTCTAAAAACATTCAGTCCAGAGGAAAACAAAACCAAACAATAAAACCAAACAACTTCTTGAATGTTTGGTTTAACAACTAAAACCAATCAATAAGCCCTTCTCTAAAACTCTTAATTTGCAGCCATGTTGATTGCAGGACAAAAGGAAATTGGTTGTAATTTTTTATGAGAATTGTCTTTTCCTAGGTTCATTTGTGGTAAATGTCCTAAGCAGCTTGGGAGAGGATACTTCCGTTATCTTGGGGTGGGGTCGGTGCAGGAATGGAATAAAGGAGTGAAGTAGAGAAGAGGAAAAGGATTAGATAATGGTGTTGCTGTTCATGGAGATGGTGGTAAACTTTGATTTCATTGTTAAAGACATTTTAGTGTAAAAAGAGTGTATAAATGGATATTTCTCAAAGTGTGTTTTACAGACAGTTTCATTACAGTCATCTGGGGTGCCTGTTAAAAATGTAGAATTTTGAGTTCTGCTAAACTGTTAAAATCAGAGTCTCTGCAGGCTGGGTCTTGGATATAATACAATAAAATTTGCAGAGGGTGCTAGTCTGTTCCCTTCATTCTGGATAGGATTTTAAATTAAGTATAGCACATATGTATTTGTTAGAACAGGGATAGTTAGTTAGTTAATTCAATCAAGTGTAGTGAATTAGAGCCTATCATGTCCCAAGTCCCGTTCTGGTGCTCAGGTGTAGCTCGAAACAAAACAGATTAAAGGCCTTTCCATCCTGGAGCTTACATTTCAGTGGTGGAGGCAGACAATAGACAATTAATGATAGGCCACATGATTTTAAATAAGTATGAAGAAAAATAAGAGTATGATATAACAGTAGAGGAGAGAAGGAATGGATTCATTTGGGTTGAGTAATTAGGGAAAACCTTTCTGGAATTGATATTTGACCTAAGATCTAAATGATGATGAGGAATAAGTTATGCAGAGATCTGGAGAAAGTGTCCAGGCATAAGGTCTTCCAGGTGGGCTGAGCTTGATGGGTTTGAGAAACTGCATGAAGGCAACTCTGGCTTGAGTATTGTAGGAGAGAGAATGGTGAGAGGTGAAGTTTGTGTCAGGATGGGTGGTGGTAGGTCAGCTCATACAGTCTTCTAGGTCATGATAAGGACTTGGATTTTATTCTGTCTGCAATGGGAAACTATTTGAAGGTTTGTGATATGATGTACGTTTTTTATAAGATCACTCCCACTACAGTGAGGAGAATGGGAGAGAACAGAAACAAGATGACTGGTTAAGAAGCTCTTGCAGTCCAGGCAAGTAATGAAGCTGATGTAATCCAGGAATGGTCATAGTGGGATGGAGACAGGTGGATGAATTCAGGATGTGTTGTGAAGATTGTTGATTACACTCGAAGGGAAGTGATTATATCTTTCTGCTGCTATCTATTTAGTTTCAGGAAAGAATAGGATATCTGTTATCTGAAATGCTTAGGACTCGAAGTTTTTTGGATTTTGGATTTTTTTGAATTTTGGAATATCTGCATATACATAATGAGATAACTTGGGGATGGGACCCAAATCTAAATATGAAACTTGGTGGCTTATGCCTGTAGTCCCAGCACTTTGGGAGGCTGAGGTGGGAGCATTGCTTGAAATCAGGAGTTTGAGACCAGCCTGGGCAACCTACGAGACTCTTTTTTTTTTTTTTTTGAGACGGAGTCTTGCTCTGTTGCCAGGCTGGAGGGCAGTGGCATGATCTTGGCTCACTGCAACCTCTGCCTCCCAGGTTCAAGCGATTCTCCTGCCTCAGCCTCCCGAGTAGGTGGGACTACAGGTGTGCGCCACCATGCCTGGCTAATTTTTGTATTTTTAGTAGAGACCGGGTTTCACCATGATGGCCAGGATGGTTTCGATCTCTTCATGATCCGTCTGCCTTGGACTACCAAAGTGCTAGGATTACAGGCATGAGCCACCACGCCTGGTGACCCTGTCTTTTAAAAAAGAAAAAAAAAAAATTGTTTCATTTACACTTTATACACATAGGCTGAAAGTAATTTGATACAATATTTTTAATAATTTTGTGCCTGAAACAACGTTTTGACCGCATTTTGACTGTGTGTCAGGTGTGGAATTTTCTACTTGTGGTGTCAGCGTTTCAAAAGTTTCAGATTTTGGAGGATTTCAGATTTTTGCATTAGGGATGCTTGACCTGTAGTAGAAAAGCTTTGCCTGGTGTGACAGGAAGACTCAGAGGCATTTAAGAGGAAAGAGAATATTTATTTGTAAAAAATCCAAGGCAGCCAGAAGATGACTTGACAAAAAAATCAAACTAAACAAAACCACAATAAGCATTTAAAAGAACAAAATGCTGCAAAGATACCAAAGTTACCAAGTTCAAATTGGTATGTTTGTGGTGGAAAACAATGACTCTCTAACATGTTTATTATATTCACAAAGGTTGTGTTGTATTTTCAGATCTCAGCATATGAAAAATCAGGGATAAAATGGTTTTAGTTGAGAAGTCCAACTTTAAGGGTAAATTTCAAAGTGTTATTCTTTGAGGACCAGGACCATATAGAATGATCTTACTAACTTTTGGTTTATCTTAAGTTGCAGTGTTTCCCTCCTCATGACTGTGGTATGTGAAGTGCTTAGTCATATTAGAAGCCCTGCTGAGGCAGGGAGAGAAAATGGTCATCACAATAGAGACACTGGCATGGGACAACATGGGACCATGAGAGCTGGCCTGGGGTACTGGCTGCTTTTCCTCATGATTTGTGGCATTTTAGTAAACCTGTCCACCTGCCTATTGTGCCATTCATAGGTGAGAAAGAGAATTGGTATTTCTAGACCAAGAGCTGGTATGGCTAGCCAATTTCAAGTTTCCCTATCCAGTGATCTTTCCACTTAATGGTTCCATTGTCATACTTTTTAGGAACTCGTGGATCAGCTCTACTCATTTCGAGACTGCTATTTCGAGACACATAGTGTTGAGGATGCTGGGAGGAAGCAACAGGATGTGCAGAAGGAGATGGAGAAAACCCTACAGCAGATGGAAGAAGTAGTGGGTATGAGCCCTAGAGATTGTACAACCCCCATCCTTCAGTGAAATGTGATTGACCTTTGCTCCCTCCTCATTGACTCTTTGGTATCCTATCTGTTACTGCTATAGGGTAGTACAACGTAATACTACTTCTCAGGGCCCCTGTGCAACCTTTCATTCCCTAAGCCACTTTTCCTAAAATTTGATTATAGCAAATGGCATGAAATGAAAGAGCATACTTACTTGAACTATTGCAGTAATCTGACTTTCTGCCTCTAATTTCTTTTACTTTCAAATCCACTTATATAATACCATGGCCATGGCTATCTTTCTAAATCATTACTTCATGCATTTAACCTTATCCTCTCATCTGCCTTTTTGCTCAGGTATCTTTAAAGATTCCTGCTATTGACTAGCTGAAGTCTAACCCCCTTAACCTGGTATTTAAGTGTCCATTGTTTTACTCTGTTTTCTAACCTTATCTCTGACTAATTACTTGTAGAGGAACTTTCTGTTTCATCCAGGTTGAACTGTCTATTCTCCCATGAACATGGCCACATGTACTTCTGATTCTGTGTCTTTGTTTATATCATTTTCTAACCTGGAGGGTCTTTTCTTCTCTCTCTCTGTTTTGTTTTAACGATAACTATTTGTCCTGACTCATCTTCTCTTCACTTGTTAAAGCCCATTCATTGGGCTAATGCCATATGCTCTTTTTCATGGTTTTAATTTTCCATGTTTACGCTTTGTCTTCTCCACTAGATTGTAAACCCCTCTAGGAAAGTTAGCAACCGAGCTGATCCTTGTAGATAGGGGCCCAAGAAACAGATGGCAGAAGCTCTAGAAATAGTGCTTTCTTTGTTGCCTAATTAGCTAACATACACTCTGCCTATGGTGAGCTTTCAATAAATGGTTTATTGATAAATATTTTCCCCAACTCTTTTTATTCCTAAAACTGACGTGTAGTTATTTTTTGAGAGAAAGTGCCCTGGTCTTTAACTTGTTTTTTTCCCACTTTATCTTTTTTTCTTCCTCTTAGGTTCTGTCCAGGGCAAGGCACAAGTTCTAATGCTAACTGGGAAAGCACTAAATGTGACTCCTGACTATAGCCCTAAGGCTGAGGAGCTTCTGTCAAAGGCTGTGAAGCTGGAGCCCGAGCTGGTGGAAGCCTGGAACCAGCTGGGTGAGGTGTACTGGAAAAAAGGGGATGTTGCAGCTGCCCACACCTGCTTCTCAGGAGCCCTCACCCATGTGAGCTGCCCCCTATCCCTTTGGAAAGCAGAGATGGGAAGGATGAATTTCTTTGGTTCTATGAGTTTCCCTAGGACATGAATACCAGAGTAGAACTGAAATTGAACTAGGACAGAATCAGGAGGGAGGAAAGGTCAGAGAGCAGACCTGAATGAGGAAAATAGAGGCAGGGGCCTGGGAAAGGAAGATGATGATGGGATCAGGTTCAGGGGGAGAAAGGAAGTGAAGAAAAGCTAGCAGCTAAGCTGATCCCTGTGGATGGGGGTTGAAGATACAGATGGCAGCAAGAATTTAGATGAAAAAATTAGGGCTGGGTGTGGTAGCTTACACCTGTAATCCTAGCACTTTGAGAGGCCGAGGCAGGAGGATCACTTGAGCTCAGGAGTTTGAGACCAGCCTAGGCAACATGGTGAGACCTTGTCTCTACAAAAAAAAAAAAAAAAAAAAAAAATATATATATATACATGGACCAGACGTGGTGACTCATGCCTGTAATCCCAGCACTTTGGGAGGCCAAAGTGGGGAGATCATTTGAGGTCAGGAGTTCGAGACCAGCCTGGCCAACATGGTGAAACCCTGCCTCTACCAAAAAATACAAAAATTAGATGGGCATGGTTGTATGTGCCTGTAATCCCAGTTACTCAGGAGGCCAAGGCACAAGAATCACTTGAACCCAGGAGGTGGAGGTTGCTGTGAGCTGAGATCGTGCCTCTGCACTCCATCAGAGTGAGACCCTGTCACAAAAAGAAAAATACGGCCAGGCGTGGTGGCTCACACCTGTAATCCCGCGCTTTGGGAGGCTGAGGCAGGCAGATCACTTGAGGTCAGGAGTTCAAGACCAGCCTGGCCAACATGGTGAAACTCAGTCTCTACTAAAAATATAAAAATTAGCCGGGCATGGTGGTGCATACCTGTAGTCCCAGCTACTTGGGAAGCTGAGGCAGGAGAAAGACTTAACTCGGGAGGCAAAGGTTGCAGTGAGCCGAGATCACGCCATTGCACTTCAGCCTGGGTGACAGAGCAAGACTCCACCTCAAACAAAACAAAACAAAAAACTTAGAAAGGTAAAAAATTAGATTTAGAAGACTGAGTTCAGAATAGATCTGGAAAGGGGAGGTAGAATCAGGAAGATTGAGTATGTGCCCTTCCTATTTGCAGTGCAGGAACAAAGTCTCCTTGCAAAACCTGTCAATGGTGCTTCGTCAGCTGCGGACTGACACTGAAGATGAACATTCTCACCATGTCATGGACAGTGTCCGACAGGCTAAGTTGGCTGTTCAGATGGATGTCCATGATGGCCGCTCCTGGTGTGAGTGCTCTCAAAAGATCTCCAACAGGTTTCTAGAGCAGATGTTTTCAATCAGAGCAACATTTGCAGTCCCTCTTTTGAGTGTGATTCTGAGGTTTAAGCCAGAGAGGGCATCTTTGTTTTGAAGACACACGAAAGACATTTTGGGGAACTACTTTTCTAGGAACTCTTCGATCTTTTGATCCTAGTTTTCACGTAAGCAAGGAAGGGCTTTTGTACAGTCTGTTCAAACTTCAGTTTGGTGTCCTTGGTGCTCTATCCTAGTGGAGTTTTGGGTATACTAAGTATCGTGTCATTCCTGGTTTGGATTTCTTGTGGGACCTTTCAAATATACTTTCAAGAATGATCAAAATAAGTCATATCTTGAACTTGGACTCTGAGATGATTTGTCACTGTGTTTCTCTTTCAGATATTCTTGGGAATTCATATCTTTCCCTTTACTTCTCTACTGGCCAGAACCCTAAGATCTCCCAGCAAGCCCTCAGTGCCTATGCCCAAGCAGTAAGTACTTATGGTCACCAGGCCAGATGAATAGGCAACAACAGAAGCAAGAGCATTGTTCAGTCTTCTTTGTGGCCCTTTAGCAAGCATCATGGGCAGTGGCAGTGTTTGCTGGCATCTCATTTTTGTGATTTTGCAAAGATGTGTCTGCAGAGATGACTGACTTCTTATAACTTGAGTGTTAGGAACCACTTGCATCGTGTCGCATTGGTGCTGGATAGCTCCTTGACCTGTCTGGGTTTCTTACACACATATATAACCAAATCACAGAGCTGCCTCAACATGTTCATCTTTTTTAATGGGAAAAAAGTCTATTAAAATAATACTTATTAATATTTTTGTACATTCATTTTAAAGAATAATGAAAACTTATACTTCAGTGTAAATTAAGTGCTATCCCCAAATTAACCGTTAGGTAATATTATGGCTCTGGATTTCCCATGGGCTAAAAGAGAAAACAATGTGTAGCTTGTTCTGTGTCATTTCCTAGGAATTAAGTGAATTAGGTTATTTAGGTTTTCAAGAAATTTATTTAGGTTTTCAAGCATTTTTATGTTGATAGGCATTTGCATAGGGCTTTCCCTCAGACTTTGAGTGCCTTTTTTCTCATTATTAGAATTGGCTTCTGACTTCACATTGGTCCTCTGAGCACTTTTTATTTAGCTCTCATATTTACCTTTCTTCTTTTGCTTCTCTTGATATAGAGAATTGCTTTTTAACTTATCATTACTTATTCTGCTCCCTGTGGTAGAATAAAGAACACAGTTACTGTATGTTCATGTTTGCAATTCAGGGACTGCCCTTTTAAATTGGTTTTTCTCCCCCTCCTGCCACTCTCCCCACAACTCTACCTTTGACTTTAAACTGCCCTTTTTCAATCACGGAACTTTTAGAGCAATTATATTTTACTCTAATTTCTTAATTTGGTGAATGTTTACATTTTAAAGAATAGTGTGGTATATTCCTTCAACATTTTATATTTGGCTTCTGCTAAATAGTCACTTTTTAATCTTTTTTTTTTTTTGAGACGGAGTCTCATTCTGCCACCCAGGCTGGAGTGCAGTGGCACGATCTCGGCTCACTGCAACCTCCGTGTCCCAGGTTCAAGTGAGTCTCCTGCCTCAGTCTCTCAAGTAGCTGGTATTACAGGCACGTGCCACACCATGCCCGCCTAATTTTTGTATTTTTAGTAGAGGCGGGGTTTCACCATGTTGGCCAGGCTGGTCTTGAACTCTTGACCTCAGGTGATCCATCCGCCTCGGTCTCCCAAAGTGTTGGGATTACAAGTGTGAGCCACCGTGCCTGGTCATCTCTTTTTAATCTGAAGTTTTTCGCCCAGACCTGCATTTGTAAACATATCTGAACCAACCATTTAAACAATTTTAATTCATGTTGTTTGTGCTTTTACAATGCGCCAGGTAATGAAGAGAATTAAAAAAATATAATAAGCATAGTCATGAACATAGCCAGCAGTTGCTTCACAGCACATGGTCTGCACTGTCTTGTGGTGTCTGGCCATCTATTTTATCTGTTTAAAAAAAATTCTTTTCCTGGCCATCTATTTTAGTTAGAGTCTGAATTTGGTTTTCTATCTGTGTTTTAAGGGAACTTGGATGTAGAAACATGATTCCGCATGTGTCTGGAGCTAGGTTTATGGGCAGAGGAAATGCATTAAATGAACACCATTTCTATCCTAGCCTTTCTTCATTTATTACCAGCACTTCACTATTTAAATTTTTAAAAATCAAAATGATTTCACCTATTTCATTCATTTATTTATTTTTTTTGAGATGAAGTCTCACTCTGTCACCCAGGCTCGAGTGCAGTGGTGCAATCTCGGCTCACTGCAACCTCCACCTCCCATGTTAAAACAATTCTACCTCAGCCTCCTGAGTAGCTGGAATTACAGGTGCATGCCACCATGCCTAGCTAAGTTTTGTATTTTTAGTAGAGACAGTGTTTCACCAGGTTGGCCAGTCTGGTCTTGAGCTCCTGACCTCAGGTGATCTGCCAGCCTTGGCTTTCCAAAGTGCTGGGATTACAGGTGTGAGCCACTGTGCCCGGCCCACATATTTCATTTATATAAAGATTTATTCTATCTTAATACTACTACATGGATAAATTATAATAATATTTTGAAGTCTCACACATACAAAAACACTTATATCCCTAAGGTTTTGGGACTAAGATATCCACACTGTTATACGGTAACTGCTTCTGTGGTATAAATACCATTTTGGCAAGGAAGAAACTTCCATTTCTCTAGAAAGAGGAGGCGTAGGACATGTTGGGCATGTCAGTCCTTAACATTGAGACAGGATCCACTGATAATCTTTTCATCCCATTATAGGAGAAAGTTGACAGAAAAGCTTCTAGCAATCCTGACCTTCATCTGAACAGGGCGACGGTAAGACCTTTGGGGTGTAGTCATCTGAGGGTCAAATAAATAAGACACCTATGTCTTAGCTTGTGAGGATAACTGAGTTTGCATAGGGACAAGATTGGGTACAGACTGCGAGAGGAAAGCCATGCTATTTCTATAAATAGCTAGCTCGGTTTGGCTTCAGTATCTGGTGTAGTCACTGGAGGGAAAGGAGAAGGGGCTGTGGAGGTGGAAGAATAGGTAGAGAATGGGGGGATCTTTTAGAAGACTTCTGAAATGTTAAGTAAATATAAAGGTCAAGTGAGCCAATATATACAACTTAACTATTTTAGAGTTTGGAAATTAGCTTCTTTGAAATGATTCCATCTTTGGGGTTGTGATCATCTTGGCTAGGAAGAAGGATGTAAGGTGTTACCAGCTCTTCAGGCTGTTTGTTGCAGCACAGGAAAATAACCAGGAAGGAAAACAGTTTATTTCTCTAGATTCCTAGCCCATGGTGCCATTCCCTCGGGATAGTTTGTCTGGATATACTTATAATTGGGATACACTTCTTGTACAGTTGCATAAATATGAAGAGAGTTATGGGGAGGCCCTGGAGGGCTTCTCTCGGGCTGCAGCCCTGGACCCTGCCTGGCCAGAGCCCCGGCAACGAGAGCAACAACTTCTGGAATTCCTGGATAGATTAACCAGCCTCCTTGAGAGTAAGGTAAAAATGTCTGAAGGGCTGAATTCCACTTTTTTTTTTTTTATTTTGTCGTGGGTCAATAAAATAAGAATAAATAGGTTTACGAGGTAGAGACCCTATAGAAGTGGGTGGGAGGGAAGGATTAGAATCTCAAGGAAGGCGACTAGTTTCCAGCTTCTTACCTATTTCCCCTTCTTTGCAGGGAAAGGTGAAGACCAAAAAGCTGCAGAGCATGCTGGGAAGCTTGCGCCCAGCCCATCTAGGCCCTTGCAGTGATGGGCACTATCAGTCAGCCTCTGGGCAGAAAGTGACCCTGGAGCTCAAGCCACTGAGTACGCTTCAGCCTGGGGTGAACAGCGGTGCCGTCATCCTGGGAAAGGTGGTATTTAGCCTCACCACAGAGGAGAAAGTCCCCTTGTGAGTTTCTCTTGGATTTCCCCCATTTTACCCTTTTGAACTAATTGCTCTCACTTCCTGTTCTTTCCCTGGCAGTTGAGGAGATTGTCAGTGGTCACAGATTTGTGACTTCTGATTTCCTTCTGTGACTATCCCGTGGGCAGATATTGTCTGGGTGATGTTTAACCATCTTTTGATCAGAGGCTTTTGTAGATTCTGTCACTGCCCATTTTGTATCCCTGAGTTTGGTGCTATGTGGATTCCTATATCCATAGTTGAAATTTGGCAGGACATATTTTTTTATAAGACAGAAACCTCAAAATTCTTCTGTCCCTTTGCATTTTCATGATCATAGAAGTTGAAGGAGGACAAATTTCTTAGTCCTGTTTGTACTTAGGTATACTTAGTTCTGAAAAGTGAGCTTTGAGTTATAATTTAAAGTCTGGTTGGGAGATTGTCTTAGATGTCATTCAACAAATATTTATTGAGTGTGTAATATATGTGTCATAGGGAGTGAGAAAAAAGAAATGTAAAGGACCCAGGTGCAGGTGCTTCTAGCAGCAGAGGAAATGAATTAAGAATATTTGTTTAGAAAATTTTTGGATCTTGAAAAGTTACGGTTTAGTGAATGCCACCACTCCTTGGTCCTTCACTCACTTCCTAATCCCTGGTTGACCGGTTTCCCCTTTCTCTTTTCTACTGAAATTGTTATTTTCCTAGGATCACCATTGTCTTTCTAGGCACTGGATCCAGCAACTTCTATTGCATGGTTCCAAAACATTCTGACTTATCTCTCACTATTGCTTTTCACATCCTTTCTGTTCATCTAAACAGAAATATTCACAATTCCCATTATATGCCCAAGCTTTCTCCATGGCATTTTCTAGGGGTTTGTATATTTGACGAGTTGAAGGGCAAAAAGATAGTTGAGAACAGTTTAGTTTACTAGAGCAAATCCTAGAGCTGAGAAGAATTAGAAAGGGATATAGACAAAGGTAGGTTTTGGAGGACCTTGAGAACAAATAGATATTTTGCCACTCCTTGGTTTCTCTTTTTCTGCCTAACTTTTAAATCTTAGGTTCCCAGGACTCTATTTTTGTTTTTTTCCTTTTTTCTCTTTATATCAGGATGGCCTATAGTTGCCAACTTTGATCACTTGTCAGTGGTTGCCTGACATACTGTGTAGAAGGATTCTGAGGCTTTGACTGGATTCATCAGGAGAGTGCTTTGCTTGATTGCAATATTTCCTGTGAATTCAGGCATGTCACGTGATGGCATGAGTGTGATTCTTCTCCATCCTGTCTATAGATCATCTTGCCCTGTGATGTCATATAAACCCAAGGCTTTGGCAGCCTCCTATATGCTTACAGATATATCTCCAGCCCAAGCTTCATTTCCAAGTGTTGGATTCCTATAACCATCTGCTTCTGGGTTCCAATAAGAAATCTCTAACTCAGTATTTCAGTATTACTCACCTAAATCTTTCTCTGTAAACCTGCTTCTCCTCCCTGGATTCCTTGTGAATGAATGGTATCACCTCTCAGTCACTTGATTAAGACTTTTGGAAGAATAGGCTTCTCCATTCTCCAAAAAGATTTGCCTTTTTTGTCCTATAGACTTGACTTCTCTGTGTTTACCACCTTAATTCACCCCCTTATCACTTCTCCAGATAGGTCTCCCTGATTCTCTGGTTTCCTCCAGTGTTCCACAGTGCTGCCAGAGAAATGTTTCTTAGATGGAAATCTGACCATTGCTACTTCTTATTTAAGATCCCTTACTGGTACTATATGTAGCTTTTGGGATAAAGTGTGAACTACTTAGGTTAGCATACAAAGTCCTTCATGATTTGCTCCCTGCTTCTCTTTCTATTATCTTTTGTCTCTTTCCCACCAGTGCCTTTTGTTTCAACCATGGAACAATTTTGTTGGTTTTAGAACAGCTGTTTTCATGCCTCTGTGTCTTACATACAGTTACTCTGCCTGGATAATCTCTAGCTTCTTCTTGACATAGCTAACATCCTCTTCTGCCCCCAACATTTTGTATAAAAATTTTCAAACATATAGCTAAGTTGAAAGAGTTTTACATTGAACATTTGTGTTCTCATCCACTTATATTCTACCATTAATATTTTATTTTACTTAGCTTATTACATATCAGTCTGTTTATCCTGCTATCAGAGTAAATTGCAGAGATCAATATACTTTACATACTTTAGCATGCAGTCATTAACTGAGTTCAGTATTTGTTTCAATTTTTTCTTTTTATGTAAAATTTACATACAATGAAATGTACAATTTTAAGCGTACATTTCATAGCTTTTAACAAATGGAAAATATCTGTATAACCCAAATAGAGATCATTACCACCATTCTGGGAAGTTCCCTGATGTTGCCTCCAAGTCAAAATCTCTGTTCCTATCCCCTCAGAGGTTTTTAACATTTTTACCGAGGATTAATTTTTCTCTTTTAACCCAGCTGGTTTTTTACCCTTTAAGATTCACTTTGAGCGTCACCTCTTCCAGGAAATCTTCCCTGCTTTCCAATTTTGATTTAGATATTTGTCCTCTGGGCTCCCACAGCCCAATCTGTGGCTTCATTGAATTCAGCACAAGGGAAAAGCTATTCTAGCACCCATCACACTGTGCTGTAAGTGATGACTTCATTGTCTGACTCCTGCTAGACTATAGGTCATTCATAGCTGGATTGGTATCTTATTGCTAAACACAATGCTTGGCACATATGTAATATTCAGTGAAAGTTTGTGGAGTTAAACTACACAGACAGTGATGGTTAGAGGCTTTGGTTAAGAGTATGATAGTTAAATTGATAGACCAGGAATAATGTTACAACTGTAACATGTTGGTCTAGTTCATCATTAATATTTGTTGAATGGCTTCAGTGTGCTTTGTCCTAAGTTCTTAGCAAAGTGACTGATGAGTTTCAGAAAAATGAAGACTCAGATATATAAAGTGGAAGATGGTACCTCTCATAGGTTTTCTGAGTAACTGAGAAAAAGCATTTGTTTATTTTGTTAGTATTTTATTTTTAAAGTTTAATTAAGTTAAATTTTATATTTTATTTTAATTACCTGTCACTGACTTTAAGTCCAGTATTTTGCTAGTATTTTTAAACCACTGTTTCTGCTCTTCTTTCCTACCCACATACCTTTTTGTTTTCCTCTCTCCTAATCTGTCTTTACTTGGTAGTACATTTGGCCTGGTAGATTCAGATGGACCTTGCTATGCAGTGATGGTGTACAATATAGTGCAGAGCTGGGGAGTGCTCATTGGAGACTCTGTAGCCATTCCTGAGCCCAACCTGCGGCTTCACCGAATTCAGCACAAAGGAAAGGTGAGCAATGGCTAGGATTCTCTTACAACTCGTAGGCTCTAAAAGTAGAACCAAGCTTATCTTTTTATAAAAGATATAGAAATAATTATATGTAAGTATGTGTGTAGGCTATGTGTATATATATTTGTGTGTATATGTTTTATTTATATATATATATGTATTTTTTTACTAAAAAGGTAAACTGGTAAGCAGAAAAATAAAAAAATGCAGTGAAATATTATCACTCAGGTATTACTGCCTTTTAACTGTTACTGTTAACAGTTTGGTGTATATACCTGAAGTCTTTTCTTTTCACAAATATATACACATATATCTATATTTTAAATCATGAGTGGGATATTATATGCAAATGTTTGTGAATGTTTCCTATGTTTTTACATATTTCACCACATTGAGTAGACACGGGGTGATGAAGATGGTAATGATAGTTAACATTTATTTAACACTTAATTGAGTGCTAGACACTGTGCTAAGAGTTTTTATTACCTGCCTTGCCCCATTCAATTCTTAAAAAAACCTTATGAATGTAGATATTTAACTACTGTTTAACCATTTAGATCAGAGGTTGGCAAAGCCCATTGACCAAATCTGGCTCACTGCTTGTGTTTATTAATAATGGTTTCTAGGCTGGGCATGGTGGCTCATGCGTAAAATCCCAGCACTTTGGAAGGCCAAGGTGGGAGGATCACTTGAGCCCAGGAGTTTAAGACCAGCCTGGGCTATATAGTGAGACCCCGTCTCTACAAAAAAATGTTAAAAAACTTAGCCAGGTATGGTAGCACATGCCTGTAGTCCCAGCTACTAAGGAGGCTGAAGTGAGAGAACCACTTTATCTCAGGAGTTTGAGGCTGCAGTAAGCCATTATTGTCCCATTGCACGCCAGCCCGGGTGATAGAGAAAGTCTGCCTCAAAAAAAAAAGAAAAACAAGAGTGTGGTTTCTGTGTTGTTAAGTGAAAAAAATGGACAGAAGCGTAATATTTTGTGATATGTGAAAATTACAGGAAATTCAGATTTCAGTGTCCACAAATAAAGCTTTATTGGAACACAGCCACACTCATTTGCTTACTATTGTCTGTGGCTGTTTTTGCACTATAGTGTCAGAGGTGACTTGTTCTGTAACAGAGACCATATGACCTACAAAGCCTAAAATATTTACTATCTGTCCCTTTGCAGAAATACTTTGATGACCTCCGATCTAAATTAGTACTTTTATAATAGAAAAAAAATTAGAAACACAGTGAGGATTTTTGTATCTTTGCTTGTATCTATGATTAGTTCCTTAAATGAATTTCTAATGTAGACTCCTGGGTCCAAAGGGTATGCAGAATTCTGAGGCTTTTGATACATATTGCCAAATAATTCTTTGGAAAATTGTACTAGTTAGTTGTCACTACCAACAGTGGATGTAAATAAGTGTTTCTCTGTAGTTTTTTTCTCAACTCTGGTTGGAAACCTTTGAAAAGTTATTTTCTAATTTTACATGGAAAATATAGCATGAATATTAATTTATATTTCTTGTATAAATTGCCATTTTTTGTGTCACTTGTTGATATTTCTGTGAAGACTTAAAAAAAATTGGTTTATGAGAACTTTTAAATTTACTTTACTTGGACTTAAAAGAGCCTGCCTCTCATTGCCATATTTTTTGGATGAAGACTATTTAATATGTTTTACAACTTAAAATACACTTAAACTGATACAGTGAGCTGATACCTTTTTTGTTATTAGGAAAACGGCTACATTCTGTTTCATGTTCTATTTCCTCCTCTTGATATAAAAGAGAAGTAACTTTAATTTGTATTTGGTGGATTAAATTAGGACCTTATAAACATTTGGACTGAGATTTTCTCAGGATTCCCACTGGCTCTGGCCGGCTGCTATGTGTATCTAGTTAATTATCAGGAAACACCGTGGGAAAAGGCAGATTCTATGAGAGTTGGTTGCATTCTTTTGTTAGGCAATGCCAGGAACCTGCCTTTTTTGGATCAAAGAGCTGTCTCATTCTTGTAGTGGCACTACATGACCTTACATGCTCCATGTTTTCCTTCTGAAGATTGAAAACTTTGGGAAATTTTCGTCCCCTGTGTTAGCTCAGTTTTGTCTGATGTGAGATGGAAGTAGAGGGGGTATACAACAGGGGAGGTGGTGCAGAAAGTTGCAAGTGGTGTATCCCCATGCTGGAGCTTTTTCCATCTTGGAATCTGTAGTGAACCTTTGTCTGTCTGTCTTTTCTAGGACTATTCCTTTTCCAGTGTTCGAGTGGAGACGCCCCTCCTGCTAGTGGTGAATGGGAAGCCTCAGGGATCCAGCAGCCAGGCTGTTGCCACAGTGGCATCGCGACCACAGTGTGAATGACCTTTGACTTGCATGCTCAACAGGGAGTGGAGGAGAGGAGACAAGGCTCTGGACAGCCGGTCCAGCCACATCCAGTGATTCAGCAGGGATGGGAGGAATGTTTTAAATGAAGACTTTCTCTTTCCCTGCCTGTATTACACTTCGTATCTCTTCTCTCTCCTCTGTCCTCATCATGTTCCAGCTCTCTACAGGGCCACATACTCTTCTGGCATATCTCTCCTGTCTCTTCCACTGCTCTCTATGTTTTAAGCAAAGAGCATGGAATTGGTAGAAGTCTTGGGATCTTGCCATGGGACAGAGTCCCCAAGGTTCCTGTTGTTGCCTCCTTCCTAAGCCTCATATGTATATATCAGTTCAGTATTTATTGCTAAAGGAGGGGGCTTAATTTTGTAATGGCTTTTATTTTTAGCAATTTTTATTTTTATTTTTGAACTTTAGGTCCTTCCTCTTCTTTGGGGCTGGAACAGAATTAAATTTGTTTGGAAAAAAAAAAAAACACCACGTAGTTTGGCCTGCTTTATTCTCCCTAGGCCTGTATTCTTTGTTTTAGGATCACTTCAATTTATTGGAGTAATACCCCCATTTTTTTCTTTATACAAAGCAGTTTATTTCTCTCCCAGTTAAAAGAATTCCGACAATAGACAGCCCCAGGCAGGAATGGCAACTCCACAAAGTTGCTAGAGACCAGCTTTCTTCCATTTTCCCATTCTGTCATTCCCTAGGGGTGGTCTTCACTATGGTCCAAGATGACAGAGCAATACTGTTCTAATAGTGTTACTAGGCTGAAGGACCAGAGAGAGTTAGATAAATCCTCAGTTTCTTTAGAGTCTAGTGACATGTTTTATAACAGTTTATCTTAATATCCTTGTGGTAAAATGGAGAAATGTGAGTGAGGATTAATAACCAATTGAATTGGCCTGGCACGGTGGCTCAGCCTGTAATCCCACCACTTTGGGAGTCCAAGGCGGGTGGATCACGAGGTCAGGAGTTCAAGATCAGCCTGGCCAAGATGGTGAAACTCCGTCTCTACTAAAAATACAAAAATTAGCTGGGCGTGGTGGCAGGCACCTGTAATCACAGCTACTGGGGAGGCTGAGGCAGAGAATTGCTTGAACCTGGGAAGTGGAGGTTGCAGTGAGCCGATATCATGCCACTGCACTCCAGCATGGGCGACAGAGCGAGACTCCGTCTCAAACAGCAACAACAACTGAATGGCTGTAATACATTAATGTATACAGATGAATTGAGAAGTCTTCTAGTGAAATGGCTCAGATCTTTGTTCTTGGTCCAGTCCTGTTCAGTTTTTGATCAGTGCCTTGAATATCATTGATGACTCATTAAATTTATAAAGAGTGCAGAGGCCTCCTCAGAGAATGGATGGTAGAAATGCATTGATGAGAGAAGTTTTATCTATCTATCTGTCTATCTATCTATCTATCTATCTGTCTCTATCTAAGAAGTCATAAAGGCTGAGTCTAATAAGATAAAATTTTCAGTCCATTCTTTTGGTCCAAAAAGGCTTACATTCTCAGGTATAGCTTCAACATCATATATGAATATTACTAAGAATCTTAGTAGATAAGCTAAAGTCAGTATGAGTAACCAGTCTGATATAGTTTGCAAGAACACTCTTCATGGACTGCACCAAAAAAACCTATGGTAGCAAGAGACAGTTTTTATTAGAAGTACTGTCTGTTATACCACATATGGAGTCTTAAATTAGTTTTGGGTGTCATTTTGAGGCCTAGAGTCATAGAAGAGTGATTAGGAGCTTGTGGGGTATAAAAATAACTTGAGAATTGGCTGAAAGCAACTAGGGAAGATGGGGGTAGTAGTATGTGTAAACATTTGAGGCAGTAGAGATGTGGGACCCAAATACTGTTCCCCTTTTACTCAAATTCTGAGATGAGTTGACATGTTCTGTGTAGGGCTAGAGAGTAGAAAAATGGCCAGTAGGTGGTAGCCACAGAGAAGCAGTGCGTACAAACAAGTAAGTATGCAAAATTTGTACATACGGTTTCAGGAATAACTAGAATACCCATAAAATATCCACCTGCCTTAAAAACTAGAACATCATTGATAACTTGGAAGCCCTTGCATACCTCTCCATGATCTCATTTGTCTTCACAGCTATATAAATCTCATTGTATGATTATACCATAATTTATTCATCCTGTTGTTAAAGGATATTTGGGTTTCCAGTTTTTCTTTTTTTACTACCAAAGCACTACATTATTAATATTCTTGTATATGTCCTGATATGTAAGTGCAAAAGTTTCTTTTACAGCAATGGCTCTTGAAGAGTGGTTCCCAGACCAGCAGCATCAGCATCCCTTGGAACTTCTTTGAAATGCAAATTCTCAAGCCCCCTACCCAGACTTACTGAATTCAAAACTATGTGGGAGGAGCCCAGCAATCTGTGTTTCGCAAACCCTCCAGGTGACTCTGATGCACAGTAAAATTTGAGAACCACTGTTTAAGAGTATTGACATAGAATGGAATTGCTGGATCATAGAGTATATACATGTTCAACTTTTTTGAGAAGCACTAAACATTTCCAAAGTGCTTATATTAGTTTATGTCTCTACTATCAATAGATGAGTCACCCCAATGCTCCCCATCCTCTTCTGTGCTTGGTATTATCTTTTAGGTATTGCAAATACAGGAGATTTGAGTATTATTTCCTTGTGGCCTTAATTTGCATTTCTGATTATTAATGAGCTTGAGCATCTTTTCATATATTTAGAAGCCACTAATATTTTCTCTCGGTAAAATGCCTATTCGAGTCTTTGCACACTGCTGTATTGGATGTCAAATTGATTTATATATTCCCTGTACTAATCGTTTGTCTACATACAGTTTTATCCTGTTTTTTTTTTTATTCTATTGGGTCTTTTGCTGAACAGAAGTTCTTAATTTCAATGTCATTGAATTTATCCATCTTTTATGATAATGCTTTTTGTGTTTTAAGAGGTTCTTAGCTCTCCTAAAGTCATAAGGACATTTTCCCTCTACTGCTTTATGAAGTTATTTTGTCCTTTTCTTACAGTATGACTTTATTTTATGTTATGTACGGATATAATTTTTTTCATAATGAGTAAATAGCCCAGCACCTTTTATTAAAGAATCAATCCTTTCCCTACTGATCTTTAAAGCCCAGTCTGTCTTTTTCTTTTTTTGAAATTGTCTAGCTTTTTAATTTTTACCAACCAGATGATTATAAAATATCACATAGTAGGCATAAATTACATTTCTTTGTCCATTCCTGTTTCTTTTTCTATGAAATCTCTGTTTTCTTTTGTCCAATTTTTATTGGGTTGTCTTCTTATTGATTCCTTACATGTTCTGGATACTAATCCATTATAAATTATGTTTTTCAAATATATTTATCCAAATCGCAGCTTGCTTTTTCATTTTCTTAATGCTCTCTCTTTTTTTTATTATTATTATACTTTAAGTTTTAGGGTACATGTGCACAACGTGCAGGTTTGTTACATATGTATACATGTGCCATGTTGGTGTGCTGCACCCATTAACTCATCATTTAGCATTAGGTATATCTCCTAATGCTATCCCTCCCCCCTCCCCCCACCCCACAACAGTTCCCCGAGTGTGGTATTCCCCTTCCTGTGTCCATGCGTTCTCATTGTTCAATTCCCACCTATGAGTGAGAAAATGTGGTGTTTGGTTTTTTTGTCCTTGCGATAGTTTGCTGAGAATGATGGTTTCCAGCTTCATCCATGTCCCTACAAAGGACATGAACTCATCATTTTTATGGCTGCATAGTATTCCATGGTGTATATGTGCCACATTTTCTTAATCCAGTCTATCATTGTTGGACATTTGGGTTGGTTCCAAGTCTTTGCTATTGCGAACAGTGCTGCAATAAACATACGTGTGCATGTGTCTTTATAGCAGCATGATTTATAATCCTTTGGGTATATACCCAGTAATGGGATGGCTGGGTCAAATGGTATTTCTAGTTCTAGATCCCTGAGGAATCGCCACACTGACTTCCACAGTGGTTGAACTAGTTTACAGTCCCACCAACAGTGTAAACATGTTCCTATTTCTCCACATCCTCTCCAGCACCTGTTGTTTCCTGACTTTTTAATGATCGCCATTCTAACTGGTGTGAGATGGCATCTCATTGTGGTTTTGATTTGCATTCTCTGATGGCCAGTGATGATGGGCATTTTTTCATGTGTTTTTTGGCTGCATAAATGTCTTCCTTTGAGAAGTGTCTGTTCATATCCTTTGCCCACTTTTTGATGGGGTTGTTTTTTTTTTTCTTGTAAATTTGTTTGAGTTCATTGTAGATTCTGGATATTAGCCCTTTGTCAGATTAGTAGGTTGCAAAAATTTTCTCCCATTCTGTAGGTTGCCTGATCACTCTGATGGTAGTTTCTTTTGCTGTGCAGAAGCTCTTGAGTTTAATTAGATCCCATTTGTCAATTTTGTCTTTTGTTGCCATTGCTTTTTGTGTTTTAGACATGAAGTCCTTGCCCATGCCTATGTCCTGAATGGTATTGCCTAGATTTTCTTCTAGGGTTTTTATGGTTTTAGTTCTAACATGTAAGTCTTTAATCCATCTTGAGTTAATTTTTGTATAAGGTGTAAGGAAGGGATCCAGTTTCAGCTTTCTCCATATGGCTAGCCAGTTTTCCCAGCACCATTTATTAAATAGGGAATTGTTTCCCCATTTCTTGTTTTTGTCAGGTTTGTCGAAGATCAGATAGTTGCAGATATGCAGCATTATTTCTGAGGGCTCTGTTCTGTTCCATTGGTCTATATCTCTGTTTTGGTACCAGTACCATGCTGTTTTGATTACTGTAGCCTTGTAGTATAGTTTGAAGTCAGGTAGCTTGATGCCTCCAGCTTTGTTCTTTTGGCTTAGGATTGACTTGGCTATGCGGGCTCTTTTTTGGTTCCATATGAACTTTAAAGTAGTTTTTTCCAATTCCGTGAAGAAAGTCATTGGTATCTTGATGGGGATGTCATTGAATCTATAAATTACCTTGAGCAGTATGGCCATTTTCACGATATTGATTCTTCCTACCCATGAGCATGGAATGTTCTTCTATTTGTTTGTATCCTCTTTTATTTCATTGAGCAGTGGTTTGTAGTTCTCCTTGAAGAGGTCCTTCATATCCCTGGTAAGTTGGATTCCTAGGTATTTTATTCTCTTTGAAGCAATTGTGAATGGGAGTTCACTCATGATTTGGCTCTCTGTTTGTTATTGGTGTATAAGAATGCTTGTGATTTTTGCACATTGATTTTGTATCCTGAGACTTTGCTGAAGTTGCTTATCAGCTTAAGGAGATTTTGGGCTGAGACAGTGGGGTTTTCTAGATACACAATCATGTCATCTGCAAACAGGGACAATTTGACTTCCTCTTTTCCTAATTGAATGCCCTTTATTTCCTTCTCCTGCCTAATTGCCCTGGCCAGAACTTCCAACACTATGTTGAATAGGAGTGGTGAGAGAGGGCATCCCTGTCTTGTGCCAGTTTTCAAAGGGAATGCTTCCAGTTTTTGTCCATTCAGTATGATATTGGCTGTGGGTTTGTCATAGATAGCTCTTATTATTTTGAGATACGTCCCATCAACACCTAATTTATTGAGAGTTTTTAGCATGAAGGGTTGTTGAATTTTGTCAAAGGCCTTTTCTGCATCTATTGAGATAATCATGTGGTTTTTGTCTTTGGTTCTGTTTATATGCTGGATTACATTTTTTGATTTGTGTGTGTTGAACCAGCCTTGCATCCCAGGGATGAAGCCCACTTGATCATGGTGGATAAACTTTTTGTTGTGTTGCTGGATTCAGTTTGCCAGTATTTTATTGAGGATTTTTGCATCAATGTTCATCAAGGATATTGGTCTAAAATTCTCTTTTTTTTGTTGTGTCTCTGCCAGACTTTGGTATCAGGGTGATGCTGGCCTCATAAAATGAGTTAGGGAGGATTCCCTCTTTTTCTATTGATTGGAATAGTTTCAGAAGGAATGGTACCAACTCCTCCTTGTACCTCTGGTAGAATTCAGCTGTGAATCCATCTGGTCCTGGACTTTTTTTGGTTGTTAAGCTATTGATTATTGCCACAATTTCAGAGCCTGTTGTTGGTCTATTCAGAGATTCAACTTCTTCTGGGTTTAGTCTTGGGAGAGTGTATGTGTTGAGGAATTTATCCGTTTCTTCTAGATGTTCTAGTTTATTTGTGTAGAGATGTTTATAGTATTCTCTGATGGTAGTTTGTATTTCTGTGGGATCAGTGGTGATATCCCCTTTGTCATTTTTTATTGCATCTATTTGATTCTTCTCTCTTTTCTGCTTTATTAGTCTTGCTAGCGGTCTATCAATTTTGTTGATCTTTTCAAAAAACCAGCTCCTGGATTCATTGGTTTTTGGAAGGGTTTTTTGTGTCTCTATTTCCTTCAGTTCTGCTCTGATCTTAGTTATTTCTTGCCTTCTGCTAGCTGTTGAATGTGTTTGCTCTTGCTTCTCTAGTTCTTTTAATTGTGATGTTAGGGTGTCAATTTTAGATCTTTCCTGCTTTCTCTCATGGGCATTTAGTGCTATAAATTTCCCTCTACACACTGCTTTGAATGTGTCCCAGAGATTCTGGTATGTTGTGTCTTTGTTCTTGTTGGTTTCAAAGAACATCTTTATTTCTGCCTTCATTTCATTATGTACCCAGTAGTCATTCAGGAGCAGGTTGTTCAGTTTCCATGTAGTTGAGCCGTTTTGAGTGAGTTTCTGAATCCTGAGGTCTAGTTTGATTGCACTGTGGTCTGAGAGAGAGTTTGTTATAATTTCTGTTCTTTTACATTTGCTGAGGAGAGCTTTACTTCCAACTATGTGGCCAATTTTGGAACAGGTGTGGTGTGGTGCTGAAAAGAATGTATATTCTGTTGATTTGGGGTGGAGAGTTCTGTAGATGTCTATTAGGTCCGCTTGGTGCAGAGCTGAGTTCAATTCCTGAATATCCTTGTTAACTGTCTCATTGATCTGTCTAATGTTGACAGTGTGGTGTTAAAGTCTCCCATTATTAATGTGTGGGAGTCTAAGTCTCTTTGTAGGTCACTAAGGACTTGCTTTATGAATCTTGGTGCTCCTGAATTGGGTGCATATATATTTAGGATAGTTAGCTCTTCTTGTTGAATTGATCCCTTTACCATTATGTAATGGCCTTCTTTGTCTCTTTTGATCTTTGTTAGTTTAAAGTCTGTTTTATCAGAGACTAGGATTGCAACCCCTGCCTTTTTTTGTTTTCCATTTGCTTGGTAGATCTTCCTCCATCCCTTTATTTTGAGCCTATGTGTGTCTCTGCATGTGAGATGGGTCTCCTGAATACAGCACACTGATGGGTCTTGACCCTTTATCCAATTTGCCAGTCTGTGCCTTTTAATTGGAGCATTTAGCCCATTTACATTTAAGGTTAGTATTGTTATGTGTGAATTTGATCCTGTCATTATGATGTTAGCTGGTTATTTTGCTCGTTAGTTGATGTAGTTTCTTCCTAGCCTTGATGGTCTTTATAATTTGGCATGTTTTTGCAGTGGCTGGTATTGGTTGTTCCTTTCCATGTTTAGTGCTTCCTTCAGGAGCTCTTTTAGGGCAGGCCTGGTGGTGACAAAATCTCTTAGCATTTGCTTGTCTGTAAAGTATTTTATTTCTCCTTCACTTATGAAGCTTAGTTTGGCTGGATATGAAATTGTGGGTTGAAAATTCTTTTCTTTAAGAATGTTGAATATCGGCCCCCACTCTCTTCTGGCTTGTAGAATTTCTGCCGAGAGATCAGCGGTTAGTCTGATGGGCTTCCCTTTGTGGGCAACCCGGTCTTTCTCTCTGGCTGCCCTTAACATTTTTTCCTCCATTTCAACTTTGGTGAATCTGAGAATTATGTGTCTTGGAGTTGCTCTTCTTGAGGAGTATCTTTGTGGTGTTCTCTGTATTTCCTGAATTTGAATGTTGGCCTTCCTTGCTAGATTGGGGAAGTTCTCCTGGATAATATCCTGCAGAGTGTTTTCCAACTTGGTTCCGTTCTCCCCATCACTTTCAGGTACACCAATCAGATGTAGATTTGGTCTTTTCACATAGTCCCATATTTCTTGGAGGCTTTGTTTATTTCTTTTTATTATTTTTTCTCTAAACTTCTTTTCATGCTTCATTTCATTCATTTCGTCTTCCATCACTGATACCCTTTCTTCCAGTTGATCGCATCGGTTACTGAGGCTTGCGCATTCGTCAGGTAGTTCTTGTGCTGTGGTTTTCAGCTCCATCAGCTCCTTTAAGGACTTCTCTGCATTGGTTATTCTAGTTATCCATTCATCTAATTTTTTTTTCAAAGTTTTTAACTTCTTTGTCATTGGTTCGAACTTCCTCCTTTAGCTTGGAGTAGTTTGATCTTCTGAAGCCTTCTTCTCTCAACTCGTCAAAGTCATTCTCCATCCAGCTTTGTTCCGTTGCTGTTAAGGAGCTGCGTTCCTTTGGAGGAGGAGAGGTGCTCTGATTTTTAGAGTTTCCGGTTTTTCTGCTCTGTTTTTTTCCTCATCTTTGTGGTTTTATCTACCTTTGGTCTTTGATAATGGTGACATACAGATGGGTTTTTGGTGTGGATGTCCTTTCTGTTTGTTAGTTTTCCTTCTAACAGTCAGGACCCTCAGCTGCAGGTCTGTTGGAGTTTACTGGAGGTCCACTCCAGACCCTGTTTGCCTGGGTATCAGCAGCAGTGGCTGCAGAACAGCGGATATTGTTGAACCGCAAATGCTACTGCCTGATCGTTATTCTGGAAGTTTTGTCTCAGAGGAGTACCCGGCCGTGTGACGTGTCAGTCCGCCCCTACTGGGGGGTGCCTCCCAGTTAGGCTACTCGGGGGTCAGGGACAGACTTGAGGAGGCAGTCTGCCCGTTCTCAGATCTCAAGCTGCGTGCTGGGAGAACCACTACTCTCTTCAAAGCTGTCAGACAGGGACATTTAAGTCTGCAGAGGTTATTGCTGTCTTTTGTTTGTCTGTGCCCTGCCCCCAGAGGTGGAGCCTACAGAGGCAGGCAGGCCTCCTTGAGCTGTGGTGGGCTCCACCCAGTTTGAGCTTCCTGGCCACTTTGTTTACCTAGTCAAGCCTGAGCAAATGGCAGGCGCCCCTCCCCCAGCCTGGCTGCCGCCTTGCAGTTTGATCTCAGACTTCTGTGCTAGCAATGAGTGAGGCTCCGTGGGCATAGGACTCTCCAAGCCCGGTGCGAGATATAATCTCCTGGTGTGCCGTTTGATAAGCCCATTGGAAAAGTGCAGTATTAGAGTGGGAGCAACCCGATTTTCCTGGTGCCATCTGTCACCCCTTTCTTTGACTAGAAAAGGGAATTCCCTGACCCTTTGCACTTCCTGGGTGAGGCGATGCCTCGCCCTGCTTCGGCTCATGCACGGTGTGCTGCACCCACTGTCCTGCACCCACTGTCCAGCACTCCCAGTGAGATGAACCCAGTACCTCAATTGGAAATGCAGAAATCACCCATCTTCTGCGTCGCTCACGCTGGGAGCTATAGACTGGAGCTGTTCCTATTCGGCCATCTTTGCTCCACCCCGCCCAGTCTGTCTTACACTGACTTTCCATCTCTCTCTCTCTCTTCCCTATCTTTCTGTCCATCCATCCATCCATCCATCCATCCATCCACCCACACTGATCTTTAAAGCCCAGACTGTCTTAATCAACTTTTCATATGTATCTCTGTTCTTGAGTTCTCTATTCTTTTTTTTTTTTTTTTTTTGAGACAGAGTCTCACTCTGTCACCCAGGCTGGAGTGCAGTAGCGCAATCATAGCTCACTGCAGCCTCGACCTCCCAGGATCAAGCAATCCTCTCACCTCAGCCTCCCAAGTTGTTGGGACTACAGGTGTGTGCCACTATCCCTGGCTAATTTTTTTAAAATATATTTTTTGTAGAGATAGGGTCTCGCCATGTTGCTCAGGCTGGTCTGGAACTCCTGAGCTCAAGTGATCCTCCCGACTTGGCCTCCCACAGTGTTGGGATTACAAGCATGAGCCACCACGCCTGGTCCTCTATTCTGATCTGTTCTGCTCTGTTTATTTTTATGCCAGTACTATATTGCCTTATAGTTTTATAAAAAGTCAGTATCTTTGGGAGGCCGAGGTGGGTGGATCACCTGAGGTCGGAAGTTCGAGACCAGCCTGACCAACATGGAGAAACCCCGTCTCTACTAAAAATACAAAATTAGGCGTGGTGGCGCACGCCTGTAATCCCAGCTACTCAGGAGGCTGAGGTAGGAGAATCCGTTGGACCCAGGAGGCGGAGGTTGTGGTGAGCTGAGATTGTGCCATTGTACTCCAGCCTAGGCAACAAAGAGTGAAACTCCGGCTCAAAAAAAAAAAAAAAAAATTATCTAATCAGACAAGTTATTTTATGTTGTTCTTCACAAGTGTTCCATTTACACTTTAAAATCAGCTTGTAACTTTTCATGAAAAATTCCAGGGACTTTAGTTGGGACTGCATTGAATTTACAGATAAGTTTAGGAAGAATAGGCATCCTTCATAATGTTGAGTCTTACCATTTTCTTTATGTAAGTCAGTCTTCTTCATTGTCTCTTTTTTTTGTGACTACGTAATTTTACTATTTCTGTAGTAGTTGCCAAATGGTGATATTCTAATTTCATTCTAATTTCTACATTTACTAACTGCAATCAGACTCACCCATTTTTAAAATCCTGGCTCTGCTCCTTGAGCTGTACAATCTTAGGGTACCATTAGGAAAGAAAAAAATGGTCAGCTCAGAATTTTGTTTCCAGTGAAAATGTGTATCTTTCCCTTGCTCTTTCTTTTCTCTCTTCCTGTCTGTTATTTCCTTCCCTCTGCTTTTGGCCACAGAGGTTGGCCTTGGTTGCTGGGTTACCTTAGTAGTAGGGTTAGAACAACCTAGAAGGCAATGCAGTGAGGGAAAAGGTGAGCAGAGAAGATGTGTGTTAGTGGTGTATTAGCCAGCTCCCAAGGATTCAAACAGGAAGTGGGGAGGTAGTCACATGGAGGCACGTTGGCAGCTAGCCAGCCAGCTAGCATCTGAGGACATGGAGGTATTAGGAGAAAGTAAGATAGAGACAGGGAACATCAGAGATGTGGTTATGAGATTGGATTTTGAAACACATAAGGTATAAATAAGTATGAACACTCTTGGTGTCTGCATAACATGCTCCATGACAGGGAATCATATTTCTTGATGAAATTGACAATATCAGTATGACATCTGGAATTGTCTGAGCCTAGAACCTCTTGTGTAAAAATATGAGCTTTAGAAGTCTCCCACTGGCCAAATCTGGCACATAAGCATGAAAATAAGTGATTGTAACAAAATGGAGCCCATTGGATAATATAATAAGTGAAGAGTATTTTTGATATGAAGATAAATAAAAAAATAGAAAAGTGAAGGAGAAGGGAATACTCCTTAGAGTAGACGTCAACTACAGGATGTCTAGAGCTGCCATTAGGCAATCATCATAGTATTAGATGGTTCAGATAGGAGTTATACAAAAAAGCTGGTTAGTGGAGATGTGATGAGGAACAGTTTACTGACATTGCCTTGAATATCTCTTATTCAATATAAAGTAAAAAGTGTAAATTAAAGCTGCATAGGGATGGCAGATGCCAACCAGACCAGGTCATTAATGGTTACGTCACCAGGGTGGGAGGGATAGCAAATGTGATCCCTGGTGGGAGGCACTAAGGGCACAGCACAATTTCTGTATTCTTCCCGCTAAGGGAACATCACTGAATCTGGTCATGAAGAATCATCAGAAAGACCCAGTAGAGGATCATTCAATTTCATGTAGGATATTGAGGGTGAGAAGTACAAGGAATGATGAAGAACAGTTTGAGACTGGAGAAGAAGAAAATGGTATGACTCCCGAATGCAACACATGTTCCAGGGTGCGGATCCTGTAGCAGAAAGGAAAACAAGACACTGTCACATGGGAGTGAACATCTGAAGGGCATCTGTGGCTTGGGCAGTCATGTTTTGCCATTGGTTTTTGCCTTAAGTGGTAGCATGATTATGTAGAGAAAATTTTGCCTTGGGGAAAACCACAATGGCAAATTTAGGGGTGGACACCATGCCTGCCCCTTTCATGTTTCAGAAAGAAATGAATAAAATGCAATAATATATAAAGCAAAAAAAGTTATAAAGCAAATGAGGTAAAGAGTTTAACAGCTGAGGAATCTGGGCAAATGATAAATATCCATACATTAGAAATTATTTCAAATTATTTTAAAAATTAAAAATGATTAATTCGCATTTGCTATGGTCCAAATGTATCCACCGAATTTCATATGTTAAAACTTAATTACCCATGTGATAAGAGGTGGGACTTTCAGGAGGTGATTAAGTCATGAAGACAGCTGTCAGGGACGAGAGTAGTGTCCTTTTAAAATGGCGTGAGAGAGCAGGTTCATACCTTTTTTGCCCTTCTGCCTTCTGCCAAGTGAGAATGCAGCAAGACAGCAGACACTGAATCTGGCACCTTCATCTTGGACTTCTCAGCCTGCAGAACTGTCAGAAATAAATTCGTTTTTTTATAAATTATCCACTATCAGGTATTTTCTTAGCAGAACTAACAAGCTATGAAAACATTGCATATTTTTGATTGTCAAAATGAAGTTGGATATTGTTAAATGTGTTTGAATTCTTTGATTTTGCTAAATACAATGGAATGATCTGCATTTTTTTCTCCACCCAGTTTGCTTTTGTTTCCTATTTTTAACATTTGTATAAATGTGAGGAGTACAAGTGCAGTTTTGTTACATGGATATATTGCTTAGCAGTGAAGCCTGGACTTTTAGTGTAAACATCACACAAATAGTGTACATTGTACCCATTAAGTAATTTCTCATTCTTCACCCACCTCCTACCTTCCCACCCCTCCAAGTCTCCAGTGACTATTACTCCACACTCTGTATCCATGTGTGTACACATTATTTAACTCATATAGTGAGAACAAGCTGTATTTTACTTTCTGAGTTGTTTCATTTAGGATAATGGTCTCCAGTTCCATCTATGTTGCTGCAAAATATATGATTTCATTCTTTTTTTATGGCCAAACGGTATTAAATTGTGTGTGTGTGTGTGTGTGTGTGTGTATATATATATATATATATATATATATATATATATATATATACACACATACATATATATATGTATATATATGTATATATATATATACACATATATGCATATGCATATGCATATATATATATACACACACACATATATGCATAGGTACACAAACACACACTCCATATTTTCTTTATCTAGTCATCCATTGATAGATATTTAGGTTGATTTCATGACTTTGCTGTTGTAAATAGTGCTATGAGAGACATGAGTGCAGGTGTCTTTTTGATATCATGATTTCTTTTCCTTTGGGTAGATACCCAGTAGTGGGATTGCTGTGTTGAATGGTAGGTCTATTTTTATTTCCTTGAGAAATCTCTATATTGTTTTCCATAGAGGTTGTAGTAATTTCCATTCCCACCAACAGTATGTAGGAGTTGTCTTTTCTCCGTACTTTCTCCAACATGTTATTTATTTATTTTTTAATAATAGCCATTCTGACTGATATAAGATGATATCCCATTATGGTTTTAAATTGCATTTCTCTGATAATTTGTGAAGTTGGCCATTTTTTCATATGCTTGTTGGCCGTTTGTATGTCTTTTCTGAAAAATGTCCACTCATTTCCTTTGCCCGTTTTTAATTGTATTTT
Source organism: Homo sapiens (assembly GCF_000001405.40). Lineage (NCBI taxonomy): Eukaryota > Metazoa > Chordata > Mammalia > Primates > Hominidae > Homo > Homo sapiens. The sequence continues at coordinate 478,543 of NW_025791796.1, read as the reverse complement.
TGATTTCTGTTGTTATTGAGTTGTTTGAGTTTCTTGTAAATTCTGGATATTGGTCCCCTGTTGGATCATAGTTTACAAATAATTTCCCCCATTCTGCAGGTTGTTTGTTCACTCTGTTGATTGTTTCTTTTGCTGTGCAGGAGCTTTTGAGTTTAATTAAGTCCCATTTGTCTATTTTTGTTTTTGTTGCTTGTGCTTTTGAGGTCTTGGTTATGAATTCTTTAGACCAATGTCCAGAATAGTTTTCCATGGATTTCCTTCTAGCATTTTTAGAGTTTCAGATCTTACATTTAAGTCTTCAGTTCATCCTGAGTTGATTTTTGTATATAGTGAGAGATAGGGATCCAGTTTCATTCTCTGCATATGGCAATCCAATTTTGCCAGTACTATTTATTAAAAAGGGTGTCATTTTTTTCCCCATGTATATATTTGTCAACTTTGTCAAAGATCAGCTGGCTGTAGATATGTGGGTTTATTTCTAGGTTCTCTTTTTCTATTTCATTGATCTATGTGTCTATTTTCATACTAGTACCATGCTGTTTTGGTTACTATAGCTTTATAATATAATTTGAGGTCAGGTAATGCAATGCCTCCTGCTTTGTTCTTTTTGCTTAGGGTTGCTTTGGCTATTCAAGCTCTTTTTTTTGGTTCTATATGAATTTTAGGATTGCTTTTTCTAATTCTGTGAAAATGACATTGGTAATTTGATAGGAATTGCATTGAATCTGTACATTGCTTTGGGTAGTGTGGTCATTCTGATGTTATTCATTCTTCTCCCTGAGCGTGGGATATTTTCCCATTTGTTTGTGTCATCTACAGTTTCTTTCATCAGTGTTTTGTAGTAAAGATCTTTCTCCTCCTTGGTTAAATATATTCCCAGATATTTTATTTCTTTGTAGCTATTGTAAATGGGATTGCTTTTTTAGTTTGGTTCTCAGCTTGCTCTTGGTTATAAAAATGGTACTGATTTTTGTATATTGATTTTGTATCCTGAAACTTTGCTGTATTTGTTCATCAAATCTAAGAGTTTTTTAATAAAAGTATTTAGGGTTTTGTAGGTATAAGATTATATCATCAGTGAACAGAGATATTGTGTTGGTGCAAAAGTAATTGTGGCAAATGGCAAAAATTGCAATTACTTTTGCACCAACCCAATAGTTTGACTTCTTGTTTTCCAATTTGGATGCTGATATAGTTTGGATGTTTGTTCCTTCCAAGTCTCATATTGAAATGTAATCCTCAATGATAGAGGTGGGGCCTGGTGGGAGGTGCTTGTGTCATGGGGGTGGATCCCTTCTGGATGGCTTGGTGCTGTCCTTGAGATAGTGAGTTCTTGTGAAATCTGACTGTTTGAAAGTGTGTGGCACCTCCCCACCACTCTCTGTTCCTGCTCTTGCCATGTGATGTGACTGCTCCCACTTCACTTTCTGCCATGATTGTAAGGTTTCTGAAGACTTCACCAGAAGCAGGTGCTGGAGCCATGCTGATACAGCCTTCAGAACTCTGAACCAATTATACCTCTTTTCTTTATAAATTACCCAGTTTCAGGTATTTATAGCAATGCAAGAATGGCCTAACAGAAAACTGGTATCAGGAGTGGGGCATCGCTATAAAGATACCTGAAAATGTGGAAGCAACTTTCAACTGGGTAATGGGCGGAGGTTGGAAGAGTTTAGAGGGCTCAGAAGACAGGAAGATAAGGGAAAGTTTGGAACTTCTCAGAGACTGGTTCAATGGTTGTGACCAAAATACTGGTACCCAAGACTGGGTAATTTGTAAAAAAAAGAGGTTTAATTGACTCACCATTCAGCATGGCTGGGGAGGCCTCCGAAACTTACAATCATGGTGGAAGGGGAAGCAAACACGTCCTTCATCACATGGTGGCAGGAAGGAGAATGAGAATTCAGCAAAGGGGGAAGCTCCTTATACAACCATGAGACCTTGTGAGCACTAACTCACTATTATGAGAACAGGATGGGGGAAACTGCCCCCATGATTCAATTATCTCCAGGTTCCTCCCATGACACGTGGGAACTAAAATTCAAGATGAGAGTTAGGTGAGGACATAGCCAAACTGTATCATTCCACCCCTCACCCCTCCTAAATCTCATGTCCTCACATTTCAAAACCGAATCATGCCCTTCCAATAGTCCCCCAAAGTCTTAACCCATTTCAGAGTTAACTCAAAAGTCCGAGTCCAAAGTGTCATCTGAGACAACACGAGTAAGTCCCTTTTGCCTATGAGCCTGTAAAATCAAAAGGAAGTTAGTTACTTCCTAGATAGAATGTGGGTACAGGCATTGAGTAAATACACCCATTCCAAGTGGGAGAAGTTGGCCAAAACAAAGGGGTTACAGGCCCCATGCAAGTCTGAAATCCAATAGGGCAGTCATTAAACCTTAAAGTTCCAAAATAATCTCCTTTGACTTCATGTCTCATATTCAGGTCAGGGTGATGCAAGAGGTGGGCTCCCACAGCCTTGGGAAGGTCTGCCCCTGTGGTTTTGCAGGGTAAAGCCCCCCTCCTGGCTGCTTTCATGGGCTGGCATTGAGTGTGCAAGCTGCTGGTGGATCTGCCATTCTGGGATCTGGAGGACTGTGGCCCTCTCCACACAGCTTCATTAGGGAGTGTCCTGGGGGGACCCTGTGTGGGGTCTCTGGCCCCACATTTCCCTTCTGCACTGCCCTAGCAAAGGTTTTCCCTGAGAACTCCACCCCTGCAGCAAACTTCTACCTGGACATCCAGGCATTTCCATACATCTTCTGAAATCTAGGTGGAGGTTCCCAAACCTCAATTCTTGACTTCTGTGCACCCCCAGGCCCAACACCATATGTATGCCACCAAGACTTGGGGCTTGCACCCTCTGAAGCAATGGCCTGAGCTCCACATTAGCCCCGTGTAGCCATGGCCAAGACACACGGCACCAAGTCCCTAGACTGCACATAGCATCAAGGCCCTAGGCCTGGCCCACAAAACCGTTTTTTTCTTCTAGTCCTCTGAGCCTGTGATGGGAGAGCCTGCAGTGAAGACCTCTTACATGCCCTGGAGACATTTTCCCCGTTTCCTTGGTGATTAACATTTGGCTCCTCGTTACTTATGCATATTTCTGTAGCCAGCTTGAATTTCTCCTCAGAAAGTGGGTTTTTCTTTTTTATTGCATTGTCAGGCTGCAAATTTTCTGAACTTTTATGCTCTGCTTCCCTTTTAAACGTAAGTTCCAATTCCAAACCATATCTTCATGAATACATAAAACTGAATGCTTTTAACAGCACCCGAGTTACCTTTTGAATGCTTTGCTTCTTGGAAATTCCTTCCACCAGATGCCCTAAATCATCTCTCTCAAGTTCAAAGTTCCACAGATCTCTAGGGCAGGGGCAAAATGCTGCCAGTCTCTTTGCTAAAACATAGCAAGAGTCACTTTTACTCCAGTTCCCAACAAATTCCTCATCTCTTTCTGAGACCACTTCAGCCTGGACTTCATTGTCCATATCACTATAGCATTTTGATCAAAGCCATTCAACAAGCCTCCAGGCAATTCCAAACTTTCCCACATCTTCCTGTCTTCTTCTGAACCCTCCACACTGTCCCAACTTCTGCCTGTTACCCAGTTCCAAACTCGCTTCCACATTTTTGGATATCTTTACAGTAGTGCCCCACTCTCAGGTACCAATTTACTGTATTAGTCTGTTTTCATGCTGCTAATAAAGACATATCTGAGACTGGATAATCTATAAAGGAAGGAGGTTTAATTGACTCACAGTTCTGTATGGCTAGGGAAGCCTCAGGAAACTTACAATTATGGCAGAAGGGGAAGAAAACATGTCCTTCTTCACATGGCAGCAGGAAGGAGAATGAGAATCCAGCAAAGGGGGAAGCCCCTATTAAAACCATCAGATCTTGTAAAACTTACTATCATGAGAACAGAATGGGGAAAACCACCCCCATGATTTAATTATCTCCACCTGGTCCCTCCCACAATATGTAGGGATTATGGGAACTACACTTCAAGATGAGATTTGGGTGAAGACAGCCAAACCATATCAGTCTCAGATGGAAATAAGGAATTTATTGGGAACTGGAGTAGAGGTCACCCATGTTACACCCTAGCAAAGAACTTGGCTGTATTATGTTCATGTCATAGGGATCTGTGGAAGTTTGAAGTTAAGAGTGATAACTTAGGGTATGAAGTGAATGACATTTCTAAGCAGCAATTGTTTAAGATATGGCCTGGCTGCTTTTAACAGCCTATGATCAGATGTGGGAGCAAAATTACTTAAAGTTGGAACTTATATTTAAAAGGGAAACAGAGTGTGAAAGTTTGAAAATTTTGCAGCCTGGACATATGGCAGAGAAAGAATCCAAGCAGATTGTGGAGCAAGCACTTGCTAGAGAGATCAGCATAGATAAAAGGGAGTCAAGTGCTAATATCCAAAACAATGGGGAAAAAAGACCTTGAAGGCATTTCAGGAATCTCTGAGACAGCCTCTCCTACCACAGGTTCAGAGGCCTAGGAAGAAAGAATGGTTTCGTGGGCCAGTCCCAGAGTACTGCTGCCCTGTGCAGCTTTGTGACAGTGCTCCCTGCTTCCTGGGTGCTCCAGCTCCAGCCTTGGCTCAAAGGACCCCAAGTACTGCTCATGCTGTTGCTCTGGAGAGTGCAAGCTGCCATAAGCCTTGGTGGCCTCCATGTTTTGTTAAGTCTGTGAGCATATGGATTGCAAGAGTGAAGGAGACTTGGCAGCTTCCCCCTAGATTTCAGGGGATATATGAGAAAGTCTGGGTGCCTAGGCAGAAGCCTGCTGCAGAGGTGGAGCCCTCATGGAGAACCTCTACTAGGGTAGTGAGGAGGGTAAATGTAGGGTTGGAACCCCTACACAGAGTCGCTACCAGGGCACTGCCCACCAGATACCAAAATGATAGATCCATCAGCAGCTTGCACCCTGCTTCTGGAAAAGCCACAGACACTCAACTGCAACCTGTGGGAGCAGCTGTGAGGGCTGTACCTTGCAAAGCCACAGGGGCAGAGCTGCCCAAGACCTTGGGAGCCAATCTTTTGCATCAGTATGGGCTGGATATGGGACATGGAGTCAAAGGAGATTATTTTGGAGCTTTAAGAGTTGATGACTCCTCTGCTGAGTTTCAGACTTGTTTGGGAACTATTACCCCTTTCTTTTGGCCAATTTCTCCCTTTTGGAATGGTAATGTTTACCCAATGCCTGTACTACCATTGTATCTTGGGATTAGATAACCCGCTTTGATTTTACAGGGTCATAGGTGGAAGGAGATGAGTCTCAGTTGAGATTTCGAACTTTGGGTTTGATGCTGGAATGAGTTAAGAGTTTTGGGCACTATTGGGAGCAGATGATTATATTTTGCAATGTGAGAAGGATATTAGATTTGAGGGGCCGGAGTGGAAAGATACAGCTTTCATATTTGTCCCAATCACATCTCATATTGAAATTTAATTGCCAATGTTGTAGGTGGGGCCTGGTGGGAAGTGTTTGGGTCATGAGTGCAGATCTTTCATGAATAACTTGGTGCTTTCCTTGAGACAGTGAGTTCTCATGAAATCTGGTTGTTTAAAGAGTGTGACACTTCTCCTTCTTTCTTGCTCTCACTCTCACCAATAATATGTCTGCTTCTGCTTTACATTCTGCCATGATTGTAAAGGTTCTGAGGCTTTCGCCAGAAGCAGATGCTGGAGCCATGCTGGGACACTCTGCAGAACTCTGAGCCAAGTGAACCTCTTTTGTTTATAAATTACCTAGTCTCAGGTATTTCTTTATAGCAATGTAAGAACAGCCTAACACAGATGCCTTTTATTTCGTTCTTTTGCCTGGTTGCTCTGGCTGTGACATCTAATACTATGTTAAATAAAAGTGGTGGAAGTTGGCATCCTTGTCTTACTTAAGTTCTTAGGTGAATTGCTTTCAACTTTTCCACATTCAGTATGATGCTGGCTGTGGTTTGGCATGAAGGGGTGGGTTGCCCCTCCACACCTGTGGGTGTTTCTCATTAGGTGGAACGGGAGACTTGGAAAAGAAAAAGACACAGAGACAAAGTATAGAGAAAGAAATAAGGAGACCCAGGGGACCAGCGTTCAGCATACGGAGGATCCCGCCAGCCTCTGAGTTCCCTTAGTATTTATTGATAATTCTTGGGTGTTTCTCGGAGAGGGGGATTTGTCAAGGGTCATAGGATAATAGTGGAGAGAAGGTCAGCAGATAAACACGTGAACAAAGGTCTCTGCATCATAGACAAGGTAAAGAATTAAGTGCTGTGCTTTAGATATGCATACACATAAACATCTCAATGCCTTACAGAGCAGTATTGCTGCTGCATGTCCCACCTCCATCCCTAAGGCAGTTTCCCCCTATCTCAGTAGATGGAACATACAATCGGGTTTTATACCGAGACATTCCATTGCCCAGGGAGGGGCAGGAGACAGATGCCTTCCTCTTGTCTCAACTGCAAAGAGGCATTCCTTCCTCTTATACTAATCCTCCTCAGCACAGACCATTTACGGGTGTCGGGCTGGGGGTCGGTCAGGTCTTTCCCTTCACACGAGGCCATATTTCAGACTGTCACATGGGGAGAAACCTTGGACAATACCTGGCTTTCCTAGGCAGCGGTCCCTGCGGCCTTCCACAGTGTTTGTGTCCCTGGGTACTTGAGATTAGGGAGTGGTGATGACTCTTAACCAGCATGCTGCCTTCAAGCATCTGTTTAACAAAGCACATCTTGCACCGCCCTTAATCCATTTAACCCTGAGTGGACACAGCACATGTTTCAGAGAGCACGGGGTTGGGGGTAAGGTTATAGATTAACAGCATCCCAAGGCTGAAGAATTTTTCTTAGTACAGAACAAAATGGAGTCTCCTATGTCTACTTCTTTCTACACAGACACAGTAACAATCTGATCTCTCTTTCTTTTCCCCACATTGGCAAAAATGTCCTTTATTATTTTGAGGTATGTTTCTTCTGTCTAGTGTGTTGAGGGTTTTTATCATGAAGGGAGGCTGAATTTTATCAAATTCTTTTCCACATTTGTTGAGATGATCGTAGGGTTTTTGTTTTTTAATTCTGTCTATGTGATGAATCACATTTATTGATTTACATATGTTGAGCCATCCTTGCATCTCTGCAATAGAACCCAGTTGATCATAATGTATCATCTTTTTGATGTACTGTTGGATTTGGTTTGCTAGTATTTTGCTGAGGATTTTTGCATCTATATTCATCAGAGATATTGATCTGTAGTTTTCTTTTTTAGTTGTGTCCTTACCTGGCTTTAGTATCAAGAGGATACTGACTCCATAGAATGAATTAGGGAAGATTTTCTCCTTCTTGATATTTTGGAGCAGTTTCAGTAGGAGTGGTACCAGTCATTCTTTCTGCATTAGATAGAATTCAGCTGTGAGTTCATCTAGTTCTGGGATTTTTAGTTGTTCTTGGGAAGCTTTTTATTACTGATTCAATTTTACTACTTTTTCAAATTGTTATGTTCAGGATTTCTATTTCTTTCTGGTTTAGTCTTTTGATATAATAGTATACTTTCTCCAGAAAGTTTGTTTATGGCTTTTATTGGATTTATTCCTGGCCACTTTATAGTTTATGCTGCTATCGTAAGTAGTATCATTTTTAAGAATTAAATTTTCTAACTGTGCTTCAGAATAGAAATACAATTAGTATTTTATTTAGTTTTTGCAGCTATAGCCTTTTTAGAACTCTTTCATTCTAATAATTTGATGATTCCTTTGGGTTTTCTGTATATAAATAATGACCACTTGGGGTCTTCTGCAATCCTTTTAGCTTTTGTTTAGTTTTTTTCCCCTGTACTAGTTAGGACCTCTAGTATGCTGAATAGAAATGGTGATAGCAAGCGTCTTTGTCTTGTTTCTGTCCTTAAGGAAAATACTTTCAACATTTTCTTGTCAAATTAAGATGTTTGTTATGTGGCTTTATATACAATTGCTCTTAGACACTAAGTTTGTTATGAGCTTTTAGCAAAAATTTTAAATTTTACCTAATTTATCTTTTTCTATCTAATGCTTTTTCTGTATTTATTGACATGGCAAATGATTGTTTTCTGTTCCTTAACCTGTCAATGCAGTGAATAAGAGTACTCAACTTTCAATCAATGAATCAAATTTGTGTTATTGGTACAAACCTTACTTGGTCAAGATATACGTATTCTTTTTCTTTCTGAGACAGGATCTCTGTTGCAGGCTGGAATGCAGTGGCACAATTTTGGCTCACTGCAACCTCCACCTCGTAGATTCAAGTGATTTTCTTGCCTCGGCCTCCCAAGTAGCTGGGATTACAGGCATGCACCACCATGCCTGGCTAATTTATTTATTTATTTATTATTATACTTTAAGTTTTAGGGTACATGTGCACGATGTGCAGGTTAGTTACATATGTATACATGTGCTATGCCGGTGTGCTGCACCCACCAACCCGTCAACTAGCATTAGGTATATCTCCCAATGCTGTCCCTCCCCCCCACACCCCACAACAGTCCCCAGAGTGTGATGTTCCCTTCCTGTGTCCATGTGTTCCCATTGTTCAATTCCCACCTATGAGTGAGAATATGTGGTGTTTGGTTTTTTGTTATTGCGATAGTTTACTGAGAATGATGATTCCCAATTTCATCCATGTCCCTACAAAGGACATGAACTCATCATTTTTTATGGCTGCATAGTATTCCATGGTGTATATGTACCACATTTTCTTAATCCAGTCTATCATTGTTGGACATTTGGGTTGGTTCCAAGTCTTTGCTATTGTGAATAGTGCCGCAATAAACGTATGTGTGCACGTGTCTTTATAGCAGCATGATTTATAGTCCTTTGGGTATATACCCAGTAATGGGATGGCTGGGTCAAATGGTATTTCTAGTTCTAGATCCCTGAGGAATTGCCACACTGACTTCCACAATGGTTGAACTAGTTTACAGTCCCACCAACAGTGTAAAAGTGTTCCTATTTCTCCACATCCTCTCCAGCACCTGTTGTTTCCTGACTTTTTAATGATTGCCATTCTAACTGGTGTGAGATGGTATCTCATTGTGGTTTTGATTTGCATTTCTCTGATGGCCAGTGATGATGAGCATTTTTTCATGTGTTTTTTGGCTGCATAAATGTCTTCTTTTGAGAAGTGTCTGTTCATGTCCTTCACCCACTTTTTGATGGGGTTGTTTGTTTTTTTCTTGTAAATTTGTTTGAGTTCATTGTAGATTCTGGATATTAGCCCTTTGTCAGATTAGTAGGTTGCGAAGATTTTCTCCCATTTTGTGGGTTGCCTGTTCACTCTGATGGTAGTTTCTTTTGCTGTGCAGAAGCTCTTTAGTTTAATGAGATCCCATTTGTCAATTTTGTCTTTTGTTGCCATTGCTTTTTGTGTTTTAGACATGAAGTCCTTGCCCATGCCTATGTCCTGAATGGTAATGCCTAGGTTTTCTTCTAGGGTTTTTATGGTTTTAGGTCTAACGTTTAAGTCTTTAATCCATCTCGAATTGATTTTTGTATAAGATGTAAGGAAGGGATCCAGTTTCAGCTTTCTACATATGGCTAGCCATGTTTCCCAGCACCATTTATTAAATAGGGAATCCTTTCCCCATTGCTTGTTTTTCACAGGTTTGTCAAAGATCAGATAGTTGTAGATATACAGCATTATTTCTGAGGGCTCTGTTCTGTTCCATTGATCTATATCTCTGTTTTGGTACCAGTACCATGCTGTTTTGGTTACTGTAGCCTTGTAGTATAGTTTGAAGTCAGGTAGCATGATGCCTCCAAGCTTTGTTCTTTTGGCTTAGGATTGACTTGGCAATGCAGGCTCTTTTTTGGTTCCACGTGAACTTTAAAGTAGTTTTTTCCAATTCTGTGAAGAAAGTCATTGGTAGCTTGATGGGGATGTCATTGAATCTATAAATTACCTTGGGTAGTATGGCCATTTTCACGATATTAATTCTTCCTACCCATCAGCATGGAATGTTCTTCCATTTGTTTCTATCCTCTTTTGTTTCATTGAGCAGTGGTTTGTTGTTCTCCTTGAAGAGGTCCTTCACATCCCTTGTAAGTTGGATTCCTAGGTATTTTATTCTCTTTGAAGCAATTGTGAATGGGAGTTCACTCCTGATTTGGCTCTCTGTTTGTCTGTTATTGGTGTATAAGAATGCTTGTGATTTTTGTACGTTGATTTTGTATCCTGAGACTTTGCTGAAGTTGCTTATCAGCTTAAGGAGATTTTGGGCTGAGACAATGGGGTTTTCTAGATAAACAATCATGTCATCTGCAAACAGGGACAATTTGACTTCCTCTTTTCCTAATTGAATACCCTTTATTTCCTTCTCCTGCCTGAATTCCCTGGCCAGAACTTCCAACACTATGTTGAATAGGAGTGGTGAGAGAGGGCATCCCTGTCTTGTGCCAGTTTTCAAAGGGAATGCTTCCAGTTTTTGCCCATTCAGTATGATATTGGCTGTGGGTTTGTCATAGATAGCTCTGATTATTTTGAGATACGTCCCATCAATACCTAATTTATTGAGAGTTTTTAGCATGAAGGGTTGTTGAATTTTGTCAAAGGCCTTTTCTGCATCTATTGAGATAATCATGTGGTTTTTGTCTTTGGCTCTGTTTATATGCTGGATTACATTTATTGATTTGTGTATATTGAACCAGCCTTGCATCCCAGGGATGAAGCCCACTTGATCATGGTGGATAAGCTTTTTGATGTGCTCCTGGATTCGGTTTGCCAGTATTTTATTGAGGATTTTTGCATCAATGTTCATCAAGGATATTGGTCTAAAATTCTCTTTTTTGATTGTGTCTCTGCCCGGCTTTGGTATCAGGATGATGCTGGCCTCATAAAATGAGTTAGGGAGGATTCACTCTTTTTCTGTTGATTGGAATAGTTTCAGAAGGAATTGTACCAGTTCCTCCTTGTACCTCTGGTAGAATTTGGCTGTGAATCCATCTGGTCCTGGACTCTTTTTGGTTGTTAAACTATTAATTATTGCCACAATTTCAGCTCCTTTTATTGGTCTATTCAGAGATTCGACTTCTTCCTGGTTTAGTCTTGGGAGAGTGTATGTGTCGAGGAATTTATCCATTTCTTCTAGATTTTCTAGTTTATTTGCGTAGAAGTGTTTGTAGTAATCTCTGATGGTAGTTTGTATTTCTGTGGGATCGGTGGTGATATCCCCTTTATCATTTTTTATGGCATCTATTTGTTTCTTCTAGAGATGGGGTTTCACGCCATGTTGCCCCAGGCTGGTCTTGAACTCTTGACCTCAAGTGATTCACCTTCCTCAGCTGCCCAAAGTGCTGGAATTACAGGCGTGAGCCACTGCACCCGGCCTAGGTTATATATATTCTTATACACTGCTGTATTCATTTAACTAGGTTTATGTGTGTGTGGGTGACAAGTGATTTTAGTTTAGTTTTTATTGCTTAGTGTATTCTAGTTTGGTTTTGGTATCAAATGTAAGCTTGCCTCATACAATGAGTAAAGAGTGTTTCCTCTGTGTGATTATTTGAAGAGTTTATATGAAATTGTCTTCTCTTTTTTTTTGGTAGAATTTACCTGTAAAGTCATCAGTACTGCACATTTTGTTAATAGAAAGGTTAACTACTGATTTAAATTCTTTGATGTTTATTGGTTTGAATCATTCAATTTTTCTCTTGAGTCAGTTTTAATATTTTGTATTTTTATAGTAATTTATCCATTTCATTTACATTTTCAAATTTTCTCCTCTAAACTATTAGTAATACATGACCATAACATCCTCTCATTTTTCTTTTTGTGGGAGCCTGTCTCTCCATCAAGCCAAGAATCTCCTTTAATGATATCTAGGACAGGTTGTTCCTCCTCGTCTGTCAGTGACCCATCAGCCTGTTGAGTACTGGGGAAGCACAGTGCCTGTTACTGGCAAGTTTACTGCCTTCATTCTTTCTAATCTTGATCTTTTATGCTGAAGTGTTAGTTTATCTATTCTCAGAAGACATTTGGACAAAAATGCTATTTTTAATTTCAAATGAAAATTATGTTGTTAGAATTAGTCTCTGTATAAATCAGAGTCACATTTTAAATTTTCCTAGGACTTGGTTGGTTTTCTCAGCACACTCTCAGCTCCTGGCAGGTTTGCATAGAGCAGGCAACAATGGGAAAGTGCTCACAGAAAATTTTGCATCTATAAGTGGATAGGGAGGTGATGGAATAGGGCATATGTGGGAAGATACAGGAAAAGGAAAACTGTTCTTACTCCTTACCCGCCCCCCCCATAGGAGATGGTGCTGTACAGCGGGAAAGAGAATTGGATTATAGTTTTCTGCTCCCTAATTGTAACTTTCTTTTTCATTTATTTCAGGAAGTTATATATACAATGGTGTAAAATTGAAAAGTTATTAAAAACTATACAGAGAAAAAACTTCATTTTCACGCCTGACCTCTACTTCCCTTACTGGAGTAACGACTCCATTTTATTGTTTTCTTCCGGAGATATTCTATCTATATAAGCATAGTGGTATATTGCTTAAAAATACACAAATAACACTGCCTGTGTGATTTTAGGAAAATCTCTTGAACTTCATTATTAACTTCTTTAAATTCCTAGATGAAAATACTTACACAAACCTGGAAAAACTCAGTGATTTTGTAGAAATCAATCAAGTAGTGTTTGTGAACATGTTTGGAAAATCATCAGTTATTTTATAAGTTTGAGATGGAGGGAGGGTAGTCATGAAAGTTTTACTTTTCTACACAAAAGACAATGAGTCACATGGGATCTGACTTGACAAGAGTGATTCTGAATTGGCAGCCTGGCTGTGTGTCAGCAGCCCCCTGGCTAATTCCTCTCATAGTGTGTTGGGGTTTTCTTCATGGCTAATGAGGAGATCTATTCGCTTGAGATAGGAAGTGGAAGCTTGCCAGAGTGTGAGACACCTCACTTTCCTCCCTCCCTCCTTCCCTTTGCCCTTCCTCACGTTTAGGGAGTTAGTATTGGAACTTTGGCTGATGCAACAGTTTGAGTCACTGTCTCTCTGTGCTGTGGGATCCACTCACTTTTAATGGGGAGTTGATGGAATCACTCCTCCCTCCCCCACCCTGACTTCCTCCTCTAATTGGCTCTCAGGGGACTCCAACTCCTGCTAATCAACCATGGCAGAGCTGCTGCAGAGAGCCCGAAACTGGCACTCAGGGACCTAGGTTCTGTTGTGACTCTGCTCCTTCAACTTTCTTTTCTAATCTGTTAAAACAACTTTGCCTTTGGATTAGGCCTGGGAGAATGGGGTTCCTTTGGGCATTGCCTTTGCAGAGACAGTTTTAATAATGCCAGCATCTTCTAGACTTTGCCAACTATTGTGTTCAGCTTGAATCTTTTTATTCATGGTGGCAGAGAGGGGAAAAGATTAGGTATCTGTTTCATGTGTCCACAGTGGGGGAGGCAAATGATAGGAGAAAAGAGAAGATGAAAGAGCATATCATTTGAGGAATGTGAGCCTCAACATATTGGTCCACATACTGCTTCTCTATTAGCAAAAGGCCTTGTGGAAAACTTACCTTGTCTGCTTCTGTTTGTCACTGCCCAGAGGAAAGTAAACCTAGTTGTGCAGCTTTGGCCAATATTATTATTGGGTTACATTTAAAAAAGTTATTTTAAAAATAGGCTTTGTCTTTTAAAGCAGTTTCAGGTTCACAGCAATATTGAATAGAAAGTACAGAGGGTTTCTATATACCTCTTCACCAACCTTATGCCCAACCTTCCCCATTATCAATGTCCCATCCCAGAGTGGTACACTTCCTATAATTCATGAGCCTACATTGACACATCCTTATCACTCCAAGTCCATGGTTTATATTGGAGTTCACTCTTAGTGTTGTACATTTTATGGGTTTTGACAAATGTATACTGACATGTATTTATTAAACTATCATACAGAATCGTTTCATTGCTGTACAATCCTATGTGTTCTACCTGTGTGTCCTTATCTCCCCTCCTCCCTCACCCCTGGAAACCACTATCTTTTTTCATTTTTTAATTAAAAATTTTTTTTTCTTATGCCTCCCAGGGCTTCCTTGCTAGAAACCACTATCTTTTTACTGTTTCTATACTTTTGCCTTTTTCAGAATGTCATAAAATTGGAATCAGAGTATGTACCTTTTCAGGTTGACTCCTTACTCCATGGATTACCTTTCAAAATGGACATTTAAAAATAATTTTAGAATGATACTAAAGCTACAATAGAGGGTAAGTGTATCTATGGCATACCCAAGCATATTTGTGTAACCTCTTTTTTGGGGGTTGGGGGAACAGGGTCTCGCTCTGTTATTCAGGTTAGAGTTCAGTGGAATGATCATAGCTCACTGCACCCATAAACTCGTGGTCTTAAGCAATCCTCCTACCTCAGTCTCCCACATAGCTGGGACATTAGCCACCAAGCCTGGCTAATTTAAAAAAAATTCTTAGTAGAGGCCGGGTGCAGTGGCTCACACCTGTAATCCCAGCACTTTGGGAGGCCGAGGCAGGCGGATCATGAGGTCAGGAGATCGCGACCATCCTGGCTAACACGGTGAAACCCCGTCTCTACTAAAATACAAAAAAAAAATTAACCGGGCTTGGTGGTGGGCACCTGTAGTCCCAGCTACTGGGGAGGCTGAGGCAGGAGAATGGCGTGAACCCGGGAGGCGGAGCTTGCAGTGAGCCGAGATCGCACCACTGCACTCCAGCCTGGGTGGCAGAACGAGACTCCATCTCAAAAAAAAAAAAAAAAATTATTAGTAGAGATGAGGTCTTACTATGTTAACCAGGCTGGTCTCAAACTCTTGGATTCAAGTGATCCTCCTGCCTCAATCTCCCAAAGTGCTGTGATTATAAGTGTGAGCCACTGTGCCTGGCCTGTAACCTTTGTTTTGACAAATGGATAGTATTAAAGGAAATTTTCTTGATACGCAGTTTAGTCTGTTCTTGGACAAGCAATGCAGTAGGTTTGACTTTGAGTGCTTTATTACTAACACTTTCTGGCCAGGCCACAGTTAAGGTCCGGTTGGAAAACACTTGTTGAGGTTTGAATTGTAACCTTTTTACTGGATGATAGGGTATTTTTTAGCCCATAGATAAACTTGCTTAAAAAACCAAGAAAGACACTGAAATCTCAGTCTATACATAGTTTCATCAGTGTTTATTGGGAACTGTGTTCTGGATAAAGCAATCGTATGTATACATTTTTATTATGTAATGTATAAGTGATTTGTAAATTATAAAGATCTCCTACGATACTGTGGTGTCTTCTAGATAGAAAATATATCTTTCTAAAATGTGTGCCTAATTCTAGTGTAGTGTCAATTTATAGTACACAATAAATATTTAATGAATAAACATTATTCTGTTGTTGATTACAATTCTCTGAACGCATATTTTTCTATACCTGCTTACTTTAGATTTATAAGATTAGATTCTCACATTTTTTTCATGCATTTACATATTTATATTGATAG
The DNA here is from genome assembly GCF_000001405.40 of Homo sapiens. Classification (NCBI taxonomy): domain Eukaryota; kingdom Metazoa; phylum Chordata; class Mammalia; order Primates; family Hominidae; genus Homo; species Homo sapiens. Next base: position 463,046 of record NW_025791796.1, on the reverse strand, counting down.
GATAAACAAACAAACAAACAGAAAAAGCTTCATGGTCCTGTTTATCTTTGCTCAGGGCAGGATGGCTGTAGAGGAGGTTACACCAGAATCTCAGCAGATAAATATAGAAATAGATCCAGGGTGATGGGATTTTAGAGCATGGTCCCACTGAATGGGAGAGTACATAGTTGGCCAGTGTGGATACGGAAAAAGCAATGCTTCCCAGGATATATGGAATCCCAGTGAGGGGATAAGCCCCCTATCCTTTTCATTTTCTCCAGTTTTGCTTCTCTTTGTACTCCTTTTCTGGTGTGGTCATTTTCTGTTTGCCCTGCCAGATGGTTGAACTATTGGGAGGGAGAACTATATCCTTCCTTTTATTTATTTGCCTGTTGCTGTAGCACAGGCAAGCAAAGAGGAAAACTTTACTTCCTAAAGTCATAAGTGTTTATGGGACACCTTCTCTAGTATTGGATATAGCCATACAAGGGTTTGAAGATGAATAAGGTCATACAGCTGGTAAGTGGTAAGCCTAGGCTTAAGTCTGGGTCTCTTGCCACCAAGTCAGTACTTTTATGCCAGGCTGTTTTGTGGGGTTATTATGTCAAAGTAGGAAAGTGAAAATAATTGCTTTCTTATTTAAACCCATGAAAATATAATGCAAGAAAGATTAAATTCTGTTTAGATTAGTGAATACAGTGCCTAATTCTTCTTGAGTGTTTAGATTTAATTTTTCAATGCAGTTTTTTCATGTATTTGATGTTTATACTTTCCTGTTTTATAGAAAAATATATAATTGAGGATAAAACTGTGTTAATCTAGCCTTTTAGTAAACCACTTCTTTGGATTTCTAGTTATACTGTTAGAACATAACCAGTGTGGTAGTTTTCTTAATATTATCTTTCAAGACCCTAGGAAAAAGTAAGCAGCCAAAGTCAAACCTCAGAATGATGGCAAATTTTATTCTAAAAAATATGAGAAGATCTTATTAAACCAAGGGGTAAATTGAGTTGGTGGTTGTAGTAAATACTATTATGAAAAATAGAAGGCTGGACATGGTGGCTCACACCTGTAATCCCAGCACTTTGGGAGGCTGAGGTGGGAGGATCGCTTGAGCTCAGGAGTTTAAGACTAGCCTGGGCAACATAAGGAGACCCTGTCTCTATGAAAAAATACAAAAAAAAAATTAGCTGGGCATTGTGGTGTGTGCCTGAAATCCCAGTTACTTGGGAAGCTAAAGTGGAAGGATTGCATGAGCCTAAGAGTTGGAGGCTGTAGTGAGCAATGATCACACCACTGCACTCCAGCCTGGGTGACAGAGAGAAACCCTGTCTCAAAAAAAAAAAAAAAAAAAAAAAATGCTTGCCCAGGGATGGCATGTTTAGAGAACTGAGGAGAGCACAGAATTAGAATAATACAGACAAGTTGTATTGGATAGGATCAACCTCTCAAGAGTGTTCATAAAGTTTTCCTTTATTTATTTATTTTTTAAGACAGAGTCTCACTCTGTCGCCCAGACTGGAGTGCAGTGGCACAATCTTGGCTCCCTGCAACCTCCACCTCCTGGGTTCAAGTTATTCTCCTACCTCAGCCTCCTAAATAGCTGGGATTACAGGCGTGCACCACCATGCCTGGCTAATTTTTGCATTTTTAGTAGAGATGTGGTCTCACCATGTTGGCCAAGCTGGTCTTGAACTCCTGACCTCAAATGATCCACCCACCTTGACCTCCCAAAGTACTGGGATTACAGGCATGAGCCACTGTGCCCAGCCGAGTTCATAAAGTTTTAAAGCTCTAAATATATTCATCTTTAAGAACAATTCTTGGAGGAGAAACTGAATTAGAGTAACTTAATTTCACCAGGATATTATAGAGATTCATCAACTGAACAGACGTGCTGTTCTTTAAGGCAGTGCTTAGAAAATGGTACATTAAGAAAATGATGTTTGACATAGTGGAGTAAACTAGAAGGGATTTGGAGGCATCTGTATAGATTTTGTTGAAAAATGTCTTATTTTTTTATTAGAAGAAAAATATAACAATATGATTAAATTCATAACAAAAATTCAAATGTATTAAATTTTAAATTTCTATAAAATTTGTAAATAAAATATTTTCCTTTTTTTCTTTTTTTTTCTTTTCACTGACCACATCTACTTGGACCAAATTTTCAATAAAAACTTTCAGCTTGTTTATATATATGTAAGTTTATTTATTTATTTATTTATTTAGATGGAGTTTTGCTCTGTGGCCCAGGCTGGAGTGCAGTGATAACGATCTTGGCTCACTGCAACCTCTGCCTCCCAGGTTCAAGCGATGCTCCTGCCTCAGCCTCCCAAGTACCTGGGACTATAGGTGCACACCACCATGCCTGGCTAATTTTTGTATTTTTAGTAGAGACGGGGTTTCATATATTGCCAGGCTGCTCTTGAACTCATGACCTCAATTGATTCACCCCCCTCGCCCTCCAAAAGTGCTGGGATTACAGGCATGAGCCACTGTGCCTGGGCATAAATTTTAAATATGTAACTTTTAATACTAGTTTTTTTGCTTGGTTTGGTTCATACAATTCCTGATAGAAACTTCAAGTAATGATCTCTTCAACTTCTAGATAATCACCAGTGATGAGAAGTTTTCTTTGCAATGTACATGGTAGCAAGTGGTAGAAGGTATATATTGCCTTTTCTATATTTTTATATTTTACTATAATAATAGTTGGACATCTTTCTATTAATGAGAGCTTGGATAAATCAGTTTTTATGGATTGTGCTTAGGGTGTGATTATGCCTTAAGTCTCATAGCTCTTCTTTTCCTGTCATTGACAAATGTAATGTTAAAGGGTCTTGTGAGGAAACTTTTAACAGTACATTAATAGTGAATCAAACTTTCTTATATCAAGTATAAAAAAATGGCTAAGATTTCCCTCAAGCATATACCAGTATTGCTCTACTAGTCTTAATAAATCTTCAGGATTCAAATAATAAACCTGACTAAACATTACTAGTGAACCACTGTTTTTTGTTTGTTAGTTTTTTTGAAACAGAGTCTCTCGGTCTGTCGCCCAGGTTGGAGTGCAGTGGCATGGTCTCTACTCACTGTGACCTCTGGCTCCTGGGCTCAAGCCACTTTTGTGCCTCTTGAGTAGCTGGGACTGCAGATGTGTGCCACCACGCCCAGCTAATTTTTTGTTTGTTTGTTTTTGTAGAGATGGGGTTTTGCCATCTGGCCAGGCTGGTTTTGAACTCTTGAGCTCAAGTGATCCGTACACCTTGGCCTCCCAAAGTGTTGGGATTACAGGTGTGAACCACCACACCCAGCCTAGTAAACCACTTTAAGCTTACTTTTTAAAAGTTGTCTTTTGTTTTGAATCTATATACATTTTCAGTACATTAATATAATTAATGTAGGCCTTGGTATTTTTGAATGAGATCATTCAGGTGATCAGAAATATCAGGTAAGCCATTTTTTTAAAAAATAAACTTTTATTTTGGAATAATTTTATATTTACAGAAAAATTTCAAAGATAATATAGAGAATCTCCACATATTCCTTACCAGTTTCCCCCACTGTTAACAACTTCTATTTCCATCTCCATGGTACATTAAGAAGCTAACTACTTAACTAACATGTTGTTAGTAACTAAATTCCAGATTTTATTTGGATTTCACCAATTTTCCATTAATGCCCTTTCTTTCTTTCAGGATCTGATCCAGTGTACAACATTTCATTTAGATGTCATGTCTCTCCATCCGAGTCTGTGAAAGTTTCTGTCTTTTCTTGTTTTTTTTATGACCTTGACAGTCCAGAGGAGTATTGTGTAGAATGATCCCCATTCAGGGTTTGATGTTTTTCTGCATGATTAGACTGTAGTAATGGATTTTGGGGAAACAGACCATGCAGATGAAGTGCCTTTCTCAATACATCTGTATTAGTCAATTTTCGCACTGCTATAAAGAAATACCTGGGACTGCATAATTTATAAATAAAAGAGGTTTAATTGGCTCATGGTCTTGCAGGCTTCACAGGAAGCACAATGGCTTCTGGGGAGGCTTCAGGAAACTTTGGCGGAAAGCGAAGGAGAAGCAGGCATGTTTTAGATGGTTGGAGCAGAAGGAAGAGAGAGAGAGAGAGGGCAGAGGTGCTATACACTTTTCAACAACCAGATCTCATAAAAAACTCTTATCATGAGAACAGCACCAAAGGGAGAATTCTGCCTTCATGATCTTACCAACTCCCACCAGGCCCCACCTCCAACACTGGGGATTACAATGCGACATGAGATGTGGGTGGGGACACAAATCCAAACCATATCAGCATCATATCAGAGGTAAACAATATCACATGACATCACTGGTGATGTTAGTCTTCATCACTTGGTCAATGTAGTGTTTGCCATGTTTCGCCACTCTAAAGTTACTATTTTCCCTTTTCCCTAATATTCTTAGGAAGTAAGTCACTAAGTCTAGGCCACCTTTGGGGAAAGGGGATTAAGCTCCACCTCCTGGGGGAGTATATACATACATTATTTGGAAGTCATCTGTAAGGAAAATTTGTCTCCCCTTTTCTGTTTATTTATTCAGTCATTTATTAACACCAGTGTGTACTTACATATATTTATTTCATAGTTTGGGTTATAATCCAATACTACCCTATTATTTTCTTGCTCAAATTGTGCCAGCTGATCTTGAGAGCTCTTTTAGATTGGCTCTTGTATCACCTTCATGTGTTTCTATCCTTTTGAGTTTTGAGTACTTTTTGGTACTACAAAATTCGCTGGGTTCATTCTGTATTTTCCTTGTCCCAGCCCTAGAAACAGTCATTTCTTGAAGGAGCCCTACTACCTTTTATTGGAGAATGGTATTTTAAAACCAAGATCTGGGTGCTGAGTGCTTATTGCTTCTAGGCACTTTTGGCAGACAAAACTACATAATATATGTCTTTATACATATATTATGCATGTACATACACGTGTCCATACTTATTTCTATATCTGTGTATATATTACACTAAATATGAATTTATAAGGGTGTCTCTGACTCTAACCAGTAGCACAGAGTTTATTCTTGCTTTGTTTTCTTGCTTTACTGTAATGTCTCTCTTTGATGGGCTGGTAGGCTGCTGAAAGATGGCCATCCCAAGATGTCTATATTATAATTTCTGTAACTTTTAGATGTGTTACTTCACATGGCAAAAGAGAGTTCACATATATTATTAGGCTAAAGATCTTGTAATGTGGGAGTTTATCCTGAATTATCTGGGTGGGTCAATGTCATTACAGGAGTCCTTATTAGAGAGAGGCAGGAGGGTTGAAGACAAAGAAGGCAATGTGATAACTAAAGGGGGGAGGGAGGGAGGGATGGAAGGAGGGAGAGAGAGAAAGAGAGAGAGAGAGAGATATGAAGAGAGATACTAAGATTAGAAGATCCTATGCTGCTAGATTTGAAGATGGAGGAACAGGCCATTAGCTAAAGAATGTAGGTGGGCTCTAGAAGCTGGCAAAGTCAAAGAAAACAGATTCTCCAGAGCATCAAGAGGCAACCTGGACGTCTTTACTTTAGTGAGGCTGATTCTGGACTTCTGACTTCCAGAACTACAGGATAATGAATAAGTGTTTGTTGTTTTAAGCCACTAAATTGGTGGTAATTTGTTGCAGCATGTATTAGTCCATTCTCACACTGCAGTAAGGAACTACCTGGCCAGGCGCGGTAGCCCACGCCTGTAATCCCAGCACTTTGAGAGGCCGAGGTGGGCGGATCATGAGGTCAGGAGATTGAGACCATTCTGGCTAACATGGTGAAACCCTGTCTCTACTAAAAATACAAAAAATTAGCTAGGCGTGGTGGCGGGCACCTGTAGTCCCAGGTACCCAGGAGGCTGAGGCAGGAGAATGGTGTGAACCTGGGAGGCAGAGCTTTCAGTGAGCCGAGATCGCGCCACTGCACTCCAGCCTGGGTGACAGAGCAAGACTCCATCTAAAAACAAACAAACAAACAAACAAAAAACTACCCGAGACTGGGTAACTTTTAAAGAAAAGAGGTTTAACTGACTCACAGTTCCACAGACTGTATAGGAGGCATGGCTGGAAAGGTGTTAGGAAACTTACAATCATGATGAAAGAGTGAAGGGTAAGCAAGCACATCTTCACATGGCAGAAGAGAGAGACAGCAAAGTACTACACACTTTCAAACAATCAGATCTAGTGAGAACCCACTATTATGAGAAGAGTAAGGGGGGAATATCCCCCCCACGATCCAATCACCTCCTACCAGGTCCCTCCCCCAACACTGGGAATTACAATTCGACATGAGATTTGGGTGGGACACAGAGCCAAATGATATCACAGCAGCAATGAGAAACTGAGGAACCTGGATTCTACCATCTACCAATCATTTACTTACTTGTTTAACCACAGTATACTTTTGAAGCTGTTTTAGATGCAGTTTCAGAATCGCTAACCACACCACTATAAAGAAATCAACCAACTAAAGCACAGTATTTATGTACAATTGCTTTTATCTTTAGCCTTACAATTTCCAATCAAAGCACCCTTTTTGAAGTTACTTAGATTAGTGCCTCTTTTCCCTACCCCTGTCAGTGTAGATATGTCACTTATTTGTGATATGGTTAGATTCATTTGTCACAGTCTTTATCCCATCTTTGGATTCCCCTACATCTTGGTTTATTCTTTTCTAGATGCGTACATTAAAATTCACTTTTTGTGATGTACAGTTCTATGGGTTTTGACACATGCATGGAGTTATGTATCTACTACCCACCCCAGTACCATAAAAAATAATTCCGTCACTCTAAAAGTTTTCCTGTGCATTTTCTTTGTTGTCAACCACTCCCTTCGTTCTTTTTTTTTCTTTCCTTTTTTTTTTTGAGACAGGGTCTCACTCTGTCACCAGGCTGGAGTGCGGTGGCATGATCTTGGCTCACTGCAACCTCTGCCTCCTGGGTTCAAGCGATTCTTCTGCCTCAGCCTCCTGAGTAGCTGGGACTACAGGCATGCGCCACCGTGCCCAGCTAATTTTTGTATTTTTAGTAGAGATGGGGTTTCACCATGTTGGCCAGGATGGTCTTGATATCTTGACCTCGTGATCTGCCCACCTCGGCTTCCCAAAGTGCTGGGATTACAGGTGTGAGCCACTGCACCCGGCCTCCCTTCTTTCTTATCCCTTGGCAATTACTACTGTGTTTTCCATCCCTATAGCTTTGCTATTTCCAGAATATTATTGTATTAATGGAATCATGCAATATGTAGTCTTTTGGATTGTTCTTTCACTTCTAAAATGCATTTAAGATCATCTATGGCTGTGTTGTTACATGATTCAATGGCTCATTCCTTCTTGTTGCTGAGTAATATTCCATTGTATGGATATACCACAGCTTATCTATTTCCTTGTTGAAGACATTTTAGTTGCTTTCAGTTTTTAGTGACTATGAATAAAACTGGTATAGACGTTTGTATATAGATTTTTGTGTGGACATGTTTTAAAATCACCTGGGTAAATACTTAGAAATATGATTGCTGGCTATATGGTTAAGTTTTATACTTAGTTTTATAAGAAACTGCCACACTGTCTTCCAGAGTGGCTGTATCATTTTGCATTCCCACCAACAATGATTGAGAGTTTGCTATTCTGCATCCTTGCCAGCATTTATTATTGTCAGTCTTTTGGATTTTAGCCATTTTAATGGGTGTGTAGTGGCAATTCATTGTAGTTTTAATTTATTGCTTTAATGACATGATGTTGAGCATCTTTTCATGTGTTTATTTGCCGTTTGTATATTACAGTATGTACACCAAACTCCCGTGACATGCAAGTTACCTATATAACAAACCTGTACATGTACCCCTGAACCTAAAATAAAATTAAAAAATAAAATAAAGCAGGTTGCATATATACAAAAATAATTGCTATTTTAGCAATAGCTGTGCATTCATCAAGTTGATGGAAAATAATTTGCTAATTTTATTCTGTGGTCTAGTTTTTTTTTTCATTTTTTAAATTGTAAAATACATATAGCAGAAAATTTACCAACTTAACCACCATTAAATGTACAATTCAATGGTTTTAAGCAAATTCATACTGTTGTACAACCATCATATGGTCTAGTTATTTAATACATTGAGCTATGGAGTCATTAAAAAGTAGTAGTTGAGCTATCTTCATTGCCACTGATTCATTCAAGATTTGCTGGAAATCATCTTTGATACAGTCTTTAACTAATGACTCAGAATGGTATATGTTTTTTTAGGTTTAGCAACTTGAATGCTTAGGTTTAGCAAGAGATAATGCTCAAATATGTTCCATAAGAACATATTCCATATGTTCACATGGAATAATGAGCCTTTACTTTAAAAAAATTTTTAATTCAATAATATTTGCTTAAAAAATTCTTTGGTTTTGAACTTAGGTCTATGTTTTGTATGCAAAAGATGCTTACTTTTTGATGGTTTCATTGCATCATTAGCCAATATATCTCTGCAAAATAACACACTATGGTTTTAGTACTTCACACTCAACTATAGCTATGTAATTAAAAATACATGAAGGTTCATACTTTTGAGTAAAACTAGTAGGGACTAGTCTTCATTTCTTGGGAAACATTTCATTGCTATCGTCTGGTTTTTTACAATGTCTACATTCAGAAAGGATGTATCTTTTCTTGAAAAGGAGTCCAGTAAAGTTTATTTTGTCATAAATAAATTAGGATTAAAAATAACATAAATTATATTTCCAAAATTTATACTATTAATTAACAATTTAAAAGGATTATGAAAATAAGCTATAAAAATAAAGTATATGCTTTCTCAATTTTTTTTTACTTTTGATTATAGTTTACAAACCAACTTTAAAATATTACATCTTAATGCAGTTCAACTGTGCATGACTAGTATAAATGGATAGTACTACAATACTCAAACTTGTTTATATCTTGTTCAAGGAGAAGAGACAACTGATCATGTGCTTGGATGTTACCACAATATTGAATTGCTGTAAAAGTTTCTAAAGCTTTCTCTCAATTTCTGTTCTTTTCTCATTGCAGACCATACTTTAAGAAACACTGTCTGAGATTAGGTCACCGTCCTATCCTCTTTTGACTCCTGCAGTACTCTTATAATCTGTCCCCTCCCTTTACCCTTGACCTTTCTTCTCCAGTGTGTTCTTTGGCCTGTCGTGGTGGCTCATGCAGATAATCCCAGCACTTTGGTAGGCTGAGGCAGGAGGATTGCTTGAGCCCAAAAGTTCAAGACCAGCCTGGGCAACAAAGTGAGAATTCATTTCTACAAAAAATACAAAAAATTAGCTGGTTGTGGTGGTGTGTGCCTGTAGCACTGGCTACTCGGGAAGCTGAGGTGGGAGGATCACCTGAGCCCTGGAGGTCAAGTCTGCAGTGAGCTATGATGATGCCACTGTCCTCCAGCCTGGGCTACAAAATGAGACCCTGTCTGAAAAAACAACAAAAGAAACCTTGACCTTTATTCTCCAGTGTGTTCTTTATCCTGTGGTCATACTGATCTTTCAAAAATGTAAATGATTATATCATTCCTGAGTCAAACCTTTCAAACATTTCTCATTGGTCTTAGGATAAAATCCAAAGTTCTCATTTTGATGTATATTACCTTCAGTGAGCTGGCCAATGCTTACCCCTGTTATGTTTTGACATTTCTTCCTTACACTGTATATTCCAGCCAAAACAAACTAATTTTAGTTTCCTGAATGCTTACTCACTTTCATTTCTGATCTTTTGTAAATATTGTTCCTTCTCTTCCATCTCAGTTCATCAGATAATTCCTATTCACCCAGTAGGTGTCAGCAGCTTAGATGTTACTTCTCCTTAACAATTTCCCCATCACCTCCCCATACACCCTTAGATCTTGACTGGGTTATGTGCTACTCTCATGTGCCCTGACAGCATTCTATACTCACTCTGTTATAGCATTTCCCACACTAAATTAAAATTGGCTTTTCATTTATCTGTTTCCCCTCCCTTACACTGTATGTACCATGAGACATAGTGCATTTTGAGGAAACATGAGTGTAGGCAACTGTAGAAAATTCACTTTGTTCAAAAGCTGGAGGCATCACGCTACCTGACTTCAAACTATACTACAAGGCTACAGTAATCAAAACAGCATGGTACTGGTACCAAAACAGAGATATAGACCAATGGAACAGAACAGAGCCCTCAGAAATAATGCCGCATACCTACAACTATCTGATCTTTGACAAACCTGACAAAAACAAGAAATGGGGAAAGGATTCCCTATTTGATAAATGGTGCTGGGAAAACTGGCTAGCCATATGGAGAAAGCTGAAACTGGATCCCTTCCTTACACCTTATACAAAAATTAATTCAAGATGGATTAAAGACTTACATGTTAGACCTAAAACCATAAAAACCCTAGAAGAAAACCTAGGCAATACCATTCAGGACATAGGCATGGGCAAGGACTTCATGTCTAAAACACTGAAAGCAATGGCAACAAAAGCCAAAATTGACAAATGGGATCTAATTAAACTCAAGAGCTTCTGCACAGCAAAAGAAACTACCATCAGAGTGCACAGGCAACCTACAGAATGGGAGAAAATTTTTGCAACCTACTCATCTGACAAAGGGCTAATATCCGGAATCTACAATGAACTCAAACAAATTTACAAAAAAAAAAAAACAAACAACCCCATCAAAAAGTGGGCAAAGGATATGAACAGACACTTCTCAAAAGAAGACATTTATGCAGTCAAAAAACACATGAAAAAATGCTCACCATCACTGGCCATCAGAGAAATGCAAATCAAAACCACAATGAGATACCATCTCACACCAGTTAGAATGGCAATCATTAAAAAGTCAGAAACAACAGGTGCTGGAGAGGATGTGGAGAAACAGGAACACATTTACACTGTTGGTGGGACTGTAAACTAGTTCAACCATTGTGGAAGTCAGTGTGGCAATTCCTCAGGGATCTAGAACTAGAAATACCATTTGACCCAGCCATCCCATTACTGGGTATATACCCAAAGGATTATAAATCATGCTGCTATAAAGACACATGCACACGTATGTTTATTGCGGCACTATTCACAATAGCAAAGGCTTGGAACCAACCCAAATGTCCAACAATGATAGACTGGATTAAGAAAATGTGGCACATATACACCATGGAATACCATGCAGCCATAAAAAATGATGAGTTCATTTCCTTTGTAGGGACATGGATGAAGCTGGAAACCATCATTCTCAGCAAACTATCACAAGGACAAAAAACCAAACACTGCATGTTCTCACTCATAGGTGGGAACTGAACAATGAGAACACATGGACACAGGAAGGGGAACATCACACACCAGGCCCTGTTGTGGGATGGGGGGAGGGGGAGGGATAGCATTAGGAGATATACCTAATGTTAAATGATGAGTTAATGGATGCAGCACACCAACATGGCACATGTATACATATGTAACAAACATGCACGTTGTGCACATGTACCCTAAAACTTAAAGTATAATAATAATAAAATTTAAAAAAAAAAGAAAGAAAATTCACTTTGTTCAAGTTTCTTATTTTACAGATAAGAGAGCTGAGACCAGAGAGGTCAGGTGTCCTGTGTAAGGACACATAGCTAGTTGGTGTTGAGCTGGGATTGGAAACCCCCATCATTTGATTGCCTGTTCACTGTTTGTTCGGACATGTTGCACTTCCTGAGTTCTTGTGGGGTAAAAGATTAAATTATTTTCAACGTAATAAAGTATAAAGGTGGGAACATAGACTTTAGATTTTTTTTTTTTGAGACAAGTTCTCCTTGGCTGGAGTGCAGTGGCATAATCACAACTCACTGAAACCTCAACCTCCCAGGATTAAGCAATCCTCCCACCTCAGTCTCCCAAGTCGCCACCACGCCTGGCTAATTTTTTTTTTTTAAAGATGGAGTTCTCACTATGTTGTCCAGCTGGTCTCCAACTCCTGGCCTCAAGTGATCCTCCCTTTTCAGATTACAGGGAAAAGCCACTGCACCCAGCCTGGAATGCTTTAATACTCAGTATCAAAGTTTTTTTTTTTTTTTTTCTGGTCAGCAGTTAACTAGAAAATTCTATTAACCAATATACCCCTTTTCCTTTCTTTCTTTTCTCTCTTTTTTTTTTTTTTTTTTTCTGGAGACAGGGTCTTGCTCTGTTGCCCAGATTGGAGTGCAGTGGTGCGATCACAGTTTACTGCAAGCCTCAAACTTCTGGGCTGAAGAGATCCTCCCATCTCAGCCTCTTAAATAGCTGGGACTGCAGGCGTGTGTATCATGCCCAGTTAATTTTTAATTTTTAATTTTTATTTTTTTTTGCAGAGATGGGGTCTCACTATATTGCTTAGGCTGGTCTCAACTCCTGGGCTCAAGTAATCCTCCTGCATCAGCTTCCCAAAGTGCTGGAATTACAGGTGTGAGCTGCCATACCTGGCCTATACTCCTTTTCTTACTACTTTTGGGTGGGTTGAGGTTTCTCCTGTTGCATTCTTAGGCGTACCATGGAAGCATAATGGCCATTAGAGGTCAGTAGAGCACAGGTAGATAGGTAAGACCAGGTTCTGTCCTACAGAGCTAAGATTTTTTTTCCAGATTTATTTGGAGAACAAATTTAGATAAACAAAAAAATACTGAGATATGATTGACATGTAAACATTTGTAGGTATATAATATATACAACTTGATGAGTTTGGAGAGAAGTATACATCCATGAAATCATTGCCAAATTCTAGGCCATGAACATATCCATCAACTTCAAAAGTTTCTTCCCATCCACTTATTAATCATTACTATTATTTTGTGATAAGAACATTTAACATGAGATCTACTCTCTTAGCAAAATTTTAAGTATACAAAGCAATATTGTTAACTATAAGCACTGTGCTATATAGTAGATATCTAGGACTTATCTTGTATAACAGAAACTTTGTACCCTTTGACTAATACCTCCCTATTTTACCCTCCCATTAATCCAGGCAAGCACCATTCTACTCTCTGCTTCTATGAATTTAACTATTTTGCATTCGTCACTTATGTGGTATTTGTCCTGTGTCTGGCTTATTTCACTTAGCATAATGTCCTCCAGATTCATTCATGTTGTTGCAAATGGTGAAATTTCTTTCCTTTATAGTGCTGAATACTATTCCATTGTGTGTTTATACCACATTAAAAAAATCCATTCATTCATCGATGGACATTTGGGTTGCTTCCATGTTTTGGCCATTGTGAATAATGCTGAAATGAACATGCAAATGCAGATATCTCTTCGAGATCCTGATTTCAATTCCTTTGGATACATAACCAAGAAGTGGAATTGCTGGATTATATGGTAGTTTTATTTTTAATTTATTGAGGAACTTCCATAATGTATTCTATAGTGGCTGTGCTAATTTACATTCCCACCGACAGTATATGAGGGTTCCCTTTACTCCCATCCTTGCCAACACTGGTTATCTTTGGTCTTTTTGGTAGTAGCCATGCTAACATATGTGAGGTGATATCTTATTATGGTTTTAATCTACAGTTCCCTGATGGAACATTTACTCATATATTTCAGTAATTTTTAGTATATTCACAAGGTTGTACAACCATCACCACTATCTGTTTCCAGAAAATTTTTATCACCCCCAAAGAAACAGAGTACCCATTAGCAGTAGTCATTTCTCATCCTCTCCTCCTAGTCCTTGGCCACTACTAATGTACTTTTGGTCTCTAAATGTTAGGGGCTAAATATTTGTCTTAGTTTGTTCAGTTTGCTATAAGAAAATACCATAAACTGGGTAATTTATAAAAAACATAAATTTAATTTTGACAGTTCTGGAGATGGGGAAGTCAAAGATCAATGCACCAACAGATTTGGTGTCTGATGAAGGTCCATTTCTTAGTTCATAGATGGTGACTTCTTGCTGTGTCTTTATGTGGTTGAAGGGGCAAATGAGCTCCTTTCGCCTATTTTATAAGGGCACTAATCCCATTCAGGAGGGGTCCACTCACATGACTTAATCAAAGCCAAGGGCCCCACCTCCCAGCACTATTGCTCTGGGGGTTAGGATTTCAACATATGAATTTGGGACGGGACACGGACCTTCAAGCCATAGCAGTTGTCATTTCACTTTCTTGATGGTATCCTTTGAAGGACAAAAATTGTTTTTTTGACAAAGTCCAACTTACTGATTTTTTCCTTAGTTTCTTGTGCTTTATGTGTCATATCTAAGAAACCACTGCCTAATCCTAGGTTGTGAAGGGTTTTGTAGTTTTAGCTTTTGCATTTAGATCTTTGATCCATTTTGAATTAATTTTTGTAAATGGTGTAAGATAGGTATCCAACTTCTTTCTTTTGCGTATGGATATCTACTTGCCCCAGCACCATTTGTCCCATTCTATTTAGGGCATCTAATTTACCAGTATTTAGCATAATTAAAAATGCACATTTCCTGTGTTCCATAAACTCTTCCTCTAACTTATGGAATATCAATGTGGCTCTATGAGGCCATATTCAAGGATATTAATTACAGCATTGTTTTAATTGTAAAATATGATATGATATATTATCATTGAGTAATGAATAAATGATGAAACATTCATATAATGGAACAGTGTATCTGTTAAATGGAAAAATTATATGGGCTGATTTTGAAAGCTACCATGATATTTTACAGAGTTAAATAATTTTTTTAAAGCTGATATTTATTGAACTTTACTGTTTGCCAGGCATAGTTCTAAGTGCTCTATAAGTATTAAGTCATAACAAACCAACAACTCTAAGGTGTTATTATTACCCTATCTTACAGATGAAGTTCATAGCATTTAAGCAGCTTGTTTGCCAAAGTCACATAACTAGTAAGCAGATAAACCAGGACACAACAAGTCTGACTCAAAGTTGGCAGTCTAATCAATCTCTTTATGGTTGCCAAATCTATATCAAATCTATATCTATATCTATATATACATATATCTAGTATATATACATACATATATATTATACATGTATATATTATATATGTATATATTATATATACATATATGAAGAGATTTTACATATATAAACTTCATATATAAAATATATAAATATGTCTTAAATATACAATTATATATAAATTTATATAAAATATATATCCATCCCAACTGGTTTTTAAATAAGCCATCTTTAAGTATATAGGTTTCCATGAGGATTGCAAAATATCTAAAAGATAACCAGAAAAGTATCCATAGTCAGGTTTGAAAGACAGGAAGGAGAAGAGAACAACGTGTACTCAGAGCCTCCTATATGTGTCTTTCTGTGCTATGGCTCTTACAGAAATGATCAGATTTAATTCTTACGACATTGTTACAAGGCATGAATTATACCCATTTTATAAAATAAGAAGTTAAGAATTTAAGTGTTAAATATCTTTCTCAAGTCGCATGGCAGAAGATGAGGTGAGGCTCTCTAGGTTGAAAGAACAGCCTAGGCCGGGCATGGTGGCTCATGCCTGTTATCACAGCACTTTTGGAGGCCGAGGTGGGTGGATCACCTGAGGTCAGAAATTCAAGACCACCCAGGCTAGCTTGGTGAAACACAGTCTCTACTAAAAATGAAAAATTATCCAGGCGTGGTGGGTCACGCCTGTAATCCCAGCACTTTGGGAGGCTGAGGTGGGTGGATCATGAGGTCAAGAGATCGAGACTATCCTGGCCAACATGGTGAAACCCCATCTCTCCTAAAAATACAAAATTAGCTGGGCGTGGTGGCTTGCACCTGTAGTCCCAGCTACTTGGGAGGCTGAGGCAGGAGAATTGCTTGAACCCAGGAGGCAGAGGTTGCGGTGAGCCGAGATTGCACCACTGTACTCCAGCCCATCGACGGAGTGAGACTTTGTCTCAAAAAAAAAAAAAAAAAATAGCCTAAGAAAAGGTGAAAAGATGATAGAATGGAATAAATAAAGTAACTGGCCAGACTAGAGCCAAGGGCTCATGTGGCAAAGAAATGGAAAACAAATGAAATAGATTTAGTGGGGATGTATTACGAAGGGTGTCGAGTGCCAGACAGAGGGATTTAGATGTATTGACTCTGAGGAGCAGATAGGAAAATTGGTGAATATGGGAGTGAAGATGGACATTCTTCTGAATTGCTTGAATTTATTACAACAATCACATATTATTGTTGTAAGTAAAAAAAATTGAGATAGAGATATTTAAAAAACATGTCTGAGGCCTTACCGTTTGCTGGGTATTGTGCCACTATTGATTCCCATCAGACAAAGACTCCTAGGAGCATACCTGTAGTTGAACAAAGTTGGGTTTATTGTCTTGTTGCAATGAGGAAGAAGATATACAATGATGAACCATGGGGCATGTCAGCAGGAGGGCATCTCATGTAGAAATTCCATTTTATCATTCTAATAAAGACAGGCTTTGAAAACTTTTAAGTGGATGTTGAAGACCAGTTAATTAAGGTTTAAAGAGTCAGTGCTGGAAACATATTTAAGCTGGGCACACTTCCAGGTAAAATATACAACCTCTAACTACTCAGACTGAGGACTGAAAGACTGCTAAAGAACTGACAACATCTCGACCTTGTTCTTCGTTAGAACTTGTAAGTATGGCACATCTTTGGCTCACGAATTTTGACGAATTCTCATTCCAAACAGGACATTTCTCAGAGCGAGTTTCATGTCCTTATTACGAAGAGTATAGATCAGAGGATTAAAAAGAGGAGTCGTTACTGAATATACCAGTGTGAGGATCTTCTGCAATAAAGTTGGGATCCCATATGTAGGACTTACATACATTACCATGACTGTCCCATAGAAAAGAGATACCACAACCAAATGAGAACCACAGGTAGAGAAGGCTTTTCTCCGACCAGCTGCAGAAGGGACCTGAAAAACAGCTGTTAGTAACAGGATATAGGATCGAAGAATGTACATACTAGTGAAAAAGAGGACAAGGGAGCTCTGAGTATAGAAAATACATTCAGTTATGGGAGCTGGGGCACAGGATAGAGCCATCAATGGGTCCATGTCACACAGGAAGTGATCAATGATATTAGGACCACAGAAGGGGAGTTGGGAGATGTAGAAAATGGGAATTGGGTATCCAAGGAATCCAATAAGCCAACAGAAAGACACCAGCTTACCACAGAACCTTACAGTCATGATGGCAGGGTACTGCAGTGGGTGGCAGATGGCCAGGTATCGATCATAAGCCATTACTGCCAGAAAGAGACATTCAGTTGTTCCCAGTGAAAAGAAGAAATAGAACTGGAGGAAGCACCCAGAAAATGAGATGGCCTTGGTCTTGGAGAGAATGTTGACTAGCATGTTAGGAATAGTGGAGGACACATACCAGATCTCAAGGAAGGCAAAATTTCCCAGCAGAAAGTACATGGGGGTGTGTAGTAGTGGGTTGCATCTCACTGCATAGATGATGGCTCCATTTCCCAGCAAGGTCAAGACATAAATCACCAAAAACAATGAGAAGAGGAAAATCTGAATCTTCCAGCAACCAGGGAATCCCAGGAGAATAAACTCTGTCACGATGTGTGTTGCTGACCTGTTCATGGGTCTTAAGTCTACAAAGAAGAAAGACATGAGTGTAATCCAAGTCTCTTGGAGTGTAATCCAATTGCTTGCTACGTATCTCAAGGATTTTACTGAGACGAGAACTTGAGGTATACAGGAAAATACATGAGATAATCTGAGACCAGGTGGGAATATGTCCTACCAAATTTTGAATTGATTGTGGTTCTCTGTGTTATTTTGCTAGAATCCAATGCAATCCAATGCAGCTAGAATTTTTGACACTGTAGGGAAAAGAGAGATCAGACTGTCACTGTGTCTATGTAGAAAGGGAAGACATAAGAGACTCCATTTTGAAAAAGACCTGTACTTTAAACAATTGCTTTGCTGAGATGTTAATTTGTAGCTTTGCCCCAGCCACTTTGCCCCAGCCACTTTGACCCAACCTGGAGCTCACAAAAACGTGTGTTGTATAAAATCCAGGTTTAAGGGATCTAGGGCTGTGCAGGATGTGCCTTGTTAACAAAATGTTTACAAGCAGTATACTTGGTAAAAGTCATCGCCATTCTCTAGTCTCAATAAACCAGGGGCACAATGCACTGTGGAAAGCTGCAGGGACCTCTGCCCTTGAAAGCAGGGTATTGTCTGAGGTTTCTCCCCATGTGATAGTCTGAAATATGGCCTCGTGGGATGAGAAAGACCTGACCGTCCCCCAGCCGGACACCCGTAAAGGGTCTGTGCTGACGTGGATTAGTAAAAGAGGAAAGCCTCTTGCAGTTGAGATAGAGGAAGGCCACTGTCTCCTGCTTGCCCCTGGGAACTGAATGTCTAGGTATAAAACCCGATTGTACATTTGTTCAATTCTGAGATAGGAGAAAAACCGCCCTATGGTGGGAAGCGAGACATGTTGGCAGTAATGCTGCCTTGTTATTCTTTACTTCACTGAGATACTTGGGTGGAGAGAACTATATATCTGGCCTACGTGCACATCCAGGCATAGTACCTTCCCTTGAACTTAATTATGACATAGATTCTTCTGCTCACATGTTTTTTGCTGACCTTCTCCTTATTATCACCGTGCTCTCCTACTACATTCCTTTTTGCTGAAATAATGAATATAATAATCAATAAAAACTGAGGGAACTCAGAGGCCGGTGCCGGTGCAGGTCCTTGGTGTGCTGAGTACCGGTCCCCTGGGCTCACTGTTGTTTCTCTATACTTTGTCTCTGTGTCTTATTTCTTTTCTCAGTCTCTCGTCCTACCAGACCAGAAATACCCACAGGTGTGGAGGGGCAGGCCACCTCTCCAGACACTAGTGGCAGAACCAGACAAATTTATTTTCTTTCTTTTCCTTGGATGCTTGAGAAGACCTTTTCAGCTTTTGATTTGTTTTTCCAATGTTGATTATGGGTTTTCTAGCACAAGTTCATCAATTTTCTCTTATTTAGCACAAGTTGTTAGAAAAGACATTTTGAGGATAACTGAAAAAAATAAAATTGGTTTAGATGTTTGAACAAAACAAAATAGATTGACTGCTGCATGGAGATACAACTCCATGATAATATTTTAAAAACATCTCTAACGAACGGCAGTGTTTATTTTTATGTTTTTTACACATACTATACAAAAAGGAACTATCTTACTTTTTGTAATCAGATACCATGTAGATGAAATAAGGAAAATGATGTTTTCTATACAAAAATTTAGTTTATTTAGTGAGCTTTTTCGGTGGTGAAAACAAAGGGATTTTCTAAAAGAATCTGAGATGAAATGGGGCTTCATCTGCAATCCTATGTATTAGAATTTTGTTTACTGAAAGGAAGGTAAGGACATTTTCAAATATTTGACTAGGTATGTACTTTTCAGTAGCAACAAGTTTATGTATTTAAGAATTAAATAAAATACACAAATGTGTTTAAACAACAGTAATCTTATACTTGATTAATACTTAAAATGTGCTGATTAAGTCTTAAAAAAGTGGTAGTTTTGGCTGGGCGTAATGTCTTATGCCTATAGTTCCAGCAATTTGAGAGGCCAAAGTGGGTAGATCGCTGAAGTCAGGAGTTTGAGACCAGCTTGGCCAACATGGTGAAAACCCTTGTCTGCTAAAAATACAAAAATTAGCTGGGTGTGGTGGTGCGTGCCTGTAATCCCAGCTACTTGGGAGGCCAAGCAGAAGAATTGCTTGAACTCAGGAGGTGGAGGTTGCAGTGAGCCGAGATCACACCATTGCACTCCAGCCTGGGTGACAGAGCGAGACTCCACCTCAAAAAAAAAAAAAAAAGAAGGTAGTTTCAATATTGAGTTTCTTGTTAAGTTTAGATCTCTTGTCTTGTTTATTGCAGGTCACCAGTCATAACTTTGTCAGAAATGTAAAAGAAAAATGTGAAAGGCAACAAAGAACACAGAAGTTGAAGGAAGGATCAGGTATTCTTGGGAACGAAGATTTGAATCTCAACATCACTAGTTCTTTGGTAGTTTTTAAGGATGCATAAAAAGGGAAATTTGGAGCATCTGAGTTCTAAAGTTGTCCAGCTTTCCAATCAATGCTGAATTTAAAAGGCATTTGTTTACCATCTTCCTTGAATAAGGTGCTCAATAGGTGATTTCCAGATTGTTGTTTACGAAGCATAAATACATCCCTTTCTCTGCTATACACAGGTCAGAGAACAAGTCCAGGCTCAGACTTAAATTGGGAACCAGAATTGTGAGATCTGAGCCTCCCGCCCTTTGTTCTGAATGCCTGCTTGATGAGAATAACAGTTTAGGACATTCTCCATTATACACTGACAACTTTACACTACACTTCGTCTTTTCTACTACCCTACTCTGCAAGTGCTTTATTAGCAGCAACATTGTTTTTTCTGAAGCCTTTGGAGAAGTGTAGATAAGTAATGGAATGATCAAAAGCTGGGGAGCTTAATAGAAAGACCCGAGTAATCAATTTCAGAGTTTTCGCATTGACGGAATAAACTGTTTCCACAAAGTTTTATATAACACCACCCTCCAAAGTCTCCAAAACGCTGTCTGGGAATAGTTAGGTAATTAGAATAGAATCTTCATTATTTTATGACACAAACATACTGTTTCTCCTGATTTTTGAGATATATCATTATTTGAGCTACAATCCTAGGAGACCAGCTCTTTCTTTTTCTTTTTCTTTTTTTTTTCTGAGACAGTCTCGCTCTGTCGCCGAGGCTGGAGTGCAGTGGCGCGATCTCGGCTCACTGCAAGCTCCACCTCCCGGGTTCACGCCATTCTTCTGCCTCAGCCTCCTGAGTAGCTGGGACTATAGGCGCCCGCCATCACGCCCGGCTAATTTTTTGTATTTTTAGTAGAGACGGGGTTTCGCCGTGTTAGCCAGGATGGTCTGGATCTCCTGACCTCGTGATCGGACTGCCTCGGCCTCCCAAAGTGGTGGGATTACAGGCATGAGCCACCGCGCCCGGCCGAAACCAGCTCTTTCATGTACTGTACTCCTTTCCAGTACAAGAAACTACCAACCAACCAATCAACCCACCAGTCCACCTACCATAAGTGTGATAGCTTGATTTAATAGCCTTCTGTTGAATGCCCCTCACTTAGTATATTGTCTTCCCAGGTGTCCTGAGAGAAGGAACACACCACCTGATTATTCCTGGAAAGTAAGATTGTTTTCAGAAAGATGGTTGTTAATGACCATAAAATCATAGAATTAGAAGAAATGGTATAATGATCTAACTTCATTTTACAAATGAGGCTCAGAGAGGGGCATGACTTTTTACCCAATAAATATGTGTCCTGGATTCACATATGGAACTTTTATACTATACTATTATACTGCCTCCTTTGAGTCTTTGCAGAGAAACAGTGCCTAATCAGATTTATAAAGTCAAAGAGACTCTGTAGCATATCATAGCAGTGGTTTCTTACCTACAATCATGGCTTTTCTGGCTCAGTTTGGAGACAGCGGTGCGCACGGCAGAAATGAGGCAGAATTGAGCATAACCTCAGCATCAAGCATCTCCTCTTCACTGGCTCTGTTGAGGAAAACTCCAGGTGAGGGCATTATATGTGGTTTATTGCCCTGCCTTCATTCCTGGAGACTCCAGAGGCTTTTCTCAGAATTTGCTGAGAGGTTTAACATGCGAATCAGTATTACATCTATGTTTTCACTCAGGGATTACTGTAAAGCCCTGTGTTTCTCCCCATATGGTTTCAGTGGCTTACCCAAGTTTCCCTGGAGTGCGTTCTCTTTCCAACACTGGGGCTCATCTATAATATATACAATAGATAGTATATATATATTTATATATAATAGATAGTATATATATTTATATATAATATATATACTATATATAGATTATATATAATATATAATAAATATATATAATTTATATAATATATGTAATATATATAATATATATTTATAATAAATATATATAATGTAATATTATATATAATATTATATACTATATATTATATATAGTATATATTTATATACTATATAGTGTATGTTATACATAGTATATATTTATATAGTATATATATTTATATATTTATATAATTATATTTTTATATATTTATAAATTATATATTATATTTATATAGAATATATAATTATATATTATATATTTATTTATATATAAATATATAAATTTATATATTTATTTATATATAAATATATAAATTTATATATTATAAATTAAGAATTATATAATTATATAATTATAATTATATAATTTAGATAATTATACTATATATTTATATAGTATATATTTATGTAGCATATATATACCATCTATTATATATACTATATAAATATACATAGTATATATTTATATATAATATATATTATATATAATATATATAATATATATAATATGTATATAATATGTATTATATATAATATATAATATATTATGTATAATACGTATTATATATAATATATAATATATTATATATAATATGTAATATATTTATATATATAATATGTAATATATAATATATTCTATATTATATATAATATATTCTATATTATATATAATATATTCTATATTATATATAATATATTCTATATTATATATAATATATTCTATATTATATATATAGTATATATATAGTATATATATATATATAGTATATATACTATATATAATATAGTATAAATAGTATATATACTATATATACTATATAGTATGTATAGTATATATAGTATATATATTTATATTAAAGATATATACTATAAAGTATATATATTTATATTAAAGATATATACTATAAAGTATATATCTTTATATACTTTATATATATTATATATAATATATTATATATATTTGATAATATATATATTTTAAATATATTATATATATAATATATGTATATAAATATAAATATAAATATATAAAATATATATAGATATATTTATATCTATATGAATATATACTATATAGTATATGTATAATATATAGTATATATTTTATATATGCGATATATAATATGTAGTATATATTTTATATATGTGGTATATAATATATAGTATATATTTTTTATATGCTACATATAATATATAGTACATATTTTATATGTGCCACATATAATATATAGTACATATTTTATATGTGCCACATGTAATATATAGTACATATTTTATATGTGCCACATGTAATATATAGTACATATTTTATATGTGCCACATGTAATATATAGTATATATTTTATATGTGCCACGTGAAATATATAGTATATATTTTATATGTGCCACGTGATATATATCGTATATATTTTATATGTGCCACGTGTAATATATGGTAGATATTTTATATGTGCCACGTGTAATATATGGTATATATTTTATATGTGCCACGTGTAATATATGGTATATATTTTATATGTGCCACGTGTAATATATGGTATATATTTTATATGTGCCACGTGTAATATATGGTATATATTTTATATGTGCCACGTGTAATATATGGTATATATTTTATATGTGCCATGTGTAATATATGGTATATATTTTATATGTGCCAAATGTAACATATGGTATATATTTATATATGCTATATATAATATATGGTATATATATTATATATAATATATAATATATATACCATATATTATATATAAATATATTTACTATATAATATATAAATATATATAGTATATATAATATATAAATATATATAGTACATATAAGATATAAATATATATACTATATATTTATATATAATATATAAATATATATACTATATATAAGATATAAATATATATACTATATATTTATATATAATATATAAATATATATACTATATATTTATATATAATATATAAATATATATACTATATATTTATATAATATAAATATATATACTATATGTTTATATATAAGATATAAATATATATACTATATATTTATATATAATATATATACTATATATTTATATATAATATATAAATATATATACTATATATTATATATAATATATATACTATATATTCATATATATACTATATATTTATATATAATATATAAATATATATACTATATATTTATATATAATATATAAATATATAGCTTGAGGAGCCAAGATGGCCGAATAGGAACAGCTCCGGTCTAGAGCTCCCAGCGTGAGCGACGCGGAAGACGGGCCATTTCTGCATTTTCATCTGAGGTACCGGGTTCATCTCACTAGGGAGTGCCAGACAGTGGGTGCAGGTCAGTGGGTGCGCGCACCGTGCGTGAGCCGAAGCAGGGAGAGGCATTGCCTCACTTGGAAAGCGCAAGGGGTCAGGGAGTTCCCTAAGTCAAAGAAAGGGGTGACGGACGGCACCTGGAAAATTGGGTCACTCCCACCCGAATACTGCGTTTTTCCGACAGGCTTAAAAAATGGCACACCACGAGATTATATCCCGCACCTGGCTCGGAGGGTCCTACGCCCACGGTGTCTCGCTGATTGCTAGCACAGCAGTCTGTGATCAAACTGCAAGGCGGCAGCGAGGCTGGGGGAGGGGCGCCCGCCATTGCCCAGGCTTGCTTAGCTAAACAAAACAGCCGGGAAGCTCGAACTGGGTGGAGCCCACCACAGCTCAAGGAGGCCTGCCTGCCTCTGTAGGCTCCACCTCTGGGGGCAGGGCACAGACAAACAAAAAGACAGCAGTAACCTCGGCAGACTTAAATGTCCCTGTCTGACAGCTTTGAAGAGAGCAGTGGCTCTCCCAGCACGGAGCTGGAGATCTGAGAACGGGCAGACTGCCTCTTTAAGTGGGTCCCTGACCCCTGACCCCTGACCCCTGAGCAGCCTAACTGGGAGGCACCTCCCAGCAGGGGCACACTGACACCTCACACGGCAGGGTATTCCAACAGACCTGCAGCTGAGGTTCCTCTCTGTTAGAAGGAAAACAAACAGAAAGGACATCCACACCAAAAACCCATCTGTACATCACCATCATCAAAGACCAAAAGTAGATAAAACCACAAAGATGGGGAAAAAACAGAATGGAAAAACTGGAAACTCTAAAAAGCAGAGTGCCTCTCCTCCTCCAAAGGAATGCAGTTCCTCACCAGCAACGGAACAAAGCTGGATGGAGAATGACTTTGACGAGCTGAGAGAAGAAGGCTTCAGATGATCAAATTACTCTGAGCTACGGGAGGACATTCAAACCAAAGGCAAAGAAGTTGAAACCTTTGAAAAAAATTTAGAAGAATGTATAACTAGAATAACCAATACAGAGAAGTGCTTAAAGGAGCTGATGGAGCTGAAAACCAAGGCTCGAGAACTACGTGAAGAATGCAGAAGCCTCAGGAGCCGATGTGATCAACTGGAAGAAAGGGTATCAGTGATGGAAGATGAAATGAATGAAATGAAGCGAGAAGGGAAGTTTAGAGAAAAAAGAATAAAAAGAAATGAGCAAAGCCTCCAAGAAATATGGGACTATGTGAAAAGACCAAATCTATGTCTGATTGGTGTACCTGAAAGTGATGGGGAGAATGGAACCAAGTTGGAAAACACTCTGCAGGATATTATCCAGGAGAACTTCCCCAATCTAGCAAGGCAGGCCAACGTTCAGATTCAGGAAATACAGAGAACACCACAAAGATACTCCTCGAGAAGAGCAACCCCAAGACACATAATTGTCAGATTCACCAAAGTTGAAATGAAGGAAAAAATGTTAAGGGCAGCCAGAGAGAAAGGTCGGGTTACCCTCAAAGGGAAGCCCATCAGACTAACAGCAGATCTCTCGGCAGAAACCCTACAAGCAGAAGAGAGTTGGGGCCAATATTCAACATTCTTAAAGAAAATAATTTTCAACCCAGAATTTCATATCCAGCCAAACTAAGCTTCATGAGTGAAGGAGAAATAAAATACTTTACAGACAAGCAAATGCTGAGAGATTTTGTCACCACCAGGCCTGCCTTACAAGAGCTCCTGAAGGAAGCACTAAACATGGAAAGGAACAACTGGTACCAGCCGCTGCAAAATCATGCCAAAATGTAAAGACCATCGAGACTAGGAAGAAACTGCATCAACTAACGAGCAAAATAACCAGCTAACATCATAATGACAGGATCAAATTCACACATAACAATGTTAACTTTAAATGTCAATGGACTAAATGCTCCAATTAAAAGACACAGACTGGCAAATTGGATAAAGAGTCAAGACCTATCAGTGTGCTGTATTCAGGAAACCCATCTCACGTGCAGAGTCACACATAGGCTCAAAATAAAAGAATGGAGGAAGATCTACCAAGCAAATGGAAAACAAAAAAAGGCAGGGGTTGCAATCCTAGTCTCTGATAAAACAGACTTTAAACCAACAAAGATCAAAAGAGACAAAGAAGGCCATTACATAATGGTAAAGGGATCAATTCAACAAGAAGAGCTAACTATCCTAAATATATATGCACCCAATACAGGAGCACCAAGATTCATAAAGCAAGTCCTGAGTGACCTACAAAGAGACTTAGACTCCCACACATTAATAATGGGAGACTTTAACACCCCACTGTCAACATTAGACAGATCAATGAGACAGAAAGTCAACAAGGATACCCAGGAATTGAACTCAGCTCTGCACCAAGCGGACCTAATAGACATCTACAGAACTCTCCACCCCAAATCAACAGAATATACATTTTTTTCAGCACCACACCACACCTATTCCAAAATTGACCACATACTTGGAAATAAAGCTCTCCTCAGCAAATGTAAAAGAACAGAAATTATAACAAACTATCTCTCAGACCACAGTGCAATCAAACTAGAACTCAGGATTAAGAATCTCACTCAAAACTGCTCAACTACACGGAAACTGAACAACCTGCTCCTGAATGACTACTGGGTACATAACGAAATGAAGGCAGAAATAAAGATGTTCTTTGAAACCAACGAGAACAAAGACACAACATACCAGAATCTCTGGGACGCATTCAAAGCAGTGTGTAGAGGGAAATTTACAGCACTAAATGCCCACAAGAAAAAGGAGGAAAGATCCAAAATTGACACCCTAACATCACAATTAAAAGAACTAGAAAAGCAAGAGCAAACACATTCAAAAGCTAGCAGAAGGCAAGAAATAACTAAAATCAGAGCAGAACTGAAGGAAATAGAGACACAAAAAACTCTTCAAAAAATTAATGAATCCAGGAGCTGGTTTTTTGAAAGGATCAACAAAATTGATAGACCGCTAGCAAGACTAATAAAGAAAAAAAGAGAGAAGAATCAAATAGACGCAATAAAAAATGATAAAGGGGATATCACCGCCGATCCCACAGAAGTACAAACTACCATCAGAGAATACTACAAACACCTCTACGCAAATAAGCTAGAAAATCTAGAAGAAATGGATAAATTCCTGGACACATACACTCTTCCAAGACTAAACCAGGAAGAAGTTGAATCTCTGAATAGACCAATAACAGGAGCTGAAATTGTGGCAATAATCAATAGCTTACCAACCAAAAAGAGTCCAGGACCAGATGGATTCACAGCTGAATTCTACCAGAGGTACAAGGAGGAACTGGTACCATTCCTTCTGAAACTATTCCAATCAATAGAAAAAGAGGGAATCCTCCCTAACTCATTTTATGAGGCCAGCATCATTCTGATACCAAAGCCAGGGAGAGACACAACAAAAAAAGAGAATTTTAGACCAATATCCTTGATGAACATTGATGCAAAAATCCTCAATAAAATACTGGCAAAACAAATCCAGCAGCACATCAAAAAGCTTATCCACCATGATCAAGTGGGCTTCATCTCTGGGATGCAAGGCTGGTTCAATATATGCAAATCAATAAATGTAATCCAGCATATAAACAGAACCAAAGACAAAAACCACATGATTATCTCAATAGATGCAGAAAAAGCCTTTGACAAAATTCAACAACACTTCATGCTAAAAACTCTCAATAAATTAGGTATTGATGGGACGTATTTCAAAATAATAAGAGCTATCTATGACAAAACCACAGCCAATATCATACTGAATGGACAAAAACTGGAAGCATTCCCTTTGAAAACTGGCACAAGACAGGGATGCCCTCTGTCGCCACTCCTGTTTAACATAGTGTTGAAAGTTCTGGCCAGGGCAATTACACAGGAGAAGGAAATAAAGGGTATTCAATTAGGAAAAGAGGAAGTCAAATTGTCCCTGTTTGCAGACAACATGACTGTATATCTAGAAAACCCCATTGTCTCAGCCCAAAATCTCCTTAAGCTGATAAGCAACTTCAGCAAAGTCTCAGGATACAAAATCAATGTACAAAAATCACAAGTATTCTTATACACCAACAACAGACAAACAGAGAGCCAAATCATGAGTGAACTCTCATTCACAATTGCTGCTAAGAGAATAAAATACCTAGGAATCCACCTTACAAGGGACGTGAAGGACCTCTTCAAGGAGAACAAGAAACCACTGCTCAATGAAACAAAAGAGGATAGAAACAAATGGAAGAACATTCCATGCTTATGGATAGGAAGAATCAATATCGTGAAAATGGCCATACTGCCCAAGGTAATTTACAGATTCAATGCCATCCCCATCAAGATACCAATGACTTTCTTCACAGAATTGGAAAAAACTACTTTAAAGTTCACGTGGAACCAAAAAAGAGCCCACATTGCCAAGTCAATCCTAAGCTAAAAGAACAAAGCTGGAGGCATCACACTACCTGACCTCAAACTATACTACAAGCCTACAGTAACCAAAACAGCATGGTACTGGTACCAAAACAGGGATATAGATCAATGGAACAGAACAGAGCCCTCAGAAATAACGCCGCATATCTACAACTATCTGATCTTTGACAAACCTGAGAAAAACAAGCAATGGGGAAAGGATTCCCTATTTAATAAATGGTGCTGGGAAAACTGGGTAGCCATATGGAGAAAGCTGAAACTGGATCCCTTCCTTACATCTTATACAAAAATAAATTCAAGATGGATTAAAGACTTAAACGTTAGACCTAAAACCATAAAAACCCTAGAAGAAAACCTAGGCATTACCATTCAGGACATAGGCATGGGCAAGGACTTCATGTCTAAAACACCAAAAGCAATGGCAACAAAAGACAAAATTGACAAATGGGATCTAATTAAACTAAAGAGCTCCTGCACAGCAGAAGAAACTACCCTCAGAATGAACAGGCAACCTACAAAATGGGAGAAAATTTTCGCAACCTACTCATCTGACAAAGGGCTAATATCCAGAATCTACAATGAACTTAAACAAATTTACAAGAAAAAAACAAACAACCCCATCAAAAAGTGGGTGAAGGACATGAACAGACACTTCTCAAAAGAAGACATTTATGCAGCCAAAAGACACATGAAAAAATGCTCATCATCACTGGCCATCAGAGAAATGCAAATCAAAACCAAAATGAGATCCCATCTCACACCAGTTAGAATGGCAATCATTAAAAAGTCAAGAAACAACAGGTGCTGGAGAGGATGTGGAGAAATAGGAACACTTTTACACTGTTGGTGGGACTGTAAACTAGTTCAACCATTGTAGAAGTCAGTGTGGCGATTCCTCAGGGATCTAGAACTGGAATTACCATTTGACCCAGCCACCCCATTACTGGGTATATACCCAAAGGATTATAAATCATGCTGCTATAAAGAGACATGCACACGTATGTTTATTGCGGCATTATTCACGATAGCAAAGACTTAGAACCAACCCAAATGTCCAACAATGATAGACTGGATTAAGAAAATGTGGCATATATACACCATGGAATACTATGCAGCCATAAAAATGATGGCTTCATGTCCTTTGTAGGGACATGGATGAAGATATTAAGATTTTTATGTGTTATTTTTACCATATATTGGGGCCAACCTGCTCCCATGGAGCACATTTCTGAAACTAGAAGCTCGTCAAAATATGATCAGATACATGAAGAGTTTTGCTTGTACAAAAGGATGGCGATGACCATGAATAAAATCAAGTCAGTTAGTGTTAAAAGAAGAGGATTATTCTTCCAATCGCATTAAGAGTCATTGGGTTATAAAAAACCCTATTCATGATCTCTGGATAATTCTCATTCCACAGAAGACATGATGGAGGGCATATTTCATGTCCTTGTTGCGTAGGCTGTAGATGAGGGGGTTTAAGACAGGTGTTACCACAGAATATATCAGTGTGATGAGCTTATGCATAGCAACTGAGTTGCCAGGTGTGGGACTCACATACATCAGCATTATGGCTCCATAGAACAGAGACACAACAACCAAGTGTGACCCACAGGTAGAGATGGCCTTTTGCCATCCAGCTGAAGAAGGAACCTGAAGCACAGTTCTGAGCACCAAGGTATAGGACCCAAGGATGTACACCATGGTGAGGTTGATGAAAAGAGAGCTCACAGAATGGAACACATGCCCTATGATGTGAGTAGGGGCAGAGGACAATGCCATCAGTGGGTCTACATCACACAGAAAATGATCAATGATGTTGGGACCACAGAAAGGTAGTTGAAAAATGAAGAAAATGGAAATTGAATGTCCAAGGAAACCAATGAGCCAACAAAGAGACACCAAGATGCCACAGAGCTGGCCAGTCATAATGGAGGGATAGTGCAGTGGGTGGCAGATGGCCAGGTACCGATCATAAGCCATGACACAGAGGAAGAAGCATTCAGTTGTGCCCAGGGAAAAGAAGAAGTGGAACTGAGTGAAACATCCAGAGAATGATATGGTCTTAGTTTTGGAGAAAAAATTTACCAGCATGTTGGGGACTGTGCAGGTCACATACCAGATCTCTAGGAAGGAGAAGTTGGCTAGGAGCACGTACATAGGGGTATGGAGTCGATGGTCCCACCTCACTGCACAGATGATGGCCATATTCCCAGTCAGAGTGAAGATGTAGACCAACAAAATCATTGAGAAAAAGATGATCTGAATTTTCCAGGGACCAGGAAACCCCAACAACACAAACTGCGTCACAGTAGATATCTGTGAGTTATTCATGCTTCCCAGACTGTGGAGAGAACACCGATGGTCAATGACAATTTGCTTTGCTGATGAAGCATCTTGAAGCTTTTTTTGGGATAAGGAGTTTGACTCTTGCAGGTGAATATATTGGATATTCTAAAAGAATTCTTAAGCACACCTGGTTTATCTTTCTCAAATGAGTCCTGTGGGTCTGATTCTTGTAAACTTCAGGTTGTTTGAATTTTCTGTGGCAATGGACAAAAATCAACATTTCATCTTCTTTTGATATAAAGAAATTCTTGAAATAGAGGCAAAAATGGTTTGTTTTATATCTAATTTGTTTTTCAGTGAAAGATGTTCATATATAGCAATTACTTATTGCTGTTCACTTCAAATTATGAAGACATATGCCATCATTTTTAATATATTCAAGTCTGAGACTTTTTACAGCTTTGAGTAGTTTGTACTTTTGACATTATTTCAGATTCTTTCTTTCCGGAGCTATTTCTGTTAAGAGTATTTATTTTCTTCCAATTTTTTTAGTGATACCAGGAGAAAGTCAACAAGGATATTTAGATAATAAAATTCTTTATATATTTTGCTTTTTCCTATTTAGAGACATTTATATTGTACTACAGCTTATTTACAATTTGGTATTTAATCATTTGCTTTTAGCAATAAAATGTCATAATTATTCATTTCCTGGTGATTAATTTCACATTATAATTTATCATGCTCCATATACCTTTAAAAAGAAATATTTCATTAAAGATAACATATAAGATAGCGAAGATAACTACAGTTACTGGGATATTTTCTTCTAAAGCTCCTCTTATTACTTTTGCCAGAATTTTCTCTAAAATTCACTGTTTGTAAGATCTTTCTTTAGTCCATGTAAAATAATAGCCTCCAAATATTCAAAAAAACAAGATACAAGAGAATCAAAGGTGTTATTTCAAACATAATTATTTACCCATTTTCCGAGAGTTGGTTTGTTTCCTTTAGAACACCATCACCAAAGAAGATATATTTTCAAGAATCAAATACAACTCCAAGAAAAGAGTAAATGATAGCTTTAACATATGGGACTCTTCAGAAAAATTTTAACAAGATACCTTTAACTTTTTTGATTGTTAAGAGGATAATTTGCCTTATATTTTTTTCAATTAAAGTAGCACATATATAGTATTTGATCAAGGTGGTATATACATATATGTACACACACACATATATACATAGTGTGTTTGTCTGTATGCATATATATTTACAGTACTCACTGAACATAATCAAATAGAAAAAACCCTCCTATTCAGTGAGGTTATATTAAATAAGAAATATATTTATGATCATGCAGCTGTTGCAGTTAGTAATGCACAAGGTGAACTATGAATCTACCCATCTAGAAGGAAACATAGACCTTTTCATAGAGCTGGTTTTGCAAAAGGTTGTGGTTTGGTGGACAAGAAGCCAAAAAGAGAAAGAAACTGCAAGATGGGGATCAGTGATTTTTAATTTTTTAAACTAGGATGATTATGAAGAACTAAACTAAACCTGCATCGATGGTCATTTTTGTAAGATATCATAAAAGAATGGCTCCCCACTATGGGTCCTCTATACATTCTCCTTTCCGAGCAAGAAACCTCTCTCCTCAACAAGATGAGAAAGCAGTGATGCAGGGAGCAGCCACTTATGCTTGGAACAGAGAAGGAGCAACAATGTTTTTGAACTCAGATTCACAGACTTTGACCCAAAATCAAAATGCACAAGACCGAGCTGCTTCTTTGAGCTTAGACTACTTTCATTGACATTAAAAACAACAAACAAACAAAAACCTTGCAGAAAAACAATTAGCCACAGGGAAAGCATGGTAAATAAATTTCACAGATAATTTCCAACATATTTGTAAGAAACAGTTCCTAATATATTCACCACTAAATCTATGTGAGTTCTTAGTCCACAAAAACATTGATTTTATTTTTATCTTTTCTTTTTTTTTAAATGTCACTTCTCCTGAAGGTGCAAAGTGAGTAATGAAAGGGACAGAGAGAGGAAAACAGAGAGAAGATTAAAAAAAATTCCAATTTTCTTTTGGTTTTAGTCCCAGTGGATAAAGCTAGTTCCATACTGTTAAGCTCAAAATCTCTACAAACGTCATAGCATTCCTGGTGCCTCAGGCACTTCCTGAGAAGGAGAAGACCTGTGGATGATTAGTGTACTTCTTTTGGAAAGTGTGAATTGCATGGTGATCTCAACACTCTGAGGGATTTTTTTTCTTTTGGTTTTTGAGCTGAAAGATAGACCAATATTCTTTGATACTCAATCTCTGAAGCATGTTGAATGAAGAAATGTATAGGTGAGTAGTCCATCTGTCGTGTATAACAGCAGCAACGCTCAACGAAGAATACCTCTCCTACATACCAGGAAGCTTTCCTAGGTCATCCCTGAGAAAGCCTGCAGGGAGGCCACACGGATTCTCTCCTTCACTGGCTCCAATATGGAAGTCCTGTGTCAGAGCTTCACCAGTGGCTTATTTCACTTCTCTTGTACCCTAAGAGTCTAGTGGCTTGTTTCTCACTGAGGGTGTTGAACTATGTGTTGGTCTTAATTTATGCCTCATTTGAGGCACTGTTGAGAATTCTCAGGTCTCCCTTCATGTTCTTGTGATTCTGTAACTTTCTGTGCTGTCCCTAGGGATCTTCATACATCTTGCCTGGGGGTTTAATTGATATTTTTGTTAACATTTCCTGTAGGGATTATTAAAAATAACATGTTATATTAACTCTGAGGAAACCCCATGGTCTCCTTGAGTTGTGCTCAAACAGCATGTGCTATAGGATACGTAAAAGCCCCAGATTAAATGTCTTCCTGAGGGGCCAATTTTACCTAGAAAGATAATTTTATATCACACCAAATATGTATGTACTATGAATTAGGAAGTATAATTTATGACAATTTTTGAGATACAATTTTGAATTTAAAGAAATATTATCCCCCAATACCCCATGTTCTCTGACCACTCTTGCTAAACATGCTTTGGTGGAAAGATTTGACAAACACGGTTTGGGAGCATTACATCACCTAGCACCGGCAGGCCCATCTTCCTTGCCCCACCTGATTTCATTGTGGGGTAGCCATAACTAAAAGGTGTGTTTTCATTTTAAGTAGATTCAACTCTTAGTTGATTGCCTTTTTGTTTCAGCCTAGAGTTTGGATACTAAAATGAAATTTGTTCTTGACATAATTTTCTCTGAATATTTTTCTAACTTAGACTTTGCCCTACAGCCTCTGAGAGGCACCTGTTGCTCTGTGGTTGACATGAAAACTGCTGGGTACAAATAAAAATATGTTTAGGGCATCATTCCTAGTATAAATAATATTGGGGTTGTCATGACTAATTTAGAGAGGAAGTACTGTGAGTAAAGATACCCAGTTGGGACTAAATATGTTTGAGGACTGATCATCATGAAATGCAAGACTTGTACAGTGGATCACTAGGAGAGAAAACTGAAGGGAGCAGTGTGTTGAGTGAAGGCCTTGAATGGCAAAGAGTTTGGTTTTTATGTCTAAGGGATAGAGGTATGAAGCATAGAGGTTTAAAGCATACTCTGTTCTTGGTGTGAAAGACAACCTCAAATAATGGAAGATGTCTATTACTATGTTTTTTTCTGGTGGCCTCTTGACACACAAATATTCTTTAAGAATATTTATTTTCTGGCCGGGTGTGGTGGCTCACGCCTGTAATCCCAGCACTTTAGGAGGTCAAGGGTAGGGGGGTGGATCACTTGAGGTCAGGAGTTCGAGACCAGCTTGGCCAACATGGTGAAACCCCATCTCTACTAAAAATACAAAAATGACCCCATCTCTACTAAAAATACAATTAGCCAGGTGTGGCGGTGGGCACCTGTAATCCCAGCTACTTGGGAGGCTGAGGCAGGAGGATCACTTGAAGCCGGGAGGCGGAGATTGCAGTGAGCCAAGACTGTGCCACTGCACTCCAGCCTGGGCAACAAGAGCGAAACTTCGTCTCAGAAACAAACAAACAAACAAACAAACAAAAATATGTATATTTTCTGAATTGAAAATATCTCACTTTTTTTTTTTTTTTTTTTTTTTTTTTTTTTAAGATGCAGTCTTGCTCTATCATGCAGGCTAGGGGGCAGTGGCGTGATATCAGCTCACTGCAAGCTTAGCCTCCCAGGTTCAAGCAATTCTCATTCCTCAGCCTCCTGAGTAGCTGGGATTACAGGTGTGTGCCATCACGCCCAGCTAATTTTTGTATTTTTAGTAGAGACAGGGTTTCATCATATTGCCCAGGCTGGTCTCGAATTCCTGATCTCAGGTGATCCTCCCGCTTTGGCCTCCCAAAGTGCTGGGATTACAGTCGTGAGCCACCGTGCCCAGCCAGATCTCACTCTTTTGAAAGGTTTCAGTACACATGCAATTGATTTCTTCTGTCAGCTAAGATTAAAACTAGCAAAGATACATCACAGAAAAATAATATACGTATATATACACCCACCCACCACATAACTACTCAGTGAGGCCACATATGTTTAAAATGTTTTATTGAGCATTGGCATTTATCATTAATGAGCTGAATTTAACTGCTAAGGAACTGTGAAAGATAAGTCTGTCTACCTGAGTGTGAGCCAGAACATACTACTGAAGCTACTCTCTATAGTTATAAAAAATTAAGGTCAGAAGTGGCCAATTTGGCTTCTTTTTCAAAGATATCTCAGTTTTGGCTAACTGTTAACCCCAGGACTCTCTTTAGAGCATCTTTCATGTCTTTGTTTCGAAGACTATAGATAAGGGGATTTAAGAATGGAGTCATTGCTGTGTATACCAGAGTGATGATCTTCTGCATTCCTGCTGGGTTCCCTGATGTTGGGCTCACATACATCACCATAAGGGTTCCATAGAATAGAGACACCACCATTAGGTGGGACCCACATGTGGAGAAAGCTTTAGTTCGACCAGCACCAGAGGGAATACAAAGCACAGCTCTGATGACCAGAGTGTAAGATCCCAAGATGGAGAGGAAGGGCCCAAAGATAATCATCGAGTTGAAGGTGTAACAGATAAGCTCAGTGGAAGGAGCAGAGATGCAGGCCAGTGCAAACAATGGGCCTGGGTCACACACCAAGTGGTCAATGATGTTGGGCCCACAGAAGGGAAGTTGGGAGATAAGAACAATAGGGACTGGATAGCAGAGAAATCCGCCTACCCAGCATACACAGACCAGAATTATACAGAACTTCCCAGTCATGATGGAGGGGTAGTGTAATGGACGACAGATGGCCAGGTACCGATCATAAGCCATAACTGATAAAAAGAAACACTCTGTTGTACCCAGTGAAAAAAAGAAATAGAATTGCAGGAAGCAACCAGAGAAGGAGATGGTTTTAATCTCAGAGAGGATATTGACTAGCATGTTTGGGACAGTGGAGGAAATGTACCAGATCTCTAGAAAGGCAAAGTTTCCCAGAAGGATGTACATGGGTGTGTGGAGCCGCCTGTCCAATTTCACTGCACAGACAATAGCTCCATTCCCTAGCAGTGTCAGGAGATAGAGAACCAGGATGAATGAGAAGAAGCAGCTCTGCATCTCCCTTTGACCATGGAAACCCAGGAGGACAAACTCAGTCACAAAATGCATTGTTCTGTTCTGGGGTCCCAAAGCTGTTAGAAAAACAGAAGTAACCAAAGAATGAATAATAAAGAACATTTGGAGATTTTGCTAACTCATGCTGGATGATGTACTAAGTATTTTTACATACATTATCTCATTTGGTCTTCCTAATGACTCTTTGAGCTGCGAGGAGGTATTCTTTACCCTTCTCTTTCACAGACAGGGTAATTGAAGTTCAAAGAGATTAGAAGGGTTCACTTAAACATATGTACAAAGCCAGTAACGCCCAGATACACTGGCCTATTTGGAGATTGGTTTGGAACAAATCATGTTTCACTTCAAATTTTCTATAACCCTGAGTCTCAGTAATGTTTCATCTTTAATGGTAAAATCACTGCCCCTTAGATACTCTACATATAAATATAAACTTTGGATATATTCTTTTACTTTAAAGCAAAATTGAGTATAAATCTGAAGCAAGAATAGTTGCTATATTAAAATTGCCTTCTTAGAGCCTCATATGTAGAAGTCCAATAAAAAGCAGATAGGAATTAAACTTTGGGGAGTCTTCAGCTCCCTTCCTTTTGCTACTCTCAGGGAGGTGCTGCAGAACCCTTAGGAATCTGTAAAATGGTCTGAAAGCTACAAATCTAGTTCCCCCCAGATCACATTCTCCCTGGTGGCATCTGGATTTGCTGAATAATCCAGCCCCTTTTTCTCGTGAGGAGCTCTAGTTCTCTCAAAGCCCTTCTTTATGGTGAGCAAACTTTGTATCCTTTATTACTTTTACCCATTGATCTTGGTACTCCCCAAGTCAGCAGGTAAACTTTGACTTTGTTGAAACTACACAAAATAAGTCTAATTCCTCTCCCATGATGGTGGTAGTGAGGTCTTAAATAACTGAAGGCAGCTGTTATGTCCCTTACCTATGACTTCTTTGGCAGGCCACCATTTTCCCTGCTTGTCAGCCTCCTTCTCCAACAAATTGTACTATTCTACATCATGACTTAGCTCTTGAGGGAGCTTGCTGTTGGGTAAATCAATTTCTCTAGTAATAAAGCCATGTGCCTTTATTTTTGCTAGAAATTAAGTCCTAAACTTTATAATTTGTCCCTTCATTATCTTGCTTTTCCATAAATTAAATAATGAATAAAAGAGTCACCTCAGGATGTGCAGAGAACAGAAAGATCTTTCTGATATTTTCTAAATCAGGAGTTGAGACAAGATAAATAACTTAGATATTTTGCTAACAATTTTCTAGAAACTATTGGTCCAGCAGGCTTATTTCTGTGTCCTCAAATATCCTTGTTAAAGTTCAGAATATTTGGCTGGGTAAGCCACTATCAATATTTTAAATTTAGCAATATAATGACTTTAAAATTAGGATAATTTATTGTATTATTAGCGTCACTGTTAAGATACTCACAAAATTCCATCTTTACATCATTTATATGATCCACAGAGAGCGAGAGGCCTGCCTTTCAGTACTTGATCAAACCTGGAGCAAACCCAAAAGCATAAATGTTTTATTGCCGAGGTAACTTTGGATATTCATGTTAACAATATTTTAAGAATAATACAACAATTTCTCTAATAAACATGATTTTTAGGAAAATGTAAATTTTGTCCAAGCAGTTCAGTTTAATGAATAATAATTATCATGATCACATGCATCAGAATTTTTAGGACAGTTGTAATTACTCTCAAATATACTCTCCATAACTGCTTGTATTTCCCACACTACATGCTATGTCATTCTTGGAAAATATAATTACTGGGCTTGCAATTTAAAAAAACGGTTGGCAGTTAGAATGGCGATCATTAAAAAGTCAGGAAACAACAGGTGCTGGAGAGGATGTGGAGAAATAGGAACACTTTTACACTGTTGGTGGGACTGTAAACTAGTTCAACCCTTGTGGAAGTCAGTGTGGCGATTCCTCAGGGATCTAGAACTAGAAATACCATTTGACCCAGCCATCCCATTACTGGGTATATACCCAAAGGACTATAAATCATGCTGCTATAAAGACACATGCACATGTATGTTTATTGCGGCACTATTCACAGTAGCAAAGACTTGGAACCAACCCAAATGTCCAACAATGATAGACTGGATTAAGAAAATGTGGCACATATACACCATGGAGTACTATGCAGCCATAAAAAATGATGAGTTCATGTCCTTTGTAGGGACATGGATGTAGCTGGAAACCATCATTCTCAGCAAACTACGGCAAGGAAAAAAACCAAACACTGCATGTTCTCACTCATAGGTGGGAATTGAACAATGAGAACACATGGACACAGGAAGGGGAACATCACACACCAGGACCTGTCGTGGGGTGGGGGGAGGGGGGAGGGATAGCATTAGGAGATATACCTAATGTTAAATGATGAGTTAATGGGAGCAGCACACCAACATGGCACATGTATACATATGTAACAAACCTGCATGTTGTGCACATGTACCCTAAAACTTAAAAGTATAAAAAAAAAGTTTCTAAAACAAAAGAAATAAAAAATAAAAAAAGGTTGGATGTTAAATTTAAATCGTAGCATTTCATGTATTTATTTGTTTATTCAAGAATTTAATTTAACACATGTTTATTCACCATTTATTATATTGCTAGCAGTGTGTTGAGTTCTGGGGTTATAATGGTGAATATACAAAATAAAATTCCTCCCCTTTTGGAACTCAGGTTTTATAAAAACTATCAAGATTACAACCTATATCTGCACAGTCATGTGCATAGGCTGGGGGTTCCTTGAGCTGTGTATTTTTGCAGCACGTCCAACTGCATGCTGTGGGTCTGAAAAAAGATATTTACTCCAGTTAGAAATAACTTGAATAAATCTTTGTAGTACAGGGGACATGATAACAAATTTTGCTTGGCATAAATTAGATAATTAGATATTTTGGGCTTTTCAAGGCAGTAGGTAGAGAATGAGACATGAATTAATTTATCCTACTCACAGGCCAGGAAATTTTTGGTACTGAGAAAAGAAATATAATTCCAACTGATGATAATTGATCTGGAACCGGACCTCATAATTGACTCCTTCCTGCTTATTATTATTAATTATTTTTGAGACAGAGTCTTGCTATGTGGTCCAGGCTGGAGTGCAGTGGCGTGATCTCCCTGCACTGTGTGATCACTGTAACCTCCGCCTCCTGGGTTCAAGGGATTCTCATGCCTCAGCCTCCTGAGTAGCTGGCATTACAGGCTTGGGCTACCACACCCGGCTAATTTTTTTTTTTTTGGAGACAGAGTCTCACTGTATCCCCCAGGCTGGAGTGCAGTGGCATGATCTCAGCTCACTGCAACCTCTGCCTCCTGGGTTCAAGCAATTCTCATGCCTCAGCCTCCCAAGTAGCTGGGATTACAGGCGCCTGCCACCACGCCCAGCTAATTTTTGTATTTTTAGTAGAGACGGGGTTTTGCCATGTTGGTGAGGCTGGTCTTGAACTCCTGACCTCATGTGATCCACCTGCTTTGGCCTTCCAAAGTGCTGAGATTTCAGGTGTGAGCCACTGTGCCCAGTCCCCACCTGCTCATTATTTGACTTCGTAATGTTCAAGACCTTGATGACATTATTTCAAACACAGTGAAATTTTAATTATCTATGGAATATAGGGTCAGAGAAAGATGGATAACTAAACTTCACAGATAATTAAAAAAACCTCACTGCATTCATTTCTATTGCCTCCATCACCAAAGTACATTTACTAGGAACTCAAATAGTAAGTTTAAATTCACCTCTTTTGTCTTTCTATTCACTTCAAGTGAGAGTACAAATGGGCAATTGGAGAGAAGAGGAGGAACAAAGCGCTTGGGCAACACATTCTATGTGAACCGACAAGGGAGCTACATCCTCCTCCAGCCCCATCCGCTTGCTGGGAATTTAAGACACTTGCCCACGGAAGAGCACTTTTAGAATTATAAGTGCTGGGGCTCTTCTCTTAAGTATTTATGTTTTAAAAATTACTCTGTAGGTGAATCCAAAGGAAAGGAGAGTCTGCTGTTCTACTTCTTTCACAAGAGGTTTTCACTTGCCATTTGTCACTTGCCAACAACTCTGAAAAAAATAACAGCTTGCTTTAATTGTTCCAGCTGAAGAAGAGTCTGTCAATAAAAACTTCAGTGACTAATTTACAAACAAGGAGGTAAAAGACTCGGTACATTCTAACTGAAGGGAATTTAATGGTCCCCCCAAATAAGCAAGAACTTTGAACATTATTTTCCCTAACTGAGTTGTATAGTGGGAACTCTGAGATACCTGAGTGAGCCCTTAATGTGAATATATCACCCGGGCATTCTTTAGGAGTATGCTGGGAGAAGAGAAGTGAGGGGCCAATGTTCGTGCAAAGAACTAAGGAACAAAGAATTCACAGATTTGCAGAAGAACCACGTATTCTTAGCATCTGGCAGCACTGAATGCACAGGAACGGTGGTGTACCGCTGCAGGCAGACTTTCCTTACATACCTAATGGCATTTTTGGTTCCAAGAGGAAGATGTGAGACAAACTCCAGCTGCAGGAATCTCGTCATTTACACAACCAAAAAGCTGAGTCATGGTTGGAGAGTGTTATTTGTGGTTCCAGAAACTTGCTTCCTTTAGTATTCCAAACCAAATGAAATGTGTTTTTCACATCAGCAATTATTAAGAGTTTACAAGTCTCTTGTGAATAGGAGCCATAGTTCCCCTGTGTTCACTGGCAGGCACCTACTTCCTTTGCCTGTATTTCTGAGCATGTATCAAATTCCTTCTATATCTGTTTATAGTTTATGTTTTCCCCAATGGTTTGACTAGTGAGACACAGAAGTCAGGATAGTTATCTAAAAGATACCATAAACACTTTCCCCTTTGTGGAGATATCCTCCCTTTAAGGAACTGATCTACCTGGGGATGGGGGTGGGAGGTTAATGGAGGAGGAGGAGAAAGAATATGTGTGTACATGTGTGTATCTGAGTTTATGTATTTGTGTATATTTGTGTGTGATTTTCTCTCCAGAATAAACTTCATTTTTTTTTAAAAGAATTCCATATAATTAACAAACATTTGTCAGTTATGCATCAACTATGCACCTACTATGTGCCAGACTCTGGGTTAAACATTGAGTATACACAGACAGGAGCCAACAAGGTCAAGACTTCACAGAGATTACATACTTGTTTTGGGCTCAAATAAAAAGATATGAAGCAAATCTTTATTATATAAGGGAACTAGACTTGCTTCATACTTGGTGCCTAACCTGCAAACACTTAAAAATTTTTTTATCTATATATTGTTTGCTTAATTTTGTTATAGTGAACATAAAATAAAGAATCTCCTGGCCGGGCGCGGTGGCTCACGCCTGTAATCCCAGCACTTTGGGAGGCCGAAGTGGGCGCATCACTAGGTGAGGAGATTGAGACCATCCTGGCCAACATGGTGAAACCTGTCTCTACTAAAATACAAAAAATTGCCGGGCTTGGTGGTGCACGCCTGTAGTCCAGCTACTCGGGAGGCTGAGGCAGGAGAATCGCTTGAACCCGGGAGGTGGAGGTTGCAGTGAGCCAAGGTTGCGTCACTGCACTCCAGCCTGATGACAGAGCAAGACTCCATCTCAAAAAAAAAAAATCTCCTTTATCAATTTTAAGTATAGCTCGAACATAGGTGTTTGAAAAAGTTCAGTTATCTGTAAAGGCAGATTTGTAATTCTGTTGACTGACATGATACAATATTAGTGAAAATGAAAGTTGGCACTGTAAATGGTTATGAATTTTTTCAGTGATATAAGGGGAAAGAGAACAAACAAACTGAGATGAGAACCTGAGATGAATATAAACATTGCAAGAGCTCAAATAGAGAACATGACTGAGCTTAAGGGTAAGGCTGTTTAAGTGTAGAGCAGATTCTTGAAAATGTAATCCCTGTACTAGCAGTATTATTATCACTTGAGACCTGTTAGAAATCCATGTTCTCAGTACTTACCTAGATTTAGTGAGCCAAAAACTTGGAATGTGGAGCCCAGTTGTCTGTCTTAACAAACTTTCTAGATGTTTCTTTTACTTTCCTTTCTTTCTTCCTTTTTTTTTTTTTTTTTTGAGACGGAGTTTGTTGCCCAGGCTGGTGTGCAGTGGTATGGTCTCGGCTAACTGCAACCTCCACCTCTCAGGTTCAAGCAATTCTCCTGTCTCAGCCTCCCAAGTAGCTGGGATTACAGGCATGATCCCCCATGCCAGGCTAATTTTTTTTGTATTTTTAGTAGGGATGGGGTTTCACCATGTTGGCCAGGCTGGTCTTGAACTCCTGACCTCAGGTGATCTACCTGCCTCTGTGGGCAGCAAGCCACCCAGGTGCCAAGGCAAGAGACCGAGGACACAAGCTGTTCCAGTATAATAAAATATAAAACAAGAATAGTTATACTAGATACAGATCTTAGATATGATTATATATGAATATCATTAATCATTAGTTGGTAGCAATTACTCTTTATTCCAATATTATAATAATCCTTGCTCTATAATCATAACCTAGGAAAAGCCAGGCCGTACAGAGATAGGAGCTGAGGGGACATAGTGAGGAGTGACCAGAAGACAAGAGTGCGAGCCTTCTGTTATGCCCAGACAGGGCTACCAGAGGGCTCCTTGGTCTAGCGGTAACGCCAGCATCTGGGAAGACACCCGTTGCCAGGCGGACCGTGGTCTAGCGGTAGCCTCAGTGTCACGGAAAAACACCAGCTACTTAGCAGACCAGG
Source organism: Homo sapiens (assembly GCF_000001405.40). Taxonomy (NCBI): domain Eukaryota; kingdom Metazoa; phylum Chordata; class Mammalia; order Primates; family Hominidae; genus Homo; species Homo sapiens. The sequence goes on along the minus strand of NW_025791796.1, from coordinate 419,744 downwards.
AGAGGGAGTCTCCCTTTCCCAGGGGGAGTTTAGAGAAGACTCTACTCCTCCACCTCTTGTGGAGGGCCTGACATCAGTCAGGCTTGCCCGCAGTTATCTGGAGGCCTAACTGTCTCCCTGTGATGCTGTGCTTCAGTGGTCATGCTCCTAGTCCGCCTTCATGTTCCATCCTGTACACCTGGCTCTGCCTTCTAGATAGCAGTAGTAAATTAGTGAAAGTACTAAAAGTCTCTGATATGCAGAAATAATGGCATAAGCTATCTTTCTCTTTGTCTCCTCTCTCTCTCTGCCTCGGCTACCAGGCAGGGAAGGGTCCCCTGTCCAGTGGACATGTGACCCACGTGGCCTTACCTGTCATTGGAGATGGCTCACTCTCCTTATCCTGCCCCTTTGTCTTGTATCCAATAAATATCAGTGCAGCCTGGCATTCGGGGCCACTATCGGTCTCCGCGACTTGGTGGTAGTGGTCCCCTGGGCCCAGCTGCCTTTTCTTTTATCTCTTTGTCTTGTGTCTTTATTTCTACACTCTCATCTCCGCACACGGGGAGAGACCCACCGACCCTGTGGCGCTGGACCCTACATGCCTCGGCCTCCCAAAGTTCTGGGATTACAGGCATGAGCCGCCATGCCCGGTCTCTAGGTGTTTCTAATGCACGTGGAAGCTTGAAAGCCACTACGGATGATCATAAAACGTTAGAGTCCGGGTTAGGAATGTTTGAAAGCACTTCTAAGTGTGGGAGGGATTTCCGTAGAACTGGGAATTAATTAAACATGTTTGGGAGACAAGGTTAAGAGTGATATTTGAAGGGATAACTGGCCCATGGAACTAAGTTGCAGGTGATATTCTATGTCAGGCTAAGACTTAGGTATTTAGAAAAGCGTTACTAGATTAAACATCTAGAGGAGCTTTTGAAAGAGGTTTGGGATAGGCAGAAAATGGTGGAGAAGATTATTCAGGCATTGTATGAAATGGGGTGACCTGGGTTAAAAACAGGGAGCACTTGGGTGGGAACAGAGTTGAACTTAAACAGAAGGTAGTGAGAAAATATAGAGAAAATCATGACATAGAAAGTATGAGTCTTAGTTTGAATAGTTTCACTTATTAGCTGTAGGAGCTTGGTGTGCTCTGGTTTCCTCAAATATTAAAGCCATGTTTATCCTTCCTGTGTAACTCATAGGGCTAATAAGAGGATTAAATGAGATAATAGACTTGAAAATATTTTATAAATGTCTATATAATTATAATTATGATTAAGTGTCATTAAACAGCCCCAGAGGCATTGTCTTTTAATTAATATCATGGAACCATTCCAGAATTAGAATTTCTTAGGGTCTAGAGGACTTCCTATGCCTCTGGGGCAACTAGAGGACTCTTTTCCCCTCCCCAAATATATATCCTCAAATAGGTTACAGATACAAATTCCTTTAAAAAGAAACGAGCGGGGAGCAGTGGTGAGCATCTATAATTCCAGCACTTTGGGAAGCTGAGGCAGGAGGATCACTTGAGCCCAGGAATTTGAGAACAGCCTGGCCAACATGGTGAAGCTCTGTCTCTACAAAAGAAAAAAAAAAAAAGAAATACAAAAATTAGCTGGGCATGGAGGCACACGCCTGTAGTCCCAGTTACTCGGACAGCTGAGTTGGGAGCATCATGTGAGCCTGGGAAGGTTGAGGCTGTAGTTAGCTGTGATTGCATCACTGCATTCCAGCCTGGGAGTCAGAATGAGACACTGTCTTGAAAAAAAGTATAAAAAACCAAAACTTTCTAAATTTGACAATTAGAAATAAGAGTTTTAAAATGCCCATTTCTCTCTCTAGTGTATTGCCAACAAAACAGTCAGGGGGATAATTCTTTTATAATGTAAATAAGAGTATGTTACTTCCCTGCTCAAAACCTCCCAAATGCTTCTCATCTTATGCAGAATTACATATAAAACATAAATAAAATAAATTGAAGAAGACACAAATAAACAGAAAGATATCTTGTGTTCATGAATTAAAAGCATTAATATTGTTAAAATGTCCAGACTACCCAATGTGATTTCCAGAGTCAATGTAATCCCTATTAATCCCTGTCATACCAATGACAGCCTTCAGAGAAATAGAAAACACAGCCCTAAAATCCATATGGAATCACAAAATCCCTCAAATAGTAAGGCAGTTATGAACAGAAAGAACGAAGCTGAGGCATCACACTGATTTCAAACTATACAACAAAGTAATAGTAATTAAAACAGCATGTCAATTAAAATTAGTGTAAAAAAGACTCATCAACCAATAGAAAAGAATAGAGAGCTCAGAAGTGAACCTATGCATGGTCAATTGATTTCTGACAAAGGTGTCAAAAATACACATTGGGAAAAGGACAGTCTCTTTAATAATGGTATTGGGAAAACTGCATATTCATATGTACAAGAATGAAATTGGATTCTTATTTCACTCTATATAAAAAAAATCAAGTCAAAATGGATTAAAGACTTGGACATAAGACCGGAAACTCTAAGCAATGAGAAGGCAACATAGGGGAAACACTACCCAATATTGATTTGGGCAATGATTGTACAGATTTGACCTCCAAATACAGACAACAAAAGCAAAAATAAACAAATAGGATCATGTCAGTATAGCTCTAATCTGCAAAGGAAACAATTGATAGAATGGAGAGATAACTACAGACTGGGAGAAAGTATTTGAGGCCATACATCTGATAGGGGTTAATATCCAAATCCATAAAGAACTCAAACAACTCTATAGAGAGAAAACAAATAATCAGATTAAAAAATGGGCAGTGGCCCTGAATAGACATTTCTCAAAAAAAGACACACAAATGGCCAACAGGTATATGAAAATTGCTCACCATCGCTAATAACTAGGAAAATGCAGATTAAAACCACAATGAGATTTCACCTCACAGCTATCAGAATGGCTGTTATAATAAAAGACAAAAGATAACAGGTGTTGATGAGAATGTGAAGAAAAGAGAGCCCTTTCACACAGTTGGTGAGAATGTCAATTAGTACTGTCATTATGAAAAACTGTATGGAGCTTCCTCAGAAAACTAAAAATAGAATTACTATATGATCTAGCAATCCCAGTTTTGGGTATTTGCCTAAATGATTTGAAAGCAGTATGTCAAAGAGATGTCTGCTCTCCTATGTTCCTTGCAGCCTTATTCACAATAGCTGAGTTATGGAATCAACCTAAATGTCCATCAACAGATAAATGGATAAAGAAAATGTGGTGTATGTACATAGTGGAATACTATTCAGCCTTAAAAAGAGGGAAATTTGGTCATTTGTGACAACATGGATGGAAATGGAGAACATTATGCTAAGTGAAACAGGGCAAGCATAGAAAGACAAATATACCACATGTTCTCACTTATTTGTGGAATCTCCAAATTTCAAACTCAAGGAAGCAGGCCAGGGAAGTGGGGTGTGGATAATGGTGAGGCAATGATGGACAAAGGGTGCAAAGCCTCTGGCAGGAGGAATCAGTTTTTTTTTGTTTTTTTTTTTTGGCGATATATTGCCCAGGGTGGTAAACATAGTAAATGATAATGTGTTATAAATTTTAAAATTGCTAAGATGATAAATTTCTTTTTTTTTTTTTTTTCCCAAGGCAGAATAATTTTTCTTAGTACAGAACAAAATGAAAAGTCTCCCATGTCTACTTCTTTCTACACAGACACGGCAACCATCCGATTTCTCAGTCTTTTCCCCACCTTTCCCCCCTTTCTATTCCACAAAACTGCCACTGTCATCATGGCCCGTTCTCAATGAGCCACTGGGCACACCTCCCAGACGGGGTGGTGGCCGGGCAGAGAGGCTCCTCACTTCCCAGTAGTGGTGGCCGGGCAGAGGCGCCCCTCACCTCCCGGATGGGGTGGCTGGCCGGGCGGGGGGGCTGCCCCCCCCACCTCCCTCCCGGACGGGGCAGCTGGCCGGGCAGAGGGGCTCCTCACTTCCCAGTAGGGGCGGCCGGGCAGAGGCGCCCCTCACCTCCCGGACAGGGTGGCTGGCCGGGCGGGGGGACTGACCCCCCCCACCTCCCTCCTGGACGGGGCGGCTGGCCGGGCGGGGGGACTGACCCCCCCCACCTCCCTCCTGGACGGGGCTGCTGGCCGGGCGGGGGGACTGACCCCCCCACCTCCCTCCTGGACGGGGCGGCTGGCCGGGCGGGGGGACTGACCCCCCCACCTCCCTCCCGGACGGGGCGGCTGGCCGGGCGGGGGGACTGACCCCCCCCACCTCCCTCCTGGACGGGGTGGCTGGCCGGGCGGGGGGACTGACCCCCCCCACCTCCCTCCTGGACGGGGCGGCTGGCCGGGCGGGGGACTGACCCCCCCACCTCCCTCCCGGACGGGGCGGCTGGCTGGGCGGGGGGACTGACCCCCTCACCTCCCTCCTGGACGGGGCGGCTGGCTGGGCGGGGGGCTGACCCCCTCACCTCCCTCCCGGACGGGGTGGCTGTCGGGCGGAGACGCTCCTCACTTCCCAGACGGGGTGGCTGCCAGGCAGAGGGTCTCCTCACTTCTCAGATGGGGCGGCCGGGCAGAGACGCTCCTCACCTCCCAGACAGGGTCGCGGCCGGGCAGAGGCTGCAATCTCGGCACTTTGGGAGGCCAAGGCAGGCGGCTGGGAGGTAGAGGTTGTAGCGAGCCGAGATCACGCCACTGCACTCCAGCCTGGGCACCATTGAGCACTGAGTGAACGAGACTCCGTCTGCAATCCCGGCACCTCGGGAGGCCGAGGCTGGCGGATCACTCGTGATTAGGAGCTGGAGACCAGCCCGGCCAACACAGCGAAACCCCGTCTCCACCGAAAAAATACGAAAACCAGTCAGGCGTGGCGGCGCGCGCCTGCAATCGCAGGCACTGGGCAGGCTGAGGCAGGAGAATCAGGCAGGGAGGTTGCAGTGAGCCCAGATGGCAGCAGTACAGTCCAGCTTCGGCTGGGCATCAGAGGGAGACCGTGGAAAGAGAGGGAGACCCTGGGGAGAGGGAGACCGTGGGGAGAGGGAGAGGGAGAGGGAGAGCGATAAATTTCAAATATTCTTGTTTTTTTTTTTTTTTGAGACAGAATCTCACTCTATCACAGGCTGTTGTACAATGGCGCAGTCATGGCTCACTGCAACCTCTGCCTCCCGAGTTCAAGTGATCCTTATGCCTCAGCTTCCTGTGTAGCTGGGATTACAGGCATGCACCACCACACCCAAATAATTTTTGTATTTTTAGTAGGGAGGGGATTTTACCATGTTGGCCAGGCTAATCTTGAACTCCTGGCCTCGGGTGATCTGCCTGCCTCGGCCTCCCAAAGTGCTGGGATTACAGGCGTGAGCCACTGTGCCCGGCCATAGATTTCAAATATTCTCACTACAGAAAATATTTGAGGTGATGGATATGTTAGCTGATTCAATTATTCTGCATTATATTCATAAATCATAACATCACTTTGTTCCCCATACATATACACAACTCTAATTTGTCAATTTATAATTTTTAAAAAAGTTATTACTATAGTTTACAAGGTCCCACAGAATTTGGAATGCTGTTCACTCCCTGACTTCATCTCTATTACTCTTCCCCTTAAATTTTTTTTTTTTTTTGAGATGGAGTCCTGCTCTGTCGTCCAGGCTGGAGTGCGGTGGTGTGATCTCGGCTCACTGCAACCTCTGCCTCCTAGGTTCATGCCATTCTCCTGCCTCAGCCTCCTGAGTAGCTGGGATTACAGGCTCGTGCCACCACACCCAGCTAATTTTTGTATTTTTAGTAGAGACAGGGTTGCACCATATTGGCCAGGCTGGTCTCAAATTCCTGACCTCATGATCCAGCCTCCTCAGCTTCCCAAAGTGCTGGGATTACAGGTGTGAGCCACTGTTCCCAGACTTAAATTCTTTACTCCAGTCAAACCAACCTCCTTGCTGCTACTTGGATACAATCCTGCCTCCAGATCTTTAAGATAATTTGCTTCCCTCTCTTTAGAATGCTCTTCTCTCACTGTCTACATGGCTCATTCCCTCATCCGCTTCAAGCATTTGCTTAAATGTTGCCTTCTCAGTGTAGCCTCTCTGATCATCGTGTTTAACAATGGCAGCTCTTTTCTTTCTCCCACATTTCCTGTCCTCTTTGTCCTTTTTGCATAGCGCTTACTACTCTCTGATATGCTATATATTTTACTTATTTTTTTATCGTCCGTTTCTCCCTTATGTGAGTGTAAATGCCAGGTAGATAGTGGTTTTGATTCTTTTGATCATAGTATATATCTAGTGCCTAGAACATAACAGGTATTCAATTAATATTTGTTGAATGAAAGAATGACCATGATTTTACTATTTTATGTGATGTTAAAACACATGCTGCTTACATAAGCATTAAACTTTCAGTCTGTCCCTTGTCTGTAAGACTTTCAGCCATCAAGAGCCAAGGGGGCAAGAAAACTGCTCTGTTACTAAATCCTTTAGTTCTGTATTCATTAGACATTTAAATTTGATTCTTCATTCACTTTAAAAATATTGAACAGTCTTAAGAAATATCTTAAGCATAACTGCTCTTCTATCTTCCACCCCTGTCTCCAGTAATCAAAACGATACAGTATGAAATAGGACAGATAAAATACCCTCAAATATCATCTACTGGAGTCACCTGTGTTGAAAATATGATTGTTTCATTTGGAATGGAATATGAATCAACTATGGTTTAGCTCTGCCAGGTTAGTTAAGAAATAAAACAATGAGGGACCTCGCTGAGAAAATATCTTCTTTAAAGGGTGTATTGGAGAAGTAGAATCAGAAAATCAGGTATTTCTTAGTTAATCTTTTATGTCTGAACAATGGTTTGCTTGGTCTCATGTAGATGACTTTATTCTCATTCTATCCTCAGGACTTTCTTCAACGCAGCCTTCATCTCTTTGTTTCGTAAGCTGTAAATCAGGGGGTTTAAGAAGGGGGTCACCACAGAATAGAACAAAGTTATAATCTTCTAAATTGCAGCTGGGTTATCAGTTGTGGGGCTCACATACATTGCCAGTAGGGCCCCAAAGAATAAACACACCACTGTCAGATGAGATCCACAGGTGGAAAAGGCCTTCTGCTGGCCAGCTGCTGAAGGGACTTTTAATACAGCTATCAGTAAAGCATATAGGAGCCACAGATGTACAGAAGAGTGAGAATGATAATGAGGGAGCTCAGGATATAGAAGATAATCTCAGTGATAGGAGCTGAGGCACAGGACAGAGCCATCAGTGGGTCCATGTCACACAAAAAGTGATTGATGATGTTGGGCCCACAGAAAGGCAGTTGAGACAGTTGCACAGTGGAGACAGAGTAACTGAGGAATCCAAACACCCAGCAAAAAGACATCAATATGTAGCAGAGTTGTGGGGTCATGATGGTTGGGTAGTGCAATGGGCGGCAGATAGCAAGGTACCGATCATATGCCATGATGCAGAGGAAGTATGCTTCTATTGTACCAAGGGAAGTAAAAAAGTAGAACTGGAGGAAACAGCCAACAAAAGAGATGGTTTTTGTCTCTGAGAGGAAGTTGACTAGCATGTTGGGTACAGTGGAAGTAACTTACCGGATTTCAAGGAAAGCAAAGTTCCCTAGGAGAATATACATTGGGGTATGAAGCCGTTTGTCCAATCTCACAGCACAGACAATGGTCCCATTTCCTATTATGGTAAATACATAGATCACAAAGAACAGGGAGAAGAGGAAACTTTGCATCTCCTGACAACCAGGAAAGCCAAGGAGAACAAATTCCGTCATAGTGCTTGTCTCTGAATTGTTTGTGAATTCCAGGGCTGTAGAGATGACAGAAAACACCATTTATACAAACAGTTTTGTTTTCTGAAAGACTTGTAGTAAATCTGTGTAAGCTATATATGTTGGCTATTTGGCAATTAGTTTGCAATAACCCATCCACTGACTCCTAACTTTTATTCAGAAGCTACAAATCAACAATGCTAATGATCCCAAATTTCTTTTTTTTTTTTTTTTTTTGAGACGGAGTTTTGCTCTTGCTGCCCATGCTGGAGGGCAATGGTCCAATCTCAGCTCACCACAACCTCCGCCTCCTGGGTTCAAGCGATTCTCCTGCCTCAGCCTCCCGAGTAGCTGGGATTACAAGCATGCACCACCATGCCCGGCTACTTTTGTATTTTTAGTAGAGACGGGGTTTCTCCATGTTGGTCAAGCTGGTCTCGAACTCCTGACCTCAGGTGATCCACCCGCCTCAGCCTCCCAAAGTGCTGGGATTACAGGAGTGAGCCACTGTGCCTGGCCCCAGATTTCTTTAAAATTAGGGTTATAACAATAGAATCTACATTATTCAGATATTTTTCATCAGTGGGTGATTTTTAAGAATTCTCCCTTCCCTTTGAAATTTTGAAAGCTCAGAACCATTATCCTCTATGAAAGCCAGCAAAGTGGCTGTTTGTATTTCTTTTTCCCACCCACAGTTAATTATTTCTAATAAAGCAGCTTGTTAGTTTGACTTAATTTTTAAACCAAGAATTAGGAGTAAAATAACTACTTTTTCTGACATCTTTCCCAAGGTGGAAAATACTTGACATACTTCTCAGATACTTGAGAGCTATGAGTGGCCATTATTCACTCTGTATTAGTGAATTTTAAGTCTAAGCATAGAATCCAAGAGAAAATATCATGGCAATATTTTTCTGGAGAGTAGAGAGTTAATAGTTACCTGAGATTGTTCCTTAAATTTACTTCACACTTTTAAACTTCCCTGTAAATGGAATTTCTACTACCATAAACAAATGCAGAGTTTTGAATCATTTAAACATAAATCTCTCTCATTAAAATAAACAATTTGTTACAATATATTGTTCTGCTACAAGAATTCATTCTTGTACTGTTACATGTTACAGATTGTAGGTTTCGACATCTCGACTGTAATCTCTACTTCCCACCTACAAGAAAGTCAGAATCTAGATAAGTTTGGAAGGTCAATGATCAAAAGTCAAACAGAATGAATAGGTAAAGGAAGTGTAGTATACGCACACAATGGAATACTATTCAGCTTTTAAAAAAGAAGGAAATCCTGTCATTTGTGACAACATGGATGAACCCAGGGACATGGTGCTAAGTGAAAAAAGCCAGGCTCAGGAAGACAAATACTGTATGATTTCACTTATATGTATATGTGGAACCTAAAAAAGTTGAATTTATAGCAGCAGAGAGTAAAATGGTGGTTACAGGAACTGGGAGGTTGGGGAGATGTTGGTCAAAGGATACAAAACTTCAGTTAGATAGAAGAAATAAATTCAAGAGCTCTATTGTATAACATGGATAACTATAGTTAATAATGTATTTTTTTCTTGAAAATTGCTAAGACAGTAGATTTTAAATGTTCTCACCACAAAAAAGTGGTAAGTATATGAGGTAATGCATATTCATTAGCTGGAGGTAGCCATTATACAATGTATACATATTTCAAAACAACATGTTACACATAATAAATATATACAATTTTTTATTTGTTAATTAAAAAAGTCATACATAAATAAACATAGCTCTAAATGTTGCTAATGGTAAATTCTTGCTGAACACATAATATTTTCTTTCACTTGGTGATGAAAGAAAATATATATGTAAAGAATATTCAGTAAGCCTTTTCCAAATGTAAGGATATTTATTAATGTTAAGTTTTTCAATGCATTTCAAATGATCTAAAATGCTTATGTCTTGTTATTTAAATTTATTAATGCTATACTGTTCAAAATTTACCAAAATACTGTACTTGTTTTTTATAATTATAAACATAAAAGGTATAGAAAAAGACAAAAAAAATCTACCTCCCAGAGAAAACAAATTTTAACTCTTTGGAGGAGTGTGTTCTTCTCTTCTTTATAATTAAAATGGAAATTTTCAAAATTAATTGTTTTATAATTTGTTTTTAAACTTAATCTGTCTTTTTTCCATGTCAAAAATATAGCTCTGAATCATCAACTCAATGGCTTCATTGTTCTTCTTGTCTATACATTCAATCGACCCTCTAATGACAGATTCAGGTTGTTATCAATGTTTTCTATTATAATCACCACTGTGATTAATATTCTTGGACGTATATCTTAGTACAGTTTGACCCATAAAGCCTGAGCTTATCAAGATTTAAAAAATTAATAATTACACTTGTCAATATAGGATGTCTTAGATTTTGATGATGATTTTAGATATCCTTTTGATACCTATCATATATTAAAGTCAGCAAGACAAAACTCTGTAACATATAAGATAAATTTCCTGTTTAATATTTACGTAGCATGTTATAAATTTTTCTACTAGAGCGTGCACCATAACGACCAAATCATATGGTTTCGTGTTACCCTCTAGACTGAAAATGTCTATAATTCACAAATGATGTTTAATTTATCTTTCATTTCTCAGATGACTCAGTTTCTGGTACACAGTAGGCACTTGTTGAATAAATTAATGGTTGGGTGAATTTCAGGCTTGCCAACCCTGCCACCAAAAAGCTAATCTGAGTTTATGAACATCACCATCACTGAGTCCTCAGTCTGAACGTCACTGGGCAGTCTTGTGTAACTTGTCAGTTTGGTCACATTTAGCAAAATCACATTTAAACCTTGTGATCCACTAATTCCACCTTGCCTTATGACCCTGTCATTTGTGAGCATCCCACTCTAAATATTGGCCTCTCTAGTCATTTATATTTTTAAACATGTAGTCACCATTTTGCCCAGTATTTATCTTTATTCCATCTTTTTCTTTGTAAGAGCTCCCACTTTGTACTTGCTTTTTAGCGAATGGCTCCACTCTTCGTTCACCAATCCAGTTAGCATTTGCTAAAGCCAGAAACTTGAGAAGCACTGAAGGAACCTTTTAATTCTGTCACCTCCCATATGCTGTCAATCTCCAAATCCTGTTGATTTTCCTTCTCAAAGTGTGTGTATATCTATATCTATAGATATAGATATATACATAGATATACATAGATATCTATATCTATAGATATAGATCTATACATAGATATAGATATATACATAGATATACATGTATATACATAGATATACATAGATATAGATATATATAGACTCACTCCAGTAATACTTAATGAAGTAATCCTGTTATATAAGGTACTTACTTAAAATAAATGATAAAATCAGATTGACTTGGGTTCAAATACTGTACAGCATACTATGTGCCTCTAGGCAAGTTACCATTGTTTTGCTGAGCTTTTGTGAAAGTATTGTTGAAGTACAGTTTCCTAGTACATGTTGTAGTGCCTAGTGCAGTTCCTGGAATATATTAGGACCTGCAACATTCATAGCTGTTAGTGTTCATAATAATACTACTAATAAATATAATTACAAAGTTACTAGGATAATTTTTTAGCAGAATCATTTAAAAACCTAAATGAAAAACAATAAATTAATTTTTAATTTTTATTTATTTATTTGTTTATTTTTGAGACAGGGCCTTACTCTATCACCCATGCTGGAGTGCAGTCGCGGGATCATAGTTCATTGCAGCCTTGACCTCCCAAGCTCAAGCGATCCTACTGCCTTAACCTCAGTAGCTGGGATGATAGACGTATGCCACCATGCCAGGCTAATTATTAAATGTTTTGTAGAGACATGTTCTCATCATGTCTCTAGCCTAGGGAACATGATGAGAAGCTTTCTCTACAAACCTTTGGCCCCTCAAAGTGCGGAGATTATAGGCGTGAGCCACTGCACCCGTCCAATGAATTTAAGTGAACCTGAATGACTAGATTAAAAAGTCATATGTCATTCAAATATGAATATTTCATGTTCATATTATCTCATAGTGAAGCTATGGGCAGCTCCTTTTAGTTGGTCAGATTCATTTTTTCGACCTTCTTGTATATTCTGGCACTTAGAAACATACAGGTCGGTCTAACATAAAGAAGACATAAAAACACAGTAGTATTAATAATTCAAAAGGCAGAAGATAAAGTATTAAAGGAAGGGCATTACATTTCCTGGGATGTGCATAAAAGTAATGGGAATAAGTTATATTTAATCAGAGGCATTGTAGAAAGTGAGTTATTAAGCATGACTTCTAATACCAAATTATGTAATTTATCAAATTTCCAAATAATGAGGCATTCCTTTGCAAATAATTAGGCAAGAACGTTTAAGGAAGTGTTCAGCTGAGGAGGATCTGGGTAGCTGGGCACAGATGTCAACAGTTCATTACAACACTTATACTGGAGATGCGGTGCATGAAATCACACGTCTAGAAACTCACAAAATTTTGCAAAAATATGTTCATATTATAAAGGCATTTCACTGGAGCTAGCATCCATGTGTAGATGTCTTAGAAGAAGTCAAGTGAATCCTAGACAGGGGAAAAAGTTACTTACCCTTCATGATAGAGTCCTAGGAATACAAACCGAGCCTGTGCCTTCTCATTGATACATCTCTTTGCCTTATGTGGACTCAAAACCTGGAGCCTGACCCAGAGAATCCTAGGATATATAAAGGTAACTGTTGAAACTCCCTTTTCTCCTTTCCTGAAGTGCTCAAAAGGAACACTTACAGGTAATTCTTTGGGTAACAGTTATAGCCAGAGGAAAGAAGCACACTCCTCCTATGGTCAGCCCTTGAGGTTTAGGCCTCGACTGACAGGGTGGTTATTTTCATCAAGGGCTACATAAAGGACCTCAGTCACCTCCGGGCACCCAGACCTTCCAATTGTCTCATCCAGCAGAGAAAGGTCAACAGGTGAGTTTTATATATGAATTACTTTTGTGGCAGAATAGTGCCACAAAAGCAGTGGCATATGAACCTCATGAAGAGATTTCAGAAAGAGGGTGCAGGTGAATGAAGAAATGTGTCACTGTGATTCAGGGGTGCAATTAAAGTTTTGTCTTGGAGATTATTGTGATGACTTCAGTCTTCCCTTGGGCTGGTTTATGACTCCCTCAAGAGTCCTTGGCATAGCATCCTTTCTTCCATCCACAGTTTTCATGTAGTTTAGGGCAAATTGGACCCCAGAGCAAAGGCAAGAAGAATGTTTTGAAAGGCAATGATGAGACGTCTGTGTGGAATTCGAGATAACTTCTTTTTGTTCATAGGAAAAGTTATAAAAACTAATTTCTAGAAAATCAGTTGTAATGTCCTCATTTAATTTCTAATTTTTGTTGAGTCTTCTTTTTTTCTTAATCTAGCTAAAGTCTTGTCCACTTAGTTTATCTTTTTGAATAACAAACTTTTGGTTTTGTTCATTTTCTCTACAGTTTTATATTTTCACTTCATTTATCCCTGCTGTAATCTTCATTATTTCCTACCATTTGCTAGCTTTGAATTTAGTTTGTTCTTCTTTTTCTAGTTTCTTATGGCATAAAGTTAGGTTTTTGAGTTGAGATTTTTCTTCTTTTATAATGTAAGCCTTTATAGCTATAAATTTCTCTCTTAGTGCTGCTTTCTTTTCATCTTGTAAATTTTGGTATGTTGTGTTTTCATTTTTATTTGTCTCAAGATACTTTATAATTTCCCTTGTGACTTCTCTGACTCATCGCTTGGTTTAGATTGTGTTGTTGAATATCCACATATTTGTGGATATTTCTTTTTGCTGTTGATTTACGGTTTTATTCCATTGTGATTTGAGAAAGATAGGTACGATTTTAATCTTTCAAAATGATTAAGGCTGTTTTGTGACTTAACATTTCATGTAGGCTGGAGGATTAAAATATTTTACTTAAAAATTTTGAGTTGTGTCCATTCATAAAATGAAACAAAGGAAAAAGAGGATGGCAAAGTCTTTAATAGAAAGCCTACAGCCTGGGCAACATAGAGAGACCCAATTTCTAAAAAAAAAAAAAAAAAAATTAGCCAGGCATGGTGGCATGTGCCTGTGGTCCCAGCTACTTGAGAGGCTAAGGTGGGAGGATTGCTTGAGCCCAAGAGGTTGAGGCTGCAATTAGCTGTGATCATACCACTGTATTCCAGCATGGGTGACAGGGTGAGATACTATCTAAAAAAACCCCCAAACTGCAAACAACAACAACAAAAAGAAAGCCTAACACCTTTGAACTAAAAAAAAAAAAAAAAAAAAAAGATGAAGAGATTGCTAGTGTAATGGGGAAATTGAAGAAAATTCAAACGAGAGCTAAACCATGGCCACAAACTTCCAGGGATGAGTGATTCCCTTCTGAGTGGCATCAGGTCTAGCTCTGGTTCATCCTTACCTGAGGATGAAGACCATTAGAGCACCAGCTTTTTGTGACCACCCCCTCCCCACCAGCACCAGGTTCCTATTTCTATCTCCTCAGCCAGGAATTGTCCTGAAGCATAAGGATATGAACTACAGTCAAGTGCTCTCTGAGCATGAATGGCCTTAGTGCTCACCTCTCAGGCTTTCATAAAAAAATGACTTAGCCATTTTCTATTCTCTCTTCAGATTGTCAATGTTTTTAAGTTTTTTTTTAAATTTAGTATTTTTATTTGATCACAGCAAGATGGTAGATCGAAGCAATTCAACATTCTATTACTAAAATCTATATTTACTTAACATTTTAAATAATATCTCTCTTTTGTATTCAATTTATATTATTACTATTATTATTGTTATTTTTTGAGATGAAGTTTCACTCTTGTTGCCCAGGCTGGAGCACAATGGCATGATCTCAGATCACTGGAAGCTCCACCTCCCGGGTTCAAGGGATTCTCCCGCCTCAGCTTCCCAAGTAGCTGGGATTACAGGCATACGTCACCACACCCGGCTATTTTTTTTTTTGTATTTTTAGTAGAGACAGGGTTTCACCATGTTGGCCAGGCTAGTCTCGAACTCCTGATCTCAGGTGATCCACCCACCTCGGCCTCCCAAAGTGCTCGGATTATAGGCATAGCCACCACGCCCAGCCTATATTATATTTTATGGTCATACTTGCTTTGTCTCTGGGACCTTAGTAGTAACCACTAGCAGTGGTTGATTATACGATGGTGTAAAATAATTTCTAGAAGCACTTCTATTCTGTAACCTGAGGTGCACTTGCAAAAAGACAATGCCTGTGCTGTGCTTACAACCTCTTTCACACAAGTTCCATACTTACATACATGCAGCTTCTCGTGAGCTTCCACTGTAATTAGGCCTTCCCCTCTCACTGAACTTTTGCTACTTAACAAAAAGAAAACCTTCCAATTTTCTCGATCACAAGACTGTGAATCCTATGAGGGAAGAAAATGTGTCTTATATACCTTTGTCTCAAATTTATTTCCTGGCTCAATGTTTGGTACATTGCAGGTGCCGAACAAGGGCAATAAAAATCAGTAATTGAAAAATAAGGGAGATGATGTCTAAATATAACTGTGATAAAACTCGTTAAAGTTTTATAACAGTATATTTACACAAGCCCTAAGATGAGGAAGCTGTATCTCAGGTTTTTTCTAAAGTACGAAACTATCTGAGTGAAATTATGTTAAGGGGCTCTGAAGACCTCGCTTCAACATTTCTATCAATAAACAGGCTCCTAAGGAACCCTAGAATTGCGGGAAAAAATGATTTTCCAAATCTAATGATCAGAAAGTTCTCCTAGAAAATTGTTCTTTGTTGGCCGGGTGCAGTGGCTCACGCCTGTAATCCCAGCACTTTGGGAGGCCGAGGTGGGTGGATCACCTGAGGTCAGAAGTTCGAGACCAGCCTGGCCAACATGGTGAATCTCCATCTCTACTAAAAATACCAAAAATTAGCCAGGCGTAGTGGCGGGCACCTGTAATCCCAGCTACTCAGGAGGCTGAGACAGGAGAATCATTTGAACGTGGGAGGTGGAGGTTGCAGTGAGCCGAGATGGCGCCATTGCACTCCAGCCTGGGCAACAGGAGCTAAACTCCATCTCAAAAAAAAAAAAAAAAAAAAAAAATTGAAAATTGTTCTTTGTTTAAAGAACTTACTCATATAACCAAACATCACCTGTTCCCCAATAACCTATGGAAATAAAAAAATTTTACAAAATATGTTTTATTATTTTTTCAATGCATAATATAGGCACATGATAAAGAATTTGAACGCACAAAAGGAGTTATGAAAAAAAAGTCTCCTTTACTATCTTGTTCCTTAGACACAAAATTCTTCTTGCCTGAAGCAACCATTGTTATCAGTTTTTTGGAGCTCTTTCAGGAGATATACACATTTCCATGGAAGGCAGCTACAATACACTCTGCTATTCACTTTGCTTTTTTCATTTAACAGTGTGTCTTGGACATATTATATATCATTGCATATGGAACTGCTTCATAGTTTATAAATTGAAGACATAATATTCCATGGTATAACTCACCATAGCTCATTTTACTAGTCTTCTATTAATGGGAACTGATGTTTTTCTCAATATTTTGCTATTACAACAATGCTGCAGTAAACATTTCCCACATGTGTAAAAATATCTGTAGGTTAAACAACTTAAAAGTTGAGGTGCTGTTTTAAAGGATATGTGTCTTCTAAATTTTGATAGAGGTTGCCTTGTCACCCTATATAGAGTTTGTAAAGCTGATACGCCCACCAGCTAAGTGTGAGAGAACCCATTTCACAATCCTCAGACACGCAATGTGTAATCAAACTTCTTGATCTTTGTCAATTTAATAGATAAAAAGTGAGATATATTTATAGGCTTATTCTACTTTTACCTTTTTATGAATTAGTTAGTGCCCTTTCCATGTTTAAGAATCTTTTTCTGGATGTTATTCGTTTATATCCTTTTGCTCATTTTCTTACTGGGATACTGTTCTGTTCTCTTACTATTTTACAGAGCTTCGTTTATATTAAGGAAACAAACTTATTGTGATATGACTGGCAAATAAGTGAGAAGTCCTAAAGAGAAATTCAGGGTTACTTTTCAAAGCAAAGGGAACTTGGGCTAGTTAAAAGGGTGGTGGATAGGAACTTTTTTTTTTTTTTTTTTTGGAATTAAGTCATTATCCTCAGCAAATTGCTCCCTGATTCCCAATTCCTATTTATTTAACCTGAAAAACAGGTATTTGGATTAGTGAAGACACTTCAATCATAGCATGACCTTTCACTCCAGGCCTAGGGGAAAGTTCAAGGAGAACTAGCCCAAGCTTCTAATACAAATTCTGGGTGACTATTTTTACTGATCTACAATTACTGGGTGCCTTCCATTAAAAAAAGGCCAAAATCTGTGGTCCTGATTTTATCATTTATTTTACCATAGGTAACCTTTCCCCTGCTTCCTGCAGGGGAAGAGTCCTCAGGGATTCTTTGCTGGTTGCAATGAAAAGAAAAGCAGGTGTGCATCCCAGATTTGTGTTTATGCCAGCCTCTATATCCACCTGTCTCTCTGATTTGTGGGCTTTTGAAGACACATGCTACATGATAATCTCCTGAAAGTGAAGGAAGAAGTGAGAATGTATGGAATCTAGATAGAATAGAAAAAACTTTCTGGTCATGACTGAAAAACTTGTACTAAACCCAAAATAATTTCTATCAACAGTAAAATCTGGACAAAATACATAAAACAACCATTTGAAGGCACTCAGAGCAACTGACATAGGCAAGCCTTCATGGGCTACAGTCCAAGATGAAGGGAAGAAAAGGGAGGTGAGTTTCACATTCCCCATGTGTATTTCCCTGAGGATATTTGACCATTTACTGGGTTGGGAGAGTATGAGGAAAGGAGGAATAAGGACTGAGCAGAAAGCAGTAGTTTTACTGAACTGAGAAGGTAGAGAATTTGAAAGTTGCCAAAGCACCTGGCGTTTGAGAAATCCTGGAGAGGGAAGGACCACAGAAGCTAGGCTAAAAATATGATGCAATTCCCCTTCAAGGCATTTTTGGATTTCTAAGCTGTGTGTACACGGTGAGACCCCAAAATAGCTAGCAGAAACAAAAGCTGAGAGTCTAAAGAGCAAAGCGGAAGTTTCAGGAGTCATGGGGTTCAAGAAGTACTGAAATAGGAGGCTAGGATCAGCTGAAGCGGAGGGACCTTCTAAACAGTCCAGATTTGTCCCTGAGGTCTCAGAAAGGCTATGTTCCTGCAGTAAGAGCCACACCCTAAGAGTAAAACTAAAACGAGCACAGATCATTTTAAAAACACATACAAGTAGTGCTTAAATAGAATCAATGTGATCTGCCTCTACTCCATCTACTTGCTAGAACAAAACCTTCATTACTGCATATATTGTCTTTATAGTTTTTAAAATACAATGCCCACCAGTCAATTAAAAAACATTGAGGCATGTTACACAACTGGGCAAATAATCAAGATCTGAAAGGAGAAATAACAGAAACATGCTCACAGGTATTTTAGCTTTGGCCAATAGTAAGATGAACAATTAACTGTATAAGACCAGTTTTTTTTTTTTTTTTTTCCTGAGACAGAGTCTCGCTCTGTCGCCCAGGCTTGAGTGCAGTGGCGCGATCTCGGCTCACTGCAAGCTCCGCCTCCCGGGTTCACGCCATTCTCCTGCCTCAGCCTCCCGAGTAGCTGGGACTACAGGCGTCCGCCACCACGCCCGGCTAATTTTTTGTATTTTTTAGTAGAGACAGGGTTTCACCGTGTTAGCCAGGGTGGTCTTGATCTCCTGACCTCGTGATCCACCCGCCTCGGGCTCCCAAAGTGCTGGGATTACAGGCGTAAGCCACCGCGCCTGGCCAAGACCAGTTTTTTTTTTAAACCCCAAAATTAAAGACAAGATTAATTACGCAAGGACCTTTTTGATTAACATTTTATGTTCCCCAAAATTTCTTCAGAGCTTTTCTCATATCTTTGTTCCTAAGACTATATATCACAGGGTTAAGCAGTGGGGTAACAACAGAATAAAACAGAGTCACAGTCTTCTGCTTTCCAGCTTCATTCTTAGATGGTGGGCTCCCATACATGACCAGTACTGAGCCGTAGAACAGTGAAACCACAGCCAGGTGAGACCCACAGGTGGAGAAAGCCTTTCTTCTCCCAGCTGCTGAAGGGACCCTCAACACAGCTCTCACGACCAGAGCATAGGACCCCACAATGAAGAGAAAGAGCATAAAGACAGGCAGAGGACTTAAGACAGAAAAGACAAGCTCTATCACAGGGCCTTTTTTGCAAGTGAGAGTTAGAAGAGGAGCTGGGTCACATAGGAAGTGGTCAATAATCCTAGATCCACAGAAGGACATTTGGGAGATGTTGACGATAGGAATCAAGAACCAGATGAAACCAAGTACCCAGCAATTGACCACAAGATTGGTACAGAGACGTCTGGTCATAATGGTTGGATAGCGTAGAGGCCGACAGATGGCAAGGTATCGATCAAATGCCATAACTGCCAGGAAAAAGCATTCTGTAGAGCCCAAGGAGAAGAAAAAGTAGAACTGGAGGAAGCAGCCAGAGAACGAGATGATCTTGGTGTCAGAGAGGAAGTTGGCCAGCATGCTGGGGACTGTGGAGGTGACATAACATATCTCCAAGAAGGAGAAGTTGGCGAGCAGGATGTACATGGGGGCGTGGAGTCTCTGATCCCAGTGCACAGCACAGATGATGGAACCATTGCCCATGAGGGTCAGGAGGTAAACAACAGTGAAGAGCACAAAGAGGAGGATCTGCCCCTCCCTGGGGCAAGGGAAGCCCAGGAGGATGAAGCCAGTGAAGGTGCTGGAGTTGCTGGGGCTGTTGAAGATTTTCATGTGCCTGTGAATTGTAAAAGCACCAGCAATTACTGAATGACGGTGCAAACATAGATGGGGAATCAGATTTATATTTAAATCATTTTGGGAAAGAAAATGCATAAATTTACTATTGAAATAAAAGTAAAAAGTAAAAAACAGAATGCAGATATGTCAATAGTCACTTTTTTTCTTTTAAACTGACGTATTGATCTGGATTGATTCTTTGCTCGCGTTCACATTTTTACCATAGGCTCAAGAAAACTTTTGACCAAAATTGATAAGCTGTCATTTACATTTTACTAGGTGTAAAGCCATTATAATTTTCAGGCATGTTTACAACACTTTCCTTCAAGAGCCTTTGTATAAATATATAACAGAATATGTATTTATGGATATATTCTTACACAAATGAATTTCATTTTCAGACGGTGAAATCATTGCAGCTTTTTGTGGCAGAGACTGAGTGAAACTGTGTAGCCATGTAATATGAGACCATAAAACTGTTTGAATTACTTCTTTTATGTCACTTTTGACACTGGCCTTATTCTAAATTAAATGGTTAACTTATTAACTTAATAATATCATTCACTTGTTTCATGAGTAACACAGTCAAATCAATTAGAGGAAATTAGCTGTTGTCAGTTTCTTTTGTGTTAGGACAGCAGTCCTAGCCATCCTCAGTAGACCAGGCTGAAAGAATTAACTGGCCATGCTGAAACACGTCTGTGCTTGCCGTGAAGAATATATAAATTTGCCTAGACTATAGTTAAAGATATAATTCTATTCCAATAATACAAATTATGGATACAATTGATAACATGCAATTCTAAATAACAGTGGGTTTGTAGGCGATATTAGACTAAAGCTGTGGTCCATCTCCCAGTAACCACTTAGGAACATCTCAAGGCAGAGTGGCTTTTGAAGGCTGAATATCTGCATGATGCCTTTCATTTGTTTTAAATGAATTAGAATATCTTTGTGAAACAATCATGTAATCAAGCCTTGGAATTAGTTAGAGCCCTTTCTAAATAAGCGCATAAGTGAGCAAACTAAAGAAAGTTTGTGTCCCTCCTTCTATGTTTAGATCCACATTTTGCTTTTTGAAGTTGGCACAGGGACCCAGGAAGTTTTAAGGTAGCAGAATCTGCTGCCCCTAAACATGCCACTTTGGCATAAGATTATTTCCAGCTGAAGGCAATTGAGAAAAAGCAGATACAAGAAAAGCTCTCTGTCTTCCCCCTATTATTTGCATAGAAACAGGATAACTTTGCAAGGGTAGCCTTCCTCTCCTCTCTACCAGGGAGGACGAGGTAAAATTACCAGAGACAACTGTAAACCCTTTCCGCCTGGAGATGGCACCAGAGGAATCTATATAACAATTTTTACCAACTTTAGTCTGTATCTTCCATTAGTTTGTCCATAATATTTATTTTCCCACAGTTTCCCACCCTAGAAATGCAAAGTCCTTTTTCTTTGTCTTGTCACTTCTCTAAAAAAATTATTATTCTTTAGCTGAGATGCTATGTAAGCCTAACTTCTAACCACACCTTTGAGTTACTCATCTCCCAGTGCTCCCATGTGTATTTATGATGCGTATGCTCATAAACTTATGTTTGTTTTTCTCTTGTTGATTTGTGTTTTGTCAGTCTTACTTATAAGGCCCCAGCCGAAGAACCTAGATAGGAGAAAAAAAATTTTTTCCTCCCCTGCAGAGTCTACTAATTTCTTAGCAGAATATTTAAATTCTGTATAACTTATAAGACCAAAAACAAAAGATGCCGGCAGCAAGTTGACATCCTTTTCAAGTACAGATGTGAGTACTTAGAGGTTTATGTTGGAAGAATTCAGTTTTGTTGGTGATGGGGTGAACTGAGGGAGAAATTTTAACACAATCCATAATGATTTATTTATTTATTGAGATGGAGCCTTGCTCTGTCACCCAGGCTGGAGTGCAGTGGCACAATTGCAGCTCACTGCAATGTCCGCCTCCTGGGTTCAAGCAATTCTCGTGCCTCAGCCTTATGAGTAGCTGGGATTACAGGCACAAGCCACCAGCCCGGCTAATTTTTGTATGTTTAGTATAGATAAGTTTCATGTCATGTTGGCCAGGCTGGTCTTGAACTCCTGACCTCCAGTGATCTGCTCCCTTCGACCTCCCAAAGTGCTGGGATTACAGGCATGAGCCACTGCGCCCAGCCACATAATTTTTTAAAACACCCTATAGGTCATTTGTAACTCAGGATTCCCTAATTCCCGTGACATGGAGGATGCCTGGAGACAAAAGAGTCTCCACAGTTTCTGTCAGACTCTATTTTAACATATATAAGCAAAATAAGGATTAAATGTACTTGGCTTTTGGTGGGAATAGGGTGGAATAGGTTCTGGTAACTGTACCATAAACTTCTATTTTCTATAAGTTTTTTCTTTTCTGCTTCTCCACTTTTAAAGTCATTTGTTTAGGGGCCCAGAAAACTTCTGAGACTGCATATTTATCTTTTATAAAGGGAACTCAAAGCAGACAGTGGACGGGTCTAATTATTTTCTAAAATAAAGTCACTCTGCACCAGTTTCACTCATGATTAAGGACATTAAGCATTTAGTCATTTCTATGTCACACCTTTGCCTTTGTAGGGTGTTTTAAAAGTTACCTTAGCTTCACACGAGCCATTCATGGCTAATGAATAAAACTAATGAATTACTAATGAATAAAAACACACAAAAAAGAATTCTGCTATGATGTGTGAAGGTCCTTCATGTTTTCTAAAAAAGATTAAGTGTATATGACTAGTACTAATTCAGAGGAATATAACTTTATTATGATCAATTAAGAACAACTCTTACTAATAATGCTTAGGCATTTTTGACCAGGATTTTTTTGCTAGTGTTCCTAAAATTTTATTTTAGGGGTAAGCATCTGCTCAACAGTCGAATAATTTGACTTCTTGGATTAAATGTTTAATCAATTTTTTTCTGATGGAACTTATTTCAATGTAGTATCTCCTTCTTTTCCTCTACCCTCACATCTCATTCACAAATAATTCCTTTTAGTTTTGTCTCAAAAATAAGTCTCATGTCTGCTCACTTCTCCCCATCTCCACTGCCAACATCCTAGTTCAAGCTATTCTCTTTTCTCCCCTGGACCATGTGATGCTGCTGTTCTAACTGGCTTCCTGTTTCCACTCTTGCCTGTCTGTAACTTGTTTTCCATGCCACAGCCAGAGTAACTCCTTAAAGAAAGAAAATCAGACCAGTTCCTTTCCTTGCACATAGATTTCAATTAGCTTCCCAATGCTCTTTGAATAAAATAAAACTTTGAAAATGTAATCTTTGGTTTGACCCTTCATAATATTTCCAACATCATCTCATGATTCTATTATTCAAACTTTCTCTCTCTCACACACATACACACAAACACACACTCTGTTGTACAAAGTAGGCACAAAGATGCTCCACTAACACAAGCGCTGCAAATATAAAATAAGGATTCACTGGAGAAAACACTCGCAAGCAGAGGGTAACAGAGTGTACATCATTCCCTGGGCTCTCCTGCTCCCACTGAGGGGTGTGCACGTTTGGACTACACACACACTAGCCAACAATTCCATACCGAGGGATTCCATCTCTGTGATACTCACACCAGGGTCAGCAAACATTTTCTTAAATAGTTTAGTCTCATGGGCTCTATAGTCTCTGTCAAAACTACTCAGCTCTGCTGTGTACTGCAAATGCAACCATACATAATATGTAAGTGAATGTATGTGCCTATGTTGCTATAAAACTATTATGTCTACTGAAATGTGAATTTCATATAATTTTCATGTGTCACAAAATCTCATTTTCTATCAATTTTTAAACATATTAAAAATGTAAAATCTATTGTTAACTTGCTGGCCCTACAAAAATAGGCAGCAGGCCAGGTTTGGCACATTGGATATAGTTTGCTAACCCCTACTGTACACATTTATAGGGAAAACAGAACAAGGAACATCCATTTGACTGTGGAACAACAGAAGCTCCTTGGTGAGGCAAATACCTTTGTTAGAAACAGAGAGGAACTTGTAACCCCTGTGTTTTAGGAGGCCGAGGCAGGAGGATCACTTGAGCTCAGGAGTTCGAGACCAGCCTGGCCAACATGGCAAAACTTCGTCTCTACTAAAAACACACAAATTAGCCAGGCTTGGAGGCACGCACCACCTGTAATCCCAGTTACTCGAGAGGCTGAGGCACAAGAATTTGCCTGAACCCAGGAGGCAGAGGTTGCAGTGAGCTGAGATTGCACCACTGCACTCCAGCCTTGGCAACAAAGTGAGACTCTGCCTCAATACAACCCCCAAAACAAAAACCAAAACAACAAACAAAACAAAACAAAAAACAAACAGAGGGGACTTCTAGAGGTGAAAGCTGGAATCAGTCTGTTCTGCTGAACTAACTCAGACCTCTGGGCCAACTTTCAGCTAAATTATGTTTCCAAAGCCATTGGAATTTGCCTCTCTGACTGTCTCCTCTCTATACACATGCATGCACACACATAACATGTACACCCTTCCTCCTCAAAACTTCAGCAATATAACACTGGCCTTCTTTCAGTTTTTACAAACAGCCGGGTACTTTCAGGACTCAGGATTTTTGCTCTTGTACTTCAAGTTCACTCTTTATCGCCAGTGCCCCACATAGTCTGAGGAAGATAATAGGTATTTCTCAAATATTTGTTAAAAAATGATTGTCTACACTGTTATAGAGGATATAGATAGACAATACATCGATAGATATTTACCAATTACTTCATTGAACTTCAAAATGAAGGAGAGATGAAATTTGAGGAAATGAAATATATAAGAGAGACTTCAAATTACCCTAGGCTACTAGAGTGTTGTCCTAGACTTGAGAGGAATTCCATTCAAAGGAAGCCATGGGAAATCGAATGTTCTGGGTGATAGAACATGTCCCATCCCAGAGAGTTTCTTCCTGACTGCTAAAGATAATTATTGTTCCACAGCTTTGGATATAGAATTAGGACAGAGCTAGAGGGAAATTCTAGCTTCAGTATTGCAACAAAGTTGTGGAGGGGTTCTAGTAGTCTTTTAACCTGTATAAGCTTCATTTTCTTTATATGAAATGGGAGTTGGATTATATGATTTTTGATTCCTTTTCATTATGAAATACTATTATTCCAAGTATCCCACATGTATACATGATATGAAGACTTTATGGATCTAGAGGTGATGTTTGTTGCATTTGTCTCTCAGATGAAAATGCCATTTGGGGGCTGGGCTTGGTGGTTCACACCTGTAATCCCAGCTATTTGGGAGGCCGAGGCAGGAGATCACCTGAGGTCGGGAGTTTGAGACCAACCTGGCCAACATGTTGAAACCTCGTTTTTACTAATACTACAAAAATTAGCCGGGTATGGTCATATGTGCCAGTAATCTCAGCTACTTGGGAGGCTGAAGCAGGAGAATCAACTGAACCCGGGAGGCAGAGGTTGTGGTGAGCCGTGATCGTGCCACTGCACTCCAGCTTGGGTGACAGAGTGAAACTCTGTCTCAAAAAAAAAAAAAAAAAAATGCCAGTTGGGTAGTTTGACATTTATACACGAAGGCAAAATTTCCAGGCAAGTTCCCCCTCAGGGCAATTTTTCGACTTTGAGAGTCTAACAAAGCTGCCCTAGAAAACAAGAAGGGTGTGAAAATGATTCTCTGTGTGCTGTCACCATTTGACGCTTGACTTAAGTAGATCAAGAGCGTGTGACAGAAAAAAGATATTTCTAACAAGAGTGTAATGTTACTCACCTTTTATTACCTAGCTCCTCTGTACAGAGAGCAGCAGCAGTGTTTACCTGGCACAGGGCTAAACTGGAGCTGTCCAAAGTGGCAGGCAGATTCCCCCGAGTTGGTTACAGAAGCAAGTGTGAATACAGGTTCAGTGGTGTTAAAGCTGTGGATGCTGTACAGGATGCTTGGATTGGGTCAATTAACTTTCCAAACAAGAAAACAACAGCTTCACCCTCATTATATCTCAGAAATGTTGGATTAGACCCACATTAAGTTAGCCAGCTCCTGTGCTATAATACATAATATGAGACAAAAGCATTTCTCTGATG
Source organism: Homo sapiens (assembly GCF_000001405.40). NCBI lineage: Eukaryota > Metazoa > Chordata > Mammalia > Primates > Hominidae > Homo > Homo sapiens. The sequence continues at coordinate 394,036 of NW_025791796.1, read as the reverse complement.
TTTTACTTTTTCCCCAAGGCTAGCTCAAAAAGGCAGTGTGGATCGGAAGCATTATTGTTCTGATCTCAGCAGCACACATCCATCTGCTTCACTTGATTTTGACTACATATCATTACACCTATTTACTTTCTGCAAAGTCCTTGAAAATAAGAACAGCTTTTCCCTTTATGAGAAGGGGTAGGCAACTCAGGCATAGTAGAAAAACAGTGGATTTGAGTAAGGAGCCTAGGACTTGAATTACAACCTAGGCTTTACCAATCCTGGAAACTTTGTCCATTGCATCATCTCCTTTCATGGACAAAAGGGGATCACAAACCTGAAGTTTCTCTGAGACTGTCTGATTGTCCTGGAGAGGAGAGGTAGCCTTTTCTATGTTAGCCATCAAAGAATGAAGGAGCAGAAATAGGGAGAAGGTCTCTTGGTGTTTGCTGGAGGATGGAGGCATTATGAACAGAGCCCTCAGGGAGTGAGCTCTGGTCCTGTGCTCAGTGAGGATCAATTTACCAGCTAGAGGAACAGTGTCAGGAGACTGTTCTGTGCTGGTTCTTTCCTTCCTCTGGGGCCTCCGTTCTCTGGAGATCCTTGGTGCCTCCTGCCTTTGTTTTCCAGTAGAGAAGAAAATATCTTTTCCAGCCTCCAAATTGTCAGGGATGGTATGAGATATAATCAGTCTTCAAGCTCACTCAGAGCACCTACCAGGTATCCAAGGGAAAGTCTACCAAAGTAACACAGGGTGTTATGGCTGTGATGCAGAAAGCTGTTCACTGGGCCTCTAGTGAGTGGTGTCAGTTATGGGTTTTGGGGACAGAGTTACCTCTGATTTTTTTGAGAAAAAAGAGATGGCTGGATTTGTGATGAGATCTCAGGCATAGAGGGCAGTGTAATGACAGCAGGAATCCATCTCCTCTCAGGACCACCATGATTTTCTTATAGACCTTTTCCTTTCTTGCTTGGGGTTGAGGTCTGTGACTCCCAAGCAGTTGCTTCTCAGGGCACACTTGCCAGGCCCAGGAGAGGCCAGAGCAGGGCACTAGCTCTTCCCCAGCAGTTGCATCTGAAGTTGGGCTCTAAGCCTTTCTCATCCCTGATGCAGGTGCAGGTCTTTCAGCACAACTCATTTGCTGTCCTTCTATCTCCAAATATGGAAGAAGTTTTATCTCAAAGACTTAGTTAATTTTACTTCCTCCTTTCAGCAGCTTTGATTTTTTTTCTCTGTTGACAGCATTAGATCTAAAATTGGCAAATAAAACCCCCTATGATTCAGCTCTAACATATTATTATGTTTTAAAATTTTAACTTTTATTTTAGATTCAGGAAGTACACGTGCAGGTTTGTTACATGGTTATATTGTGTGATGCTGAGGTTTGGGATGTAATTGATCCTGTCACCCAGGTAGTAGGTACCTAGTAGTACCTACTAAGCATAGTACTTAGTAGGTAGCTTTTTAGCCCTTCATCCCTTCCCTCCTCATCTGGTAGTTTCCAGTGTCTATTGTTGCCATCTTTATGTCCATGTGCACCCTCTGTTTAGCTCTCACTTGTAGGTGAGAACATGTGATATTTGGTTTTCTGTTCCTGTGTTAATCTGCTTAGGATAATGATTTTCAGCTGCACCCATGTTGCTGAACAGGACATGATTTCATTGTTTTTCATGGTTGCATATTATTCCATGGTGTATATGTATCACATTTTCTTTGTACAACCCAGTGCTAATGGACGCCTAGGTTGATTCCATGTCTTTGCTATTGTGACTAGTTCTGTGATGAACATATGAGTGCATGTATGTTTTGGTAGAATGATTTATTTTCCTTTGGTTATATATCCAATAATGGGACTGTTGGGTAGAATGGTAGTTCTAAGTTTTTTGAGAAATCTCCAAACTGCTATCCACAGGGGCTGACCTAATTTACATTTCCACCAGTAGTGTATAAGCATTCCCTTTTTCTCTGTAGTCTCACCCATACATACTGTTTTTTGACTTCTTACCCACAGCCATTCTGACTGGTGTGAGAGGATATCTCATTGTGGTTTTAATTTGTATTTCTCTGATCATTAGTGATGTTGAGAGCATTTTTAAAACTATGTTTGTTGGCCACTTGTATATCTTCTTTTTTTTGGGATGGAGTCTCATTCTGTTGCTCAGGCAGGAGTACAGTGGCACGATCTCAGCTCACTGCAACCTCTGCCTCCCAGGTTCAAGCAATTCTCCTGCCCCAGCCTCCCAGGTAGCTGGGATTACAGGCGTGCAATGCCACGCCCAGATAATTTTTGTAATTTTAGTAGAGGTGGGGTTTCACCATGTTGGCCAGGCTGGTCTCGAACTCCTGACCTCAGATGATGCACCCACCTTGGCCTCCCAAATTGCTGGGATTACAGGTGTGAGCCACCATGCCCAGCCTATCTTCTTTTGAGAAGAGTTTGTTCATGTCTTCTGATCTCTTTTTAATGGTGGTGTTTGTTTTTTGCTTGTTGAATTAAGTTCCTTATAGATTTGGATATGATACCTTTGTTGGATGCATAGTTTATGAATATTTTCTCCCATTCTGTAGGTTGTCTGTTTACTCTGCTGATAGTTACTTTTGCGATGTAGAAGCTCTTTAGTTTAATTAGGTCCCACTTGTCAACTTTTGTTTTTGTTGCAGTTGCTTTTGAGGACTTAGTCATAAATTCTTTCCTAAGGTCCATGAACAGAATACTGTTTTGGAGGGGTTCTTCTAGGATTCTTATAGTTTGAGGTCTTACATTTAAATCTTTGTTCTACTCTTTGAGCTAACTTTTGTATATGGTGAAAGATAGGGTCCAGTTTCAATTTTTTGCACATGGCTAGCTTACTATTGCAGTATTGAATTGAATAGGGAGTGGTTTCCCCACTGAATAGGAAATCCTTTCCCCATTGCTTATTTTTGTTGACTTTACTGAAGATCAGATGTCTATAGGTATGCGGCTTTATTTCTCAGTTATCTATTCTGTTCAGTTGGCCTATATGTCTGTTCTCGTATCAGTATCATGATGTTTCGGTTAGTGTAGTTTTATAGTATAGTTTGAAATCCATCAGTATGATGCCACCAGCTTTGTTCTGTTTGCTTAGGATTGCCCTGGTTATTTGAGCTCTTTGGGGTCTATATAAATTTGGAATAGTTTTTTTAATGCTATGAAAAATGACATTGGTAATTTATTAGGAATAGCGTTGAATCTGTATATTGCTTTGGGCAGCATGGCCATTTTAGTGGAAGGATATTGATTCTTCCACTCCATGATCATGGAATGTTTTTTCCATTTGTTTATCTAAAACTGTCACAGAGTTAACAGAAGACTCTTTTTTTTTTCCCAGAGGTGTAGATTTTCCAGCTATATTTTAATATGTCTTCTCATCTAAGCACTACATTACCTTCTTTCCTGAAAGCAGGAAAGGGAATTTCCATGGGGGCTTCTTAGTCAGCTTTTTGTAGGCTTTCCCGAGGACAGAGGCAGGTGTCTTTGTAATACCAGCTGGGAGAGTAGGTGTGAAAATATGTTGGGATGGAGATGAGCAAATGTATTCGTCGTAGAATTCAGGTACTGTAAGTTGAGCCTGTCCTTTGCTCCTTGAGGATTCATTTACTGCCTGCAGAAGAACAGTGCTAGGAGACAGCTCTCTACTGGGTATTCCCTTACTCACCCCCATTCTTGTCTGGACACCCAGGGTAAGACATCTGTATTGCAGGAGTTTAATTTTGCCTTCTGATAAGTTGATGTCAATTGTGGGTTCTAAGGACAGATCACCCATTCCCACGAGAAAGGGTAGACTGGCTGGGGGAGTAATGGATCTTAGGCAAGGGGGCTGTGGAATTTCAACGGGTATCACTCTCTCCCCAGGACAACCATGGCCTCCTTAGTGATCTTTCTCTCTCTTCTTTCAATTAGAGCTTCTGGGTCACAACAGTTTCACTGAAGAGCACTGCCTCTCATAGGACATTCACCAGGCCTCAAGGTGCTCTTGGTCAGGGAGCCATAGCAGGGCCATTCTGCAGCAGTGTGCAGAGAAGCTGTAATTGGGGTTTGGACTTCAAGGTTTCTTCATCCCCAACAAAAGAGCAAGTCTTTTAGTACAACTCATTATCTGTCCTTTTCTACTCCTTGAAGGATTTCTTTTTTTTTCTTTCTCTTTTTTTTTCTTTTTTTTTTTTTTGAGACAGAGTCTTGCTCTGTCACCCAGGCTGGAGTGCAGTGGTGCGATCTTGGCTCACTGCAACCTCCAACTCCTAGGTTCAAGTGATCCTCCTGCCTCAGTCTCCTGAGTAGCTGAGACCACAGGCATCTGCCACCATGCCTGGCTGATTTTTGTATTTTTAGTGGAGACAGGGTTTCACCATGTTGGTCAGGCTTGTCTCAAATTCCTGGCCTCAAGTGATCCACCCACCTCAGCCTCCTAAGGTGCTAGGATTACAAGTGTGAGCCACCACACCCAGCCTAGAAATTTTCATCTTAAACATCTCACTTCGTTTAAGCACCTTCAATGTTTCCCAAGGCCACTGAAAAAAATCTCAAAATCCATATCCTGATTAGTAAGGCAACATAGCACTGCACTATCTTTCAAGTCTTGCATCTAGAAAAGACACACCAGAAGCACTTAAGGGTGAAGAGCAAGGTATCTGTAATGTGCTCTCAAAAGGTATATATGTAGAGAAAGACAGAGCAACAGAAGGGCTGAAAGGAAAAAATAAAACAATTGTGGTAAAATGTTAACAGTTTGGGATCTGGATAAAGGGAATATGGAAGTTCTTGCAACTTTTCTGTAAATCTGAAATTATTTCAAAATAAAAAATTACAAAAAATTATTAGATTACCTGTACTTATCAAGTATGCTTTTTTTTTGTTCTCCAGGTCACATTTGAAAGAACATTCTCTAAACATTTGCAAAGAAAAATTCAATTTTCCTTATGATTTAACTGGGTCCTAGTGAAGATGTCAAGAAGGAAAAATGCAAAATGTGGGCAAAACTGTATGGAATGATTTTAGTTGTAGTGACCTGTAACTAGGTAGACAGAATTCTGCTTTCTGCTGAAGATATTTTGTGGTTATGCCTGGCTAAGCATACAACTTCCAGAAATCGGTCAGCAGCTAGTTAACATTTACTATGTATATACCAGTTTTCTGGGTTGAGAATGAATATGAGAATTGGAAAAGTAGAGACATTCAAATATCTGTAAAAGATTATCCTCATATACAAGGCATTTATTTATCATGGGAAAATTAACACTAATATTCCAGAAAAAAATATTAAAAAGATGCCATGAGAAAAACAATGCTTATACACTGCTGGTAGGAGTGAAAATTAGTTCAACCATTGTGCAAGATAGTGTGGTGATTCCACAAAGACCTAAAAACACAAATACCACTCAACACAGTCATTTCATTACTGCGTATATGCCCAAAGGAATATAAATCATTCTATTATGAAGACATAACAATGAGTATGTTGATTATGGCACTATTCACAATAGCAAAGACATAGAATCAATCTAAATGCCCATTAATGATAGATTTGATAAAGAAAATGTGTCGCACATACACCATGGAATACTATGCAGCCATAAAAAGAGCAAGATCGTGTCTTCTACAGGGACATGGATGGAGCTAGAGGCCATTATCTTTAGCAAACTAACACAGGAACAGAAAACAAAATACTGCATGGTCTCACTTATAAGTGGGAGCTAAATAATGAGAACACATGGACACATGCATGGGAGAGGGAACAACATACACTGGGGCCTGTTGAAGGGTAGAGGGTGTGAGGAGGGAGAGGATCAGGAAAAATAATGAATGGGTACTAGGCTTAATACCTGCGTGATGTACAACAAACCCCCATGACACAAGTTTACATATGTAATAAATCTGCATGTACCCCTGAACTTAAAATAAAAATTTAAAAAGATGCCACAGATAAGATAATTTATAAAATTATTTAACAAATAAGAATTTTGGATCTCTACAGGGCATTTACCTTGAGATAGAAATAGATGTATATTGTAAATATAAAGGTCCTTTCATAACCCAAAACCTATTTCATGAGACTCTATCACTGAAGTAAAATGTGAGAGCTTCTCCAGTGGTATATTTATAGTTTGTGACATCTCTTGAGAAATATTTTTTGTATTTTCTCAAGTATATATGCTTGTATATATCAGATCTCTATCTCAACTATCTATCTAATCATCTATCTATATTTAAATTAGTAGACTGGATTATCAATTGTTATTTGTATTATATTTTACAGCCTACTCACTTTATTCTAGCAGTTCATTTACACTTGTGAAATGAATCAATTTAAATAGTAACAAAATAGGAACAATCTGACAACTTTTTAGGGATACTTCTACTCAGGAATATGTGGCAGGAGAAACTGTACAATGTGATTGATAACAATCTTCATTTTGAAATATTGCTAGCATGGCTTCATCACAATTCACTCTGTCATGGACAGTGGTCAGCACTTGGCCATCTGCCACCCACTGCACTACCTTATCCTCATGACTGATGAAAATAGAGATCGAATGTTTAAGGAAATTGACCAGCCAAGAGAGACACACCATGAAGTGTCTTTTTTTTTCTTTTGAAACTTTCTTTCTAAGTGACACGATGTTGTAGGTTGGGTTCCCTGGAAACAGATCCTATCATTTGTATGCATAAGGTTTCTTGTGGAGTTCTCTTGAGAACAATACCTATAAGGGAGTGATGAAAGTAGGATCGGGCAGAAGTTGAATTGTGATGAAGTTGCAGCAAAAGTCTCAGCTGATGCCATGTGGAGCTCTGGAACTGGGATGGCCATTTATACTTGTCACCAAGTGTCAGGCCTTTGTACACCAGCGTTGACCAACTGTTGGATTTGAGCTGCCCCTGGAAGGAGGGAAAATCAATGACAAGTCCCTTTGGCTTAGGGCAACTTCTGGCAAGGGATTTAGCTATGATCTAGTCATCAGCGTACTATACTTCTGGCAGCTGGGGGAATGCATGCCTCAGGCCTGAAGGAAAGCTCTGGGCAGCACATTATAACATCCATTATACAACACATGGGCCCGCTGACAGCCTTTCCCTACACCGATGCCACATCTCAGAACATGCACTATGTAAATTTTCTTATTATCATTCTCAGTATTTTGTACATCCCTGGACCATATACGTTGATCCTAAGAGCTATGCTTCAGCTGCTTTCAGCAGCTAGCCATCAAAATGCCTTTTCTATCCGTGGGTCTCACTTAATAGTGGTGTCTCTGTTCTGTGAAACCATATGATGATGTGTGTGAATCTCATATCTGACCATTTAGTATAAATGAAGATGACAAATCACAATATCATAATGATATCCTCCATAAAGACTCTAGTTTTAAACTTTGTCAATTACACCTTACTCAATATGAACTTAAAACCTATCTTCAGTTTTTTTTTTATGGAATGAGTATTAGCCAAAGCTCAGGAACAGTTCTTCCTGCCCTGTCAAAGGACCCTGGTTTTCTTAATTATTTATTTCTGGCCTACTATATGAAGTAAAAATACTTGGTATACCTAATCTTATTTTGGAGGGATTTGCATATTGTAAGGTTAAATGCAAAAGCAAGATATAGAGAAGACTATGTGGTATAATTTGATTTTTGTAAGATAATGAAAAAACCTGATATATGATAATAAATATTTATATAGAATTAGAAGCATGGAGAATAGTATGAAAGAATATACTGGGTTGTTAATGCTGCTTATCTAGCATAGATGGAAGGTGGTAGAGTGAAAAGCAGATTGGGGAAGAAGTGGTGGTGGTGGGGGGAAGTAGTAAGGAAAAAACAGAGGAGTCTAAAAAATCAGCATCTACAGCACTTCCAATTGCACTTGTGAGTATGTGTGTGTGCATGTGTGTATGAAAGCATACATGGAAGAGGTTCACTAAAATCAATGGTGATTACTCAGAGTGGTGGGATTTTAGATGATTTCTAAATATTTTTTATATTATACTGTTTGATAATTATTACAGTGAGTATTATTTATGTATTGATAAAAGAGTAAGCTATTTTTTCTTATTGTGAACAAAAAGATCCATTGCATTAAATAAGTCTTTCTTGAATAGAAATAAATGTCACTGTGTCCCTTGGAGTTAAAAAGAAAGCTAAATACTGAATTCATAAAAGAAGGTCAGATACACAAGGTACACTCCAGATAATGTGATTGTCTCAAAGGAAAACGAGTTCTGAGTGTAATATTTTAAATATCAGTATAATATTTGAACTTTAATGTGTTTTGAATACTGATTTTCATATTTCAATACCCAAATGACATATTTATTGCCCTCTTTTTCTTTTCATCTATCTATATGTCTCTATTTAATTGTTCGTTGAATTGTAAATTATATTACATCTTTGAGCCATACTTATTTGATTAAGGATGCCCATTAATAAGTCAATAGGTGTGGCTAATTATAAATTATGATGGATAGTAAATGCTGTATGGATACTTATTCCACGTATCCATAGAACACTTTCATTCTGTATATTGTGATATGCTTCTAAATAGACAGTAATCTGAGGATGTCTATATGCAGTTTTCAGAACTTGACCTGTTCCCTCATCCCTTAATACTCCTGGCTTTTATCTGTGCTGTTCTTCTACTTGCTCCCATAGCAATTTATAATGGCCCTGGTTGGTAGCATATCTTGGGGCATCTGCTACCGGCCTCCCACTGGCTTATGGGCCCCACAAGGGAAGGAACTGTGTTTTGTTCACTTATGTGTATGATTCACCCTCTAGCTCAGGGCCTAGAATACTGAATGAGTCTAATTTTTAAAATAAAAAAGTGGCCATGAAGATGATACACAATGATAAAAAATGACCAACTTCAGTTTTTCATGGTTTATTTATTCTCACAGGTCCTCAAGGAAGGAGGACCTTTCCTATTTCTTCCTAACAAAGCCAAAGCATTTGAGTGAGATGTCACTAAGAGTGTGTCAATTGCCTTCTTTTTTCATTTTCCATCAATAATCAGCTCTCTTCCTAGTTTCCTAAAGGATCAAATAGTTATGAAGAAATGTTTCCCTGTTTCTAATTTTATGGTGAGATAGTTTTAACATTTATTTTTTAATGTTAACGTTAGATGTTGTTTAAACGCAATACATGCACATAGAACAACATTTTAAAAATACAAAGGCATGTCAAGGGGAATATTCCTCTCTCTGCCCCCAGAAACCCAATTCTCCTTACTAACAGCAATCACTGTTACTAGTTTCTTCTTCAAGAAACATATTGTGTATTTATGAACATAAATATGTACATATCTGTACAATCTTTCTTCTTCATATGAAAGAGAGGCAGATAGAGCATTCCTCCACCTTGCTTTTTAACAATATAGCATAAGGATACATTCATATTAAAAGATACATACAGATCCTCATTTTAAAAAGTTACATAGTATTCCACCCTATGATTATACACTAATTTACCTGATCAGTTCTTAGTGGGAATTTAGATAGATCCAATCTTTTGCTATTAGAAGCAGTAGTCAATATTCTTGTACATGTGTCATTTTTCTTGTGTGAGTATACCAGTAAGATAAGCGTCTAGGATTTTGGAGTTGTTGAATCACAGGAAATGACTTTTAAATTTTGATAATTATTGCAAGATGTCCTCCATAGATGTTGTACCAATGTATGCTCTACTGGCAAAAACTGCCATTTTTTCCAACTTCATTTTTGATCTTTGTTAATTTTGGGGAAAAACATGTATATTTATTATAGTTTTATTTGCTTTTCTTGCCTTATGATAAAACAGAGTGTCTTTTTACTTGCTTAAAAGCTTTTTACTGTTGGCTTTTTTCAGATATTTGACACTCTTCCTGTTGTGCTAATGGTCATGAAGTCTTTGCCTAAGCCAATGTCTAGAAGGGATTTTCCGATGTTATCTTCTAGAATTTTTATGGTTGTGCTAATGGTATTTTTCTTATTGATCTGAAGATATATTGACATATCAAAGATACTAATCTTTTGTCTATAATAATATTACCATGAAGAATATTCTGGAAGACAGAAATATAAGCTCAATTAAAGAAATAAAGTGAACTTATTGTTGCTGAAAGGGAAATAGAAAACTTTAGGTTTTGCCCTAAGGTTATGACCATGTGTAACTTGTAAGGGCAAATACAAATAAAAAAAATAAAAGGCTTAATGATCCCTGTTGAAAATAAGGGAAGAGACTTTCTTCTCTCCTTTGCATAGAGCATTTACTTTAGAAAACCTATAATTTTTTTGGAAAGATGTATGTAAATTTTTTTTTCCTTATCTTAGGGATTGGGTCTCACTCCTGCTCAGCCTGGAGTGCAATGGTGCGGTCATAGCTTGTTGCAGCCTTGAACTTTTGGGCTCAAGCAATTTTCCCACCTCAGCCTTCTGAGTAGCTAAGGCTACAAATGTGTGCCACACCCAGCTAATTAAAACAATTATTTTGTAGAAGTGGATCTCACTATGTTGCCCAGGCTGGTTTGAGTCCAAGCTGGTCTTGAACTCCTGGCCTCAAGTGATCCTTTTGCCTCAGGCTCCCAAAGTGCTGGTATTAGAGGTGTGAGCAACTGCATCTGGCCTATAAATTTTTGCAAAAGCTAAACAAAGCCTCTGGCTAGCTTTATGACCCAGGAATATCTTTCTCAAGGACCTCGAAAAAGGAAGTTAGTGCTCCCATCTCCCAGTTTCTGTGAAAGGGTAGAAGCCAATTTTGGCAGTCTAGTCATTAAATTGCAAAACTATTTCCTGTCGTAAAGATATGAATTTATTTTTCCTTTGTATAAAGTCAATGAACAAATACCAATGGCCACTCCAATTACCAGGTGAACCCAGGATGAACTATGTGTGACTTGAGGACTAGTTATTGTTTATTTTGAGAACATGCATGTATTGGGTTGTATTTACTTTGCTATACAAAAGGGTGAGATGTCTTTCTGTCCTTGCAGTCTCTCAGTGGATTGTCTGTGACATGTATCACATTCTGGTTTAATACTTATTCAATAATAAAACTACTTTCTTTCTCTTATACCTTTGTGGAGAAGTTTTCTGGGTTGGTAAGAGATTTGTTTTTAATTATATTTCCCCAACAAACTCAACCAAATTTTTTCAATTTACAGGCCCATCATTTGGAAAATTAAAGAGATAGAATACATCTTTGACATCTCTTGTAGCCCTATGAATTCTAGAAAATAAAACATTACAGTGTAGTTCCTCATTGCATGTTTCATTTCCTTGTTCCTCAGACTGTATATGACAGGATTAATAAGGGGAGTGACCACAGAATAGAACAGAGTCACAGTCTTCTGCATTCCGAATTCATGCCCAGATGTTGGGCTCACATACGTGATCATCATTGAGCCATAAACAGTGAAACTACAGCCAGGTGGGAGCCACAGGTAGAGAAAGCCTTTCTTCTTCCAGATGCTGAAGGAACCCTCAACACAGCTCTCAGGACCAGAGCATAGCACCCCACGATGAAGAGAAAGGGAATAAATAGAAGTAGAGAACTTAAGGTGGAGCTAGTCAACTCTAGTAGAGGGGCTCTGGTACAGGTGAGGGCTAACAGAGGACCTGGGTCACATGGGAAGTGGTCAATAATCCTAGATCCACAGGTCATTTGAGAAATGACACTGATAGGAATCAGGAACCACAAGAAACCAAGTACCCAGCAGCTGCCCACAAGAATGTTGCAGAGACGTCTGGTCATAATGGTTGGATAGCGTAGAGGCCGGCAGATGGCAAGGTATAGGTCAAATGCCATAGCTCCCAGGAAAAAGCATTCTGTAGAGCCCAAGGAGAAAAAAAAGTAGAATTGGAGGAAGCAGCCAGAGAACGAGATGATCTTGTGTCAGAGAGGAAGTTGGCCAGCACGTTGGGGACTGTAGAGGTGACATAACAGATCTCCAGGAAGGAGAAGTTGGCGAGCAGGATGTACATGGGGGCATGGAGTCTCTGACCCAGTGCACAGCACAGTTGATGGAACCATTGCCCATGAGGGTCAGGAGGTAAACAACAGTGAAGAGCACAACGAGGAGGATCTGTCCCTCCCTGGGGCAAGGGAAGCCCAGGAGGATGAAGCCAGTGAAGGTGCTGGAGTTGCTGGGGGTGTTGAAGATTTTCATGTGCCTGTGACCTGTAAAATCACGAGCAATTACTGGATGGCAGTGAAAAGATAGAAGGGAACTCATTTATATTTAAGCCATCTCTGGGAATGCAATAAGCACATCTATCAACAGTGACTCTCTCTCTCTCTCTATATATACACACACACACACACACACACACACACACACACACACACACACACACGATTCAGGGTCTCGCTCTGTTGCCCAGGCTAGAGTGCAGTGGCACAATCATGGCTCACTGCAGCATTGACCTCCCCAGCTCAGGCAATCCTGCCTCAGCCTCCTAGGTAGCTGGGACCACTATGTGGCATGTGCCACCACACCAAGAAAATTTCAAAATTATTTGTAGAGGAGGAGTCTTCCTATATTGCCCAGGCTGGTCTTGAACTTCTGGGCTGAATTAATCCTCATGCCTTGGCCTCCCAAAATGCTGAGATTACCGTCCTGAACCACCTGTGCCTGGCCAATAGTGACTATTTTTGCCTAATCCTGAAATATTGTCCACTTGGACAATAGTTGTTGGTCTATAAAATATACTACAAGTCAGTATCAGTGAATAAACACAGAAGTTTCCTTATTGTGAATTGTATGGAAACATGCATAATACATAAATGTACATCTTAATAAAAGATCATAATGGAAAAACATCATTGTAACTACCACTGAGGTCAAGAAATAGAATATTGCATCCTAGAATCTCCTCACATGCCCCATCGCCATCACTCTCTGGCCCTCCCTCCCTCTAATCATAACACTCTTTCTTCTTTATGATCATCACTTCCTTGTTTTTCTTTACAATTTAATAACTCAGCATGCACCTCTAAACAATAGTACAGTATTAAATTTTGCTTGTTTTTGTTCTTTGCATAAATGAAATCATACTATTATACGTTTGGATGGTTTCTTTATTCAACAGTAAGTTTGTGAAAGTCATGTTGTTGCATATATCTGTATTCTGACAATTTTTTACTGCTCTATACTGGTACACTGTATGAATGAACCATTACTTCTTAAAAAGATTGAGATAGGGTCGCTATCACTCAGGTTGGAGTGCAGTGCACCATCTCCGCTCACTGCAGCCTCTGCCGCCCCGGCTCAAGAAATCTTCCCGCCTCAGCCTCCTCAGTAGCTAGGACCACAGGCTCGTGCCACCATGCCCGGCTAATTTTATGGATTTTTTTGTCTGTTGTTTGTTTTTTGGTGGAGACAGGGTTTTGCCATGTTGCCCAGGCTGGTCTTGAACTCCTGAGCTCAAGCGATACTGCCTGCCTCGGCCTCCCACAGTGTTGGGATTATAGTCCTGAGCCACTGCGCCTGACTCGAACCATCACTTACTTAAACATTCTACAACAGATAAACATTTTGGTTTACTTCCAGTTTGGGGCTGTTAGGGGTAATGTTACTATTAAAGTGGAAAACTTAAAAGAAATTAAATCTACAGTTTAAGGTTAAGCTAGAATAGGCATGAAGTAGCCCCCTACCAGAAGTAAGAGTTAAGAAAGATTATTAACTGCTCCTCTGTAAGGTCTGTGAAGCATTAACCATATCTCTCCCCCACATATTTTCTAAGTTCTGTAAGCTCCTGTTTTTCTTGCTGTGCAGCTGCAAGGTCACAAGATAGATAAGCATGAGTTGCAAGACATGTTTTCCCAAGATATAAGCTGAGTCCTAAGAATGTCACCTGATAATTAATTGCTTTGTTCTCGCTTTAGTAAGCCAGCTTCCTGCATCATGTAATTCCCGCCTCAAGGTGCATAAAAGGCGTTAGTTTTCTTTTTCTTTCTTTTCTTTTCTTTCTTTTTTTTTTTGAGACGGAGTCTTGCTCTGTCGCCCAGGCTGGAGTGCAGTGGCGCGATCTCGGCTCACTGCAAGCTCCGCCTCCTGGGTTCACACCATTCTCCTGCCTCAGCCTCCCGAGTAGTTGGGACTACAGGTGCCCACCACCACACCCCACTAATTTTTTTGTATTTTTGTTTTTTTTGTTTTTTTTTTAGTAGAGACGGGGTTTCACCGTGTTAGCCAGGATGGTCTTGATCTCCTGACTTCGTGATCCACCCACCTCAGCCTCCCAAAGTGCTGGGATTACAGGCGCGAGCCACAGCGCCCGGCCCAACGCGTTCGTTTTCTTTGTTTGCTGCTCAGACTTTCAGGATGCATGTCCGCTGAGCCGGTGTACACCTAAAATATACCCTCCTGAACTGCACTTGGTCTCTCCAGTCTCTGATTTCCAGCTGCACTATGACCATATGGTTTCTCTCTCCTGGTTCACATGTACATGCATTTCTATTAGCTGGATCATAGGAAGTGTGTATCTTCAACTGTAGAAAATTAAGCTAAAGTTTTCTGTAATTATTGGACTATTTTTCACTACCATTGGCAGTATATTGGAGTTCTCATTGTCAATATCCTTCTCTAACATTAAGGTCTGTATTTACTAGAGGCTTGAGAATGACATATAGATTGCATTTTAACAATTTCTTTCTTTTTTTTTTCTTTTGGTAATATTACCGTGGATAGTTCTCTTCTTGGTAGTACTTTTATTTAAAGTAGTAGTTATATCAAAACTGTTTTGCTTTCAAGAGAAAATTTTGCAAAAGTGATAAAACTGTCTTCAAGCGTGGCTTAGGAGAACATTTCAAGGCATGATGTAATTTATAGCCTCTCTGGGAAGTTCGTTAACTGTCGAGATGAGTTCTGTTATCAATCTTATTATTTAAACCAGACATTCTTTACTGTACCTTTTACTTTTCGTGTATGAAAATTCTCTCTACCAGGGGAAAATTCTTCGAACTGGCTCACTCAACAGCATCTTCCTGAGCATCAAATTTCAAATAGAATTTTGTCACTGGCTTGAAGTCAATTTGAGAAGTTACTTCACCAGAGGTGATTAGGCATTAGCACAGTGCTTTGTACTTAGAAAGCTTTCAATAAATACCCATAAAATGAATGAATAAATACACTTTCTTATTTCCCAGAAAGGGATCACATCCACACAATAATTTTGGGCAAGGCTGACTCAGATTGTGTGTCTGTGGAACAAAGGACCCTTGGATCTATTTGAAATCACTTTTCTCTTTTGAGATAGTGAACTAACTCATTAATTCATGCTATTTGGTAATGCAATTTACCAATTTCAGGAGTAAAATGTTCAAATTAATAGTAGGTAGCTGCTTCTCACTTCTGTTAAAAGAGTTCCCCAGCCATCAAGGGTAGATGGAGCTGAGGAATAGAATCAGGTTTAATTTTGTCTTGTTGAAACAGGTCTTTGATTTTCTGGATTGGGAATATGAGTCTGCAAAATCCATTGGTTACCATTCTAGTTACATAAACAGTGGAACCTGATATTAGCGATCCAATGTTAAGATAGGTTTAGCAGGAAACTTGAAGAGAAGAAAAAAACTTTACATTTTTTTGCGTCCTTTCCCAATCACTGTTTGGAAACACCTCAAGGCAGAATGACTTTGGGTGGCTATACTTTTGCAGAATGGCTTTATGTTCTTTTGAGCTAACAGTCTTAACCAGACTGTATTGTTACTTACCTTTTATTACTCATCTCTTCTGTGCAGAAGAAACTATGATGTTTACCTGCCAGAAATCCCGGCTGGATTGAAAAAAAAAAGAAAAAGAAAAGAAAGTAAAAAAACAAAACAAAAGAAAAAGAAAAAATCTAGCTGATTCACCCTGCATTGGCTGTAGAGGGCAATGTGAACACGGGCACAACACTGTGTTTTTGTACCCAGGCTGCTTGGACCAAGTTAATTAACAACAAAAACTACTTAAAAAAATCTGTTTACTCATTAAATTAGTCAACCCCAGAAAGTGGGGTGAAGATAGACTATGACTGAATGAGCCAAGCTGTGTCACATGCAGTGTGATAAGAAGGCATTTCCCTGATACTTTAATGTTCCCCCAAAGTTCAGTACAGTAGAAGTCTGGACACCCAACTTGGTTGACCCCCCTCCTCAGCCAGCCCAGAGATGTCTCATGACAACACGCTTGCCTCCTCTTTTTTGTTTGCGCAGGTTCAGTGAGGGGGCTGCCACGTCTGTAATGTTGGGCAATCTGTTTCTAGAAAGTACTTTAAAAAGTAAGGATAAGATAATTTTCCAGATTGGGACAAGTGGTAGGCAGCTATACAAGATAGAAAAAGTCCTGGATTTAGAGTCAAGAGTTTTCTTTACTAGTCATAGGAAATTAATACTTTCTTAGTTTCCTTAACTATAAAATGGTCATAATTATGCCTTAAGGGCCGTTGCAAAGATTACTGTATGAAATGGAGTACCTTGACCAGTGCCTGATCAGTAAGAGCTTAAGAAATACTGGTTGTGAATAGTGCCGCAATAAACATACGTGTGCGTGTGTCTTTATAGCAGCATGATTTATAATCCTTTGGGTATATACTCAATAATGGGATGGCTGGGTCAAATGGTATTTCTAGTTCTAGATCCCTGAGGAATCACCACACTGACTTCCACAATGGTTGAACTAGTTTACAGTCCCACCAACAGTGTAAAAGTGTTCCTCTTTCTCCACATCCTCTCCAGCACCTGTTGTTTCCTGACTTTTTAATGATCGCCATTCTAACTGGTGTGAGATGGTATCTCACTGTGGTTTTGATTTGCATTTCTCTGATGGCCAGTGATGATGAGCATTTTTTCATGTGTCTTTTGGCTGCATAAATGTTTACTGTGGCACTATTCACAATAGCAAAGACTTGGAACCAACCCAAATGTCCAATAATGATAGACTGGATTAAGAAAATGTGGCACATATACACCATGGAATACTATGCAGCCATAAAAAATGATGAGTCCATGTCCTTTGTAGAGACATGGATGTAGCTGGAAACCATCATTCTCAGCAAACTATTGCAAGGACAAAAAACCAAACACCACATGTTCTCACTCATAGGTGGGAATTGAACAATGAGAACACATGAACACAGGAAGGGGAACATCACACTCTGGGGACTGTTGTGGGGTGGGGGGAAGGGGGAGGGATAGCATTAGGAGATATACCTAATGCTAAATGATGAGTTAATGGGTGCAGCACACCAACATGGCACATGTATACTTATGTAACAAACCTGCACGTTGTGCACATGTACCCTAAAACTTAAAGTATAATTAAAAAAAAGACAATAATGCAAGAAATCAGACATTTTTCTCTCCTTTTGTGTAGTTTTTAAAGTCATATATTTAATATACTTTTCATTGTGGCCCTTTGGATTGGTGTCAGGTTTAGAACTTCTTACATGTGAATAGGGTGCTGTAGTATTAAGTCATTTTAAAATCACATATTACAAAAGACCATGTATGCCTTTATTAAGCCACAATAAGGTAGTGATGATTTTGCTTTTTAATCTTACAATTTAATGACATTTATCTGCTTTTCACCTCCCCCAGGGAAAGCTTTACAAAAACCCACAGAGGTACCTGTACCATATGAGAAGATGCTACAAGACCAGTCAGCTTTGATAGTACAGGGGCTTCCAGAAGGTGTTGCTTTAAACACCCTGAGAATTATGATCTTGCAACCCTGAAATGGATTTTGGAGAACATAGCCGGGGTTTCAGTTATTATTAAGTGGTGAGCTGTTTTCTCCCTTCATGCCCATCGATGGTTTATTCATATAAATTTGAATATTCAGCTTATGTTAATATATTTTAAAAATTCTCGGTTAGCGCAATTCATTTAAATTTATGCTGTCATTAATTTTGTGTATTCATGTTTTATTAGTTTTGTTTTATTGCAGATCTTTCTTAGAGCCAAAGAAGCATCTAGATTAGTGATTGCTTTGCTTCCTTGATCGCTGGCTGGCTTCCTAATCCCGTTTTGCTAGATTTTAATACACTTTAATGGTTTCTCTTTTATTTTCTTTGAGAATACGATGTAAGACATTTTCAGATGGGCTGCTTAGATATTTATATAATCCAAGAAAAGTTCATTGAGCTGAAAAAGTAGAGACTTGTTTTTTGTTTTCAGATCAGCTACTTGTTTTCTATGTAAGTTCATAGATCTGCCCCCACTTCCAAGCATTATGAGTAGGATTAATGACCTAATGTCATTGAATAGGCATGGCATTTTTGGGCACAGAATTAGGTGGGGAGGGGATACACAACTGTGTATAAGCATTATGGCTTTGGAGTTCTCGGAGTCTCATGGAAGGGAGAAAAGTTTGTAAAATGACCATAGCAAGAGCCTCACATCCCTGCTGTAAGAATGGTTCAGAGAAAGTGCTGCGAATGTTCATTAGGGGTTGGATTCCTTTATAGTTCAGGAAGAATTTCATGAGGGAGAGGGCATTTGGATGAGCCCTTGGAGAATGAGAAGGATTTCAACTTCCTTTAGGGAAGTTTAGCCATTTCATTTGAAGAGAAAAAAATGATAAAGAGTGGTACCCTTTGGAGCCAATTTTTTTTAGACTTTTGAAAGGAAATAACCAATATCATTGGAATACTCTTCACAATGTAGGGATAAAAGGGAAAATAATACGTACATGAACACACACATTTTGTTTTCTGTTAATCTTTGTTTTATTCTCATTGTAGTGAAAAGATTAATTTTTAGCACCTTTATTGAGGTATAATTGATGCACCATAAAATTCACCTGTCTGAGTATTTAATTCACTGATAGTAAATTTACAGTCTTAAAATTTTTTTAAAATGATTTTACAACCATCATCACAATCTAATTTTAGGATGCTTTTATTACCCCATCTCTGAATTATGATATAGAAATTGAATATATAATGTATTTCCTATAGAAATTAGTTTTTTTTCACTGAGCATAATTCACCTCAGGCTCATTGGGCTTGTTGTGTGTATCAGTAGCTCCTTATTACTGCTGAGCATTAAGTATTCTATGAACGTACCACCTGTTTGTCTAATCATCACTTGATGATTCTGTTGTTTTCATTTTTTGCTGTTATGAGTAATGCTACAGTGACCATGCTTGAGCAAGTTTTTGTCTGGACATATACCTTAATATCTCATACATTGTATATATGCCTAGGAGTATAATTACTAGGAATAGGGTACATTTACACTGAACTTTTAGGAAACTGACCAGTTGTTTTCCCAAGTAGCTGTACCATTTTATATTCCAGCAGCACATTATAAGTGTTCAAATTCTCCACATTGCTGCCAACTTACTGTCTTCTTGATGTTAGCCATTGTAAATCGGTGTGAAGTGGTATCTCATTTTGGTTTTTTTTTTGTTTTGTTTTATATTTCTCTAGTGACTATTGATGTTCTCTTACCTTACACTTTTTTTTTTTTGAGACAGAGTCTCACTCTGTCACTCAGGTTAGAGTCCAGTGGCATGATCTGGGCTCAGTGCAGCCTCAACCTTTCTGGCTCAGGTGATCCTCCTGCCTCAGGTCTTGAGTAGCTGGGACTATAGGTGTGCACCATCATACCTGGCTAATTTTTGAATTTTTTTTTTTTTTTTTGTAGAGATGGGGTTTCCTCACATTGCCCAGGCTGGTGTCAAACTCCTGGGCTCAAGCAATCCACCTGCCTAGGCTTCCCAAAGTGCTTGGATTACAGGTTTGTGTTATCTTTCAATGTGCTTATTGGTCATTTACATATGTTTTTTGGAGTAATGTCTATTTAGATCCTCTTCACATTTTAAAATTGGGTTTGTCTTTTTATTATTGAGTCATAAGAGTTTTTTACATAGCCTCGATATAAGTACCTAATTGATTGATGATTAAAAAAAAATTGCGTGTGAGACAGGATGTCACACTTTCATGCAGGCTGTGGTGTAGGATTTGGAAATATTTTCTCCAATTCTAATAATTCTACATTATTCTTAATATATAAGTTGTCTTCTCCCTTGCTTGGTAGTACTGTTTTGAGGCAGAAAAATTTTTAATTTTGATAGAAACCAGATTATTCTCTTGGGACTTGTGCCTTTCACTTAACTTTTTTTTTTTTTTTTTTTTTTTTTTTTTTGAGACAGAGTCTCACTCTGTTGCCCAGGCTGGAGTGCAGTGGCATGACCTCGGCTCACTGCAAGCTCCGCCTCCTGGGTTCAAGCAATTCTCCTGCCTCAGCCTCCTGAGTAGCTGGGACTACAGGCACGTGCCACCACACCCGGCTAAGTTTTTGTATTTTTAGTAGAGACGGGGTTTCACTGTATTAGCCAGGATGGTCTCTATCTCCTGACACCGTGATCCACCTGCCTTGGCCTCCCAAAGTGCTGGGATTACAGGCTTGAGCCACTGCATCCGGCCTTGACTTCATATTTAAGAAACCATTGCGTAACCCAAATGCATGAAGATTTTATTTTGTTTTACTTTTTATTTATTTTTTTTGGTGACATGTCTATGTAAGTGTCTGCCCATTTAAAAATTGTGTTTTTCTTCTTTTATGAGTTATAGGAGTTCTTGATATGTTCTGGATACAAGTCTTTTATCAGAAATACGATTCTGCACATATTGTTTCTGTCTGGCTAGTTGTTTCATTTTCTTGGTGATGTCTTTTATAGCTCAAAAGCTTTTGCTTTGGTGAAATTCAGTTTTTCAAGTTTTCTTTTATTACTACGCTCTTGGTGTTGTATCTAAAGAATCTTTGTCCAACCTAAGGTCACAAAGGTTTAGACTTAGATTTTCTTCCTGAAATTTATAGTTTTATCTCTTGTTTAGGAGTAAGATCCATTGTGAGTTATTTTTTGCACATATTGTGAGGTAAGAGTTTAAAGTCATCATTTTGCATGTGATGTACCAGCAGCATCTGTTGAAAAGACCATTCCTTCCCCGCTTACTTGCCATAAAACCTTTTTCAAAAATCAACTAATGGGCTCAAGTAATCCACTCAACTTGGCCTTTCAAAGTGCTAGGATTACAAGCATGCAGCACCATGCCTGGCACTAGTTTATATATTAAGGGACTTATAGCTTATATGTTGCTTTAAGCTATATAACCTGTCTTTAGGTTATATGTGGGGTCCAAAAATTTTAATCATAGGAAACACAATTTTACATTGTTGAAAAATTGTTACTGTCTCTGGGCTTGACCTCTTGCAGAGGGTGGAAGCCAGTTGTCAGTTGTGTTATATCTGAATTCTCACTGTTGCAGATCCTGCCATTGTGGGGCTTTTAACTGTGCTTTCACATGAGTTCAAAAAATATCTTATGGCTCACTCAGTGTGATGACTCATGCCTATAGTCTCAGCACTTTGGCAGGCTTGTGGCATGTGGATTGCTGGAGCCAAGGAGTTAAGAGGCCAGCCTGGGCACCATGGCAAAACCCCACCTCTATAAAAAATACAAAAATTAGACAGGTGTGGTGGTACATGTCTGTAGTCTCAGCTACTCAGGAGGCTGAGGCTAGAGGGTCACTTGGGTCCAGGAATTGGAGGCTGAAGTGAGCTAGGATTACACCATTGCACTCCAGCCTCGGCAACAGAGCAAGATTCTATCTCTAGTCCTCTCTTCTAATTTGGAATGTACAATGTATTGTTGTCAACTATAGTCATTCTAATCTGCTGTCAATTGTCACAAAAATGTATTCCTTATTTAGTTTACTACCCTTACATTAATGTTTTTAGTTTTTTTTTTTTTTTTTTTTTTTTTTTTTTTTTTTTTTTTTTTTTTGAGACGGAGTCTCTCTCTGTCGCCCAGGCTGGAGTGAAGAGGCGCAATCTCCACTCACTGCAAGCTCCGCCTCGGGGGTTCATGCCATTCTCCTGCCTCAGCCTCCTGAGTAGCTGGAAGTACAGGCGTGTGCCACCATGCCCAGCTACATTTTTGTATTTTTAGTAGACAGGGGGTTTCACCATGTTGGCCATGCTGGTCTTGAACTCCTGACTTCAGGTGATTTGCTTGCCTTGGCCTCCCAAAGTACTAGGATTGCAGGCATGAGCCACCACACCCAGTGTAGATATTCAAGAACAAAGATTTCGTTTGCCTATTTTGACCTTCAAATGAGAGGAATTACCCAATATGCACTCTTTTGTATCTGGCCACAAAGGTCTGCTTCAAATTACCTGTCCTAATTGTGGGCAAAGCTTTATGCAGAAGGTGTGCTTTGTCCTCTTGTTAATAAAAGGGATTTATGAGGAGGAAAAAAAAAAACAACAATGTATCTCATTATTGAAATCGCCAAAAATTACACCATCCCTACTCTGGAATATTGAGTTATTAAAACTGATGTGTATAATTGTTTTTCAACGGTTTATAATAGTATTTTTAATATTCAGTGAACATGGATTGTGACTAAATTTTCTTTAATTCTAAAGATAAGAATTTGCTGGAGAAAAAAATTAGCAGCAAATTATTGCAGAATATTAATAAATGGTTAAAACTTTGTCTTGGTTGGGACTATAGGTGATTCCTACACTCTGCTACCTAGGAAACTTTTGTCATTTCAAAGACTTTTAAAGTTATACCCATTAACCATCTCCCTCCTCTTTATCCTCCCATCTCCACCACTCTTCCCAAAACTCTTCTGGTTTTCATTATTTAACTCTCTATCTCCATAAGTTTTTTTTTTTTTTTTAAGCTTCAACATGTTAGCCATAATGTGATGTTTATCTTTCTTTGCCTGGCTTATTTCATTTAACATAAAGTCTTCTAGTTTCATCCATGTAGTTGCACATAACTAAAAAATGGAATTAGAATGCTCCTAACACAAAGAAATGATAAATGCTTGATTACATACAGTATAGTTATATAAAAATATCACATGTATCTCATAAATACATACAACTGTTATGTATTCATAATAATTAAAAATGAAAAAAGTAGTAAAGTTTAAAAAAATTCTTCATTTGACCTATATGCACTAAGGCAATGTGTTGTACAATCTTATATGTAACCCTAGCTATGCCATGAGATTCAAGTAAGATTTTGTTTCAGTTGCAACAGAATTTGTATTCCCACTAATGTAATGCATGACCACCAACAAACAATTATTATAGGGATGGAATGCCCTACTGTATGTAAATGTTTTCTAAATAGGCAGATAATCTTGGTCAGATGACTGATGTGTTTCCATATGTTCTATGGTTGCTTGAGTTTCTGACAGTTATGCACTGAATGTCAAATTATTGATATCTTTACATCTAGGGGTCCCTAACCCCTGGGCCACAGGCAGGTGCTATTCTGTGGCTGGCCACACAGCAAGAGGTGAGCCACTGGGAGAGTAAGCACTACTGCCTGAGCTCCACCTCCTGTCAGATTCTCATAGAAGCATGAACCCTATTGTAAACCTCACATTCTAGGGATCTAGGTTGTGTGCTCCTTATGAAAATCTAACACCTGATGATCTGAGGTGAAACTGTTTCATCCCAAAACCAACCCTCACTCCCATTCTGTGGAAAAGTTGTCTTCCATGAAATTGGTCCCTGTTGCCTAAAAGGTTGGGGACCGCTATTTAGATCTTTAAACAAGAAAATAGATGTCAGTTTAAAATACATTTATTTTGCCCTCTTAGATTTTAAGACAACATTCTTGAAGTCCAATTGACATATAATAAACTATCCATATTTAATGTGTGCAATTTAATATGTTTTGACATGTATATAACTATTAAAATATCATTGCAATCAAGATAGAGATATGCCTCAGTCCCCGAAGTATCCTCTTGTTCCTTGATAACCCCTTTTAATAATCCCTCCACACATCTTTCTTCCCAGACAAACACTAAAATGTGTTCTAATTATTAGTTTGCAAGTTTGCATGTTTTGTAGTTTTGTAGCATGTAAAATCTAGTATTATGTACTCTTATTTTTTCTGTCTTCTTTTAATCAGCATACTTATTTTGATATTTATCATATTGTTGTGTGTTAGAATGGTGCATTCCTTTTATTGCTCAGTAGTATTCCATATGTATATACTACAATTGAGTTATTGATTCATCCTCTGAGGGACATTTGGGTGGTTTCCAATCTTTGGCTACTACAAATAAAACTGTTATGTTTGTGTACAGAACTCTATGTCACTTAAATACTTTTAAATTTGTTGACACCTGTTTTATGACCCAGAATATGGTCTAACTTGATAAACTTGAAAAGAAGGAGTATTCCAATGTTTATTTGTGAAAGTGTTTTATAATGTCACTAACTTCTAATTGGTTCATAGTGTTCTTCAGGTCAACTACAAGTCTGATAAATTTTTGATTACCACTTCTATTAATTAATGAGGGAGGTATATTGAAGTGTTTGATTATTTTTTTTATAATATGAGGAAGTTTATCACTACTTGATTCTGTTTATAAGAAAGTTAAACAAAGGATGCTAATTAGTAACATTAGCATTAAAGTATGAAACTCACTGGTAAAGGTAAGTATGTAATCAACTTCAGATGACTCTAATATTGTAATGCAGATAAACAACTATTTTGACAATAGTATATAAATTAAGAGATAAAATAATTAAAAATAACTATAGTTACACAATATGTTAATGGTTGCACAATTTAAAAAAGAGGTAAATTGTGACATCAATAACATAAAATTTGGGGTCAGAGAGAAGTATAGTAGTAAATGACTACATTAGGAAAAATATGAATACAAATAGACAACCTGACATTATACCCAAAGAAACTAGAAAAAGAGCACACTGTGCCTAAAACTAGTAGAAAGCTAATTTAAATGAAATACAGACTAGAAAGAAAAAATAGAAAAAAAGAAAAAAATAGAAAAAATAAATGAAATTAAGAGTTGATTTTTTGAAAAAAATGAACAAAGTTGAGAAACCTTTGGCTACACTACCTAAGAAAAACAAGATGACTCTGAAAAATATAATTATAGTCAAAAGAGGCAACGTTACAACTTATACTACAGAAATACAAAGGCTCATGAGAGACTGCTATGTGCAGTTACATTCCAACCAATTGGAGAGTCCAGAAGAAATGGATAAATTTCTAAGAAATATACAACTTGTGTTTTAAAATTTTCCCCACAAAATGCTGACTAGAAGCATTTCCAGCATGCCTCATCCACTTAAATGAACCAAAATAGGTTGCAGACAATCATATTTTTAATACATTATTCAAGGAGGAACATGGGAGATCAACAGGAAATTGAAACTTTAAAATCTAGGAAACAGAAAACAAGCAACCACGTAGCAGGCGTAAGACTCCAGCTGTTTATGCTGGAGTAAATCCCAATAAGTGAAAGAGTGAGTGAGTGCCTTTCTGTGGTCTATTTTCTTACCAGGTAATCATGCAATCTAGCCGTGGGAGAGCATTTTGACCCTCCCAAATCCCGAATCTAACTTAGGGAGCAACCAGGAGATTATAAGAAGAAACTGCTTTAGGAAGTGTCACATGACCTTTTTGCAACCTAAGTGGCTACCATAAGATGCCATTCTTGACCCTAGCTCTTAACAAACTGTGCAGGATCCTGGAAGCATTTATCTCATTCCTAGCCAACAGGGAAAACAGGTGTTGATTGCAGAATCAGGGCTTGAGAAGGGAATGAGCTTTCATAACTCAGCCTGAGAAGTGAGCATGGCGTGGTCTCCAGCTGCTGGCACTTGAAATGGGAACCCCAATCCCAGCACTGCCCCACCCACCCTTGAGACAGATTGTGGGATTCAGATTCCTGGGTGTTCCACACCCCAGTATGCTACCCGGGACACTGAAGCACCTTTCTTGGGGAACAGAGGTAGGACATCAAAGTCCTACCAATACCGTACAGCTGACTTTTAACTGAAAGTGTCACCTACTGGCCTGGAGGCCAGTCCATACAACCCATTGCAACCACTGCTAACACAAGAACACAGAACTCAAGAACTTGAAGAGCATCTTGTGTCCACTGCTACTGCCATTGCCCATGCCACATTGGCTGCCAAGGAAGTCCAGAGCCCACTCACCCACCCAATACGCTGCTACTGCAACTGGCATTCAAGAAAGCCGTCCAGAGGCTCAAGAATCAGCCTGCCTGCAACTGCCAAGCAGACATGAGGAAACACTGTTCTAGATTACAAGAATAGACCCACTTAGCCCAACACCTTTACCATTGAAATCTGAAGATAGGGCCATCTGGCATTCCCCTCCCCAGCACACCTTCACCACAGCCCCGCAAATCACTGCACCATATTAAGCCAAGGAAAGCACACATACCACTAATGCTATTTATAGCCAAAGAAATTATACAGAATATTCACTACTGTATGTACCAAGAAGCTAAACCAAATGCCCCTAACCAAGCAACATCATAGTCATGTCTTTGAGTAAAAGGACCCTCCCCAGTGAAAGTAAATTTGAAAATAAGAAGTGACTATCACTCCAGATGTGCAAAAATCAATGTAAAGATGCAGGAAACTTTAAAAAGCAAGGTTATATGACACGCTCAAAGGAACACAATAATTCTCCAGCAATAGATTCTAGCCAAAGAGAAATTCTAGAAATACCATATCAAGAATTCAAAATATTGATTTTAAATAAACTCAGTGAGATGTAAGATAAATCTGAAAACCAATACAAAGAAATCAGAAAATGTATTTAGGAAATGAATGAGAAATTTAAAAAGATAAATATTAAAAAAGGATATTTTAGCACTAAAAACTTCATTGAAGGACATACAAAATACACTTGAAACCTTCAACAATAGGCTAGACTAAGCAGAATAAATAATTTTAGAACACAAAGATAGGTCTCTTGAAATAATCTAGTTAGATAAAAAATGAAGAAAAAGAATAAACAAAGCCTTTGAGACATTTGGGACTACATAAAGTAATCTAATGTACAAATTACTGGTATTCTTTAGGAGGAAGAAAGATATGAAGCCTTAGAAAATACAGTTTATAAAATAATAGATGAAAACTTCCTAAGTCTAGCAAGAGATTTAGACATCCAGATCCCAGAGTACCAACAAACCCCAGTGAATACATCACACACACACACACACACACACACACACACACACACAATCTGTCACCATGCGATATAATCATTAGACCGTCTAAACTCAAAATGAAAGAAAGAATTATAAAATCAGCAATAGAAAAGCTTCTTGTCACTTAAAAAGGAAGCCACTTTAGACCAACAACAATTTTTTCAGCAGAAACCTTACAGGTCAGAAGAGAATGAGATGGCATAACTAAAGTGCTGAAAGGAAAAAAAAACATGCTAGCCAAGAATTCTATATACAACAAGATCAAGCTTCATAAATGAAGGAGAAATAAATTATTTCCCAGTCAGGCAAATGGTGAAGGAATCTGTCACTAGACTGGACCTACAGGAAATTGTTGAAGAAGTTCTAAACTTGGAAACAAAAGCACAATACTTTTCATCATGAGAACACAGAGTATAAAACCCTCAGGTCTTATAGAAAAATCACACAATGGAGAAAGAAAGAGAAAAGAATCAAGTTGGCAACACTACAGACTACAGGTCATTATATAGTGAAAAAGGGATCAATTCAATAAGAAGATATAACAGTCCTAAATATATATGTACCCGACATTGGAGAACCCAGATTTATAAAACAAATATTACTAGACCCAAAGGAAGACATAGACAGTAATACACTAATAGTGGGGGACTTCAATGCCCTGCTCATAGCACTAGACAGATAATTGAGACAGAAAATCAACAAGGAAGTATTGGACTTAAATTGGACATTAGACCAAATAAGCTTAACTACTTTTACAGAACATTCTATCCAACAACTGCAAAATATACATCTCATCAGCACATGGAACATTCTCCAAGATAGACCATGTGTTGGGTCACAAAACAAGTCTCAACAAATTTTAAAATATTAAATAATATCAAAGTATGTTCTTAATATTTTATTCAATCACGGTTGAATGAAACTAGAAGTCAATACTAAGAGAAACTTTGGAAACTAAACAAATACATGAAAGATTAGGCAACATGCTCCTGAATTGGGTCAATGAAAAAAATTAAGACAGAGATGTTTTTAAAATTATAAAACCAATAAAAATGGAAACACAATATACCAAAGCCTGTTGGATACAGCAAAAGCAGTGGTAAGAGGGACTTATAGCATTAAATGCTTATATAAAAGTGTAGTAAAATTACAAATTAATAACCTGTCATACCTCAAGGAATTGGAAAAACAAGAACAAAGCAAGTGCAACATTAGTAGAAGGAAAGAAATTACAAAGATCAGAGCAGTGCTAAATAAAATGCAGTCCAAAAAATAGTACAGAGGATCAACAAAACAAAAAAAAGAAAACAGGGGCAGATGTGCTCAAGGCTTTGGGAGCCCACCTGTTGCATCACTGTGACCTGGATGTGAGACATGAAGTCAAAGGAGATATATTTTGGAACTTTAAGGTTTAATGACTGCCCTATTGGATTTTGGACTTGTATGGGGCCTCTAGCCCCTTTGTTTTGGCCAATTTCTCCCATTTCTCCCATTTGGAATGGCTGTATTTATTCAATGCCTGTATCCCCATTGTATCTAGGAAGTAACTTGCTTTTGATTTTACAGGCTCACAGGCAGAAGGGACTTGTCTTGTCTGAAATGAGACTTTGGGCTTAGACTTTTGGGTTAATGCTGGAAAGAGTTAAGACTTTGAGGAACTGTTGAAACAGCATGATTGTGTTTTGAAATGTGAGTACATGAGATTTGGGCGTGGCCAGGGATGCAATGATATGGTTTGAGTCTGTGTCCCCACCCAAATCTCACCTTGAATTGTAATCCCCATGTGTCAAGGGTAGGACCAGGTGGGGGTAATTGAATCATGGGGGGCAGTTTCCCCCATGCTGTTCTCATGATAGTAAGTGAGCCTCATGAGATCTGATGGTTTTATAAGCATCTGGCATTTTCCCTGCTTGCCCTCACTCCATCCTGCCACCCTGTGAAGAAGGTGCTTGTTTCTCCTTTGCCTTCAGCAATGATTGTAAGTTTCCTTAGGCTTCCCCAGCCATGCTGAACTGTGAGTCAATTAAACCTCTTTCTTTTATGAACTACCCAGTCTTGGGTATTTCTTCAGAGCAGCATGAGAACAAACTAATACAGCAGGATAAATAAAAATAAAATCTCTGTGGATATTAATTCACTGCTCTGAGTAAGAAAACAATCAGATAAAAATATCAGTAAGATTATAGGGGTCTTATACAACATGGTTGATTAACATCAATTGATATATTTTTAAAAGAAAATCACACATGAAATAACTTCAGAATATGCATTCTTTTGCAAAGGTACATAGAGCATTTAACAAAACAGATACTATTCTGATTAAGAAAAGCAAGTTTTAAAGAATCAACATCATACAGTGAATGTTTCCAGATCATTGTAAGATTCATTTGGAACCCAGTAACATAGTTAAGTAAAATATAACCAAATGTTTGGAGAATATATATTCCACCCTAAAAAGCACTATGAGAAAATGAAGTAATCACAATGGGAGTGAAATATTTGTAACCTGAATGATAATAAAAACGTGGGAAACTCCTGGAAGTAATATGTGATTATGGTAAGGTTGCAGGATACAATGTTAATATTCAATAGTCCATCACTTTCTTATATATCTGCAATAAACAAGAAGAATTTGAAATTAAAAGCACAATGCCATTTACAAATGGTTTAAATTTATAATAGATAACATTTGAAAAAGACATATCTATTGAACTATATACAATGAACTTTTAAAAAAAATTTTATTACAAGTTCCTGGGTACATGTGCAGGTCTGCTATATAGGTAAACCCCTGACATGAAGGTTTGTTGTACAAATTAGTACCAGGTATTGAGCCTAAAACCCATTAGTTATTTTTCCAGATCCTCTCCCTCTCCCACTCTCCACACCCCAGGAGATCTCAGCATTTGTTGTTTCCCTATATGTATCCCTGTCTTCTCATCATTTAGCTCCCACTTATAAGTGAGAACATGCAGTATTTGATTTTCTGTTCCTTTGTTAGGTTGCTAAGAATAATGGCCTCCAGCACCATCCATGTTCCTAAAAAGGATATGATTTTGTTTTTTTTATGCCTGCATAGTATTTCATGGTGTATATGTACCATATTTTCTTTCTGCAGTCTACCGTTGATAGGCATTAGGTTGCAATGAACATAAGTGTGCATGTGTCTTTATGATAGAATTATTTACATTTCTTTGGATGTATACCCAGTAATGGGATTGCTGAGTGAAATGGTATTTCTGTTTTTAGGTCTTTGAGGAATCTCCAGACTGCTTTCCACAATGGTTGAACTAATTTACACTCCCACTAACATCGTATAAGTGTTCCTTTTTCTCTGTATCCTCACCAGCATCTGTGATTTTTTGACTTTTTAGTGATAGCCATTCTGACTGGTGTGAGATGGTAACTCATTGTGATTTTGATTTGCATATCTCTAATGATCAGCGATGTAGAGGTTTTTTTTTTCCCCATATGCTTGTTGGCCGCATGTATGTCTTCTTTTGAGAAGTGTCTGTTCATGTCCTTTGCTCATTTTTAA
Organism: Homo sapiens; assembly: GCF_000001405.40. Lineage (NCBI taxonomy): Eukaryota > Metazoa > Chordata > Mammalia > Primates > Hominidae > Homo > Homo sapiens. The sequence continues at coordinate 363,510 of NW_025791796.1, read as the reverse complement.
TGGGTTTGTTTGCCCTTCTTCTTCTAAATTTGTTTAATTTCCTTATAGATACTGGATATTAAAACTTTGAAACCGAAAACTATAAAAACTCTGAAAGACAACCTAGGTAATACCATTCTGGACATTGAAACGGGTAAAGATTTCATGATGGAGATGCCAAAAGCAATTGCAACAAAAGCAAAAATTGACAAATGGGATCTAATTAAACTAAAGAACTTCTACACAGCAAAAGAAACTATGAGCAGAGTAAACATGTAACTTTCAGAATTGGAGAAAATTTTTGCAAACAACTCTTAAACCTCCTAAAACTCAACAATGAGAAAATGAGTGACCTGACCTGACTAGAATACTCACTAAAGAAGACATATAGATAGTAAATAAGGATATGAGAAGATGCTCAACAACATAAATCATTTGGAAATTGCAAATTAAGAGATACCACTACATATCTATTAGAATAGCCAAAACACATGAAAACACATAAGAGTGACAGAGCCAAATGCTGGCAAGGTTGTGGAACAATAGAAACTCTCATTCACTACAAATGGAAATGCACAATGGTACAACCACTTTGGAAGATATAAATCATTAGCAGATTGCAAATTAAGAGATGCCACTACATACCTATTAGAACAGCCAGAACATAACAGTGACAGCACCAAATGCTGGCAAGGATGTAGAGCAATAAGAACTCTCATTTGCTACTGATGGAAATGCAAAATGGTACAACCACTTTGGAAGACAGTTCAGCAGTTTCTCATTAAACCAAACATATTCTTACAATAAGATCCAGCAGTTATGCCCCTTGGTATTCACCTAAATGAGCTGAATACTTGTGTCAACAGAAAAACCTGCATACAAATGTGTAAATCATTCAATTTTGAATGATCCATCATTCATAATTACTGGATCTTGGAAACAACCAAGATCCTTCAATAGGTGGAGTGATACTACTAGTCCATTTTCTGCCTGGACATTTTACATAAATAGAATCATATGTGGCCTTTTTCATGTCTTGTTTCTTTCACTTAGCATAATCTTTTGACGATTCATCCATATTGTAGCGTGTCAGAACTTCATTCATTTTTTTATGACTTAATAGTATTATATCATATGAATATACCACTTTTTGTTTATCCAATTATCAGCTGATGTTCTACCTTTGGCTATTGTGAATAGTTCTAAAAATATTTATGTGAACAATTTTTTGAGCACCTGTTTTCAATTCTCTTGGGTATATACATACTAGTTGAACTGCTGGATCATATAGTAACTTTATGTTTAAAAATGAGGAACTGCCAATCTGTTTTCCTTAGTGGCTGCAGAATGTTACATTCTTACCTGCAGCAGGTAAGGTAGCACTCCTATTTCTTCACACTCTCACCAATACTTATTTTATTTTATTATTTCTTATTTTTAATTATGGCCGATTAGTGGATATAAAGTGGCATCTCATTGTGGTTTTTATATAAGTTTCCCATATGACTAATGATGTTGAACATCTCTTCATGTGCTTCTTAGTTGGCAATTTGTATATCTTTTTCAGAGAAATCTCTATTCAAACATTTGGCTCATTTTTCATGGGTTGTCTTTTTATTGTTGAATTGTAAGGGTTCTTTATATAGTCTACATATTAGCCTGTGCTGGTTTTCTAGGGGTGCCATAACAAATTGCCACAAACTTGGCGGCTTTAAACAACAGAAATTCCTTATTTCCCATTTCTGGAGGCTAGAAGTCTGGTGTTGACAGGGCCAGGCTCCCTTCAAAGGTTCTTGGAAAAGTTCTTCCTTGCCACGTGAAGCTTCTGGCGAGTCCAGATATTCCTTGGCTTGTGGTTGCATAAATTCAACTTCTGCCACCAGCTGTACATGACCTTCTTCTCTGTATTATTGTCTTCTCTTCTTTCTCTTATAAGGACACTTGTCATTGGATTTAGAGCCCTCTCAAGTTCTCCAGGATGATCACCTAAAGATTCTTAATTACATCTGCAAATATCATTTTTCTCAACAAGGTCACATTCACAGTTTAGAAAGTGAGGACATGGACATATCTTTTTGATGGGTACCATTCAACCGGCTACAAGACACTTATCAAGATACATTACTTATAAATATGTTCTCCCATCTGTGGGTTATCTTTTGCCTTTCTTGATTGTCTTTTGATGTGCAAAAATTTTTAGTTTTTTTTT